>NC_000005.10:95564352-95867382 GCF_000001405.40 Homo sapiens
TACTCTTGCTAGAAGTGGTAATTTATTTTGACATAAGACATGCATAATTTTCCCCATCTTAAAAAAAGAACTGACTTTAATCCCACATTTTCTTCCAGCTAACACACCATTCTCTAACATCCCTCCCGTTTTTCTGTTTTGCTTTGCAAAATAACTTCTCAGAAGAGCTTTTCTTTTTTCCCCCTGCTGCCTCACTTTCCTGCCTCCCATTCCTTCCCCTTTCCAGTTTAGCTGTTCATCTTTACCACGCATCGAAAGTGCTCTTGTCAGGGTCACCAGCTGTCTCCATACTGCCAATTCCAATGTGCATTTTCTGGCCTCATTTCAGGTGCATTCTCAACACAGCAGATGTTACCTCTTTCTTGGCACACTGCCTTCTCTCAGCTGTCATGGCACTCGGTCTCCTCACATCTTCCTCCCTTGGCCATTCTTTCTCAGTTTCCCATGCTGTTTCCCCTCTTATTTGGGACTCCTTATAGCTTCCTCTAGACCCTTTTCTTTCCCCTCCTTCTCTCTCCCTGAAAGGTTTTATTTAATCTCACAGTTTTCAAAACCATGAATATGTTAAATACTCCCAAGTTTTATTTCGCCAAGATAGACTTCTCTCAACTCCAGATTCCTATCTGTATCCAACAGCCTACTTTATATCTCTATTTGGGAATCTCAGCTATCTCAAGGATTTAGATATATTCTATATTTTGGGTTGGCTCATGTTCTAAACTGGAATTTATTTATAATTATGTTGAAAACATATAATAGATAGAACTCCAGGACTGGAACATTCTTTTTTCTGTTCTTGCTCTTTACCAACGTGAGTTCTTCAATTCCCAGTTCATCTCCAAAATGCATATCTCCAACCCAAACATCTCCTAATCTTCAGACTCACTTATCAAGCTGCCTAATTTTTTTTTGTAGAAACAGGGTCTCCCTGTGTTGCCCAGGCTGGTCTTGACCTCCTGAGCTCAAGCTATCCTCCCACCTCAGCCTCCCAAAGTGCTGGGATTATAGGCATGAGCCACCACACCCCACCCCAGCTGCCTAATTGATATCACCACTTCCATCTCACAGATATCTCAAACTTTGTATGTCCTTTAAATTCTTTGAATAGCTGGATCCTGTTCATTCTTTAGGTCTCATACATCCCAGAGAAGGCTTCCCTGTCCACACTGTCTAACGTAGGTCTCTCTTGTCCTTCTGTATCTCGGATTTTTTTCAAAGCACACGTCATAATTTGTAATTATTCATAGTTTATTTGCCAGTATACTTTTTGCCTCTCCCACTAGACTGTAAGCTTCATGGGGCCTAAGACTCTGTTTTATTCACCATTGCATCCTCAGATTTTGCAGTGTCTGGCACATAGTTAAGTATTCAATAAATACTTAGTCAGTTCATCATCCCCCAAAAGAACATTCCAGGAAGTCCTTTATTTACTGTAGTTAAATGAATCCAAGTGTAACGCTGCACTGAATTCTAGCTATTTATGTACCAGATACTGGAAACACCCTCTATACTTGTTTTGTTTTTATCTTTGGAGGATTCTTAAAATCATATTGAAGTCTTCTGCTATTGTAAATTTTATGGTTAAAGAAAATAATTTTCTTCTTTGGTAATGTAATCAATGCTAATTAAATTTCTTTATTTCCAGGATGGAAGGTTAACATTTCATCCAGGAAGTCAGGTAGTGAAACTTCCTTTTATCAACTTTATGAAGACACGTGGGACTTCCTTTCTGAATGCCTACACAAACTCTCCAATTTGTTGCCCATCACGCGCAGGTATGAACATCCTTAATATGAATGGGAGAAAGTGGCTACACACTGAAAATATATTCACAGTTTAAAAGATTATACCTAAAAGTAGAATAGTTGTATTTGGCCTCAATAAAATTGTTTTAATATAAAAGATGTGCATTTTAAGGTATATATTGGCTATTGGGGTTGTTCAAATTGTATTTTTCAAGAGTAGGAATTTTTATCATTTAGAAAGGTGTCTAGTTCATGTGTTACCGTTTTATTTCCTTGTGACTGGGGACTAAGAATCTTTTGGCCATCCAAGAAAATGAGGGAATACTCATATTTCCTAGAAGAGTTCTGTTTCCAGGGAAATTTTTCAGTAACGGTATAGGTAATTGGGAGGACTTCTATGAACATTAGAGTATACCATAAAGTAGTTACAACTTATATTCAGATTTACCTGAATTTTTTCTTATTATTTCAGATTACATACTTTACCTCTTTCTTTCCGTCTCAATTCACTTTTATCCCAAGTCAAATTGTTCACTTTTATTATAATAATTTAACAAATAGGCATAGTTTTATTGGCAGAATGTCAGTGACATTAAGCCATGAATAATTAACAAATAGGAAAAAACTGCCATTTTTATAAATTCTATCTATTGTCTGATGGTTGTTTTCCTTTTCCCCTGTCTTCTGGTTTATGTTTGTTGCCTTGGAACACATAAATGGCACTCAGTGATTTGGTTTGTCTGTAAATGAGATGATTTTCTCTGTGATTTGAGTTATAACTTCTTTCACCTATATTTTCAACACTAACAACTATATTATTACCAGTGATGAAAAGAAACTAAACTATATTGTAAATGATATTTCAATAATGAAGGACCAGGCATATTAAAAAACAGTTTTGTTAACTGTAAAGTAGAATGAGCAGTGGGCTAGGGTGAGACAATGACCTGGATGCTAATCCTCAAGCAAGTCACTCAGTCTTCTTATCTGCAAATTGCTGTGTATACTGTGTACCTCACAGGGTTGTTCTGAGCATCACATTAAATAACGAATGAGAAAGTGGCCAATGAACCCTAGATGTCTCAAAATGTTAGATGTTGTTTTTCCTGGAAGAAGTATATTTTGAAGAGTAAGCAAGGTCAAATAATTTGTCAAAGACCACTCAGTAACTGGTGTTATTGGGATTCAAACCCAGGTAATCCCCCATCCCACCTCTCAGAAAACATCTTGCTAGATGAAAACAGAAAGCTTATTCTAACTTTCTATTTATGTACACAGAAATGGGAAAAGGAAAAAAAGTGTTTATTGAATAAACAATCATAGTTGTAGAAAGTGAGAGATAAGGCATAACACACTACGTTTTTTGTGGAAAGCCAGCAAAAGGACAGGGAATAAGGGAAGATCCTTAAGGATGTTGGGGAAATGAGATCTGTACTTCAATTGTCTGATTTAGAAAATTAACCAATAAATACTTAGGGATTGTTTTTATGATTGAAAGAGGCCTCTAGTCACACATGCTTTGTATTTAATTCCAGCTGTATTTACCTTAAGTAACTTAAGCACTAAGCGTTAGTCAACTCATCTGTAAAATGGAAATAGTAACTCCCCACAGAGTATCACTCTGATAAAATGAGGTAACAATCAGAAATGTTTGGTAAGGCACCTAATCTGGGTACGTCTTACTGCAGAGCATAAGCTCTTCACTAGTGGACTGCTCTCTCAGAGTAATTGTCCTAATAGTTAAATTGTTAAGCTTTACCTTAATCCCAATTCCTTTTTTTTTTTTTCTCAGCAATGTGGAGTGGCCTCTTCACTCACTTAACAGAATCTTGGAATAATTTTAAGGGTCTAGATCCAAATTATACAACATGGATGGATGTCATGGAGAGGCATGGCTACCGAACACAGAAATTTGGGAAACTGGACTATACTTCAGGACATCACTCCATTAGGTAAAAATAAAACAAAAATAATCATCATGGACTGCCCTCTGCCATAGCGTGTACATGTACTCTTTTTGACTTTAATTTTTTTATTTTTCCACAAAGGTGAAAGTAAATCTCTTAATCCCTTCATTGTGTTAATTAGGCTGAAATTTTAGCTTTCTTTCATCTTCCTAAAACATTAAAATGGCTAATATACTAGTCATTTTGTTTTTCTTAAGCATTAAAGGTCTATAAATAGTGTTTGTAAACTCGTTTAGCCCACGCTTTATTTTCATTGAATTTCCTTTAATGGCTACTGTATTATTAATTTTAAAATCTGTTTTTAAAACCATAGCCTTCTTGCTGCTTTCGTTGGTCAGTTCTCTCTAACTTGAGTCTATTGTAACTTTTTTTTTTCTTTCATTTTACTAAGTCCTCAAAAACCAGGCAGCCAAGCATAGTGGTTAAGAGTAGAGGTCAAGAATCAGATTGCCTGCTTTTGAATTATAGTTTCTGTTTACTACTAGCATTGTAGTAGTCTGATCTTGGACACATTGTCTAAATGTTGACACTGTACTTTAATTTCTTTGCTGTGAGGATTAAATGTATCAATAAGTTCAGAAAAGAGCTAACATAGGAGGCCTGAGACTGCTCTCCTTAGAAAGGCCTGCTTGGAAGGTTGGCCCCTGTCTGGCATCTAGGAACTTGGATTTCTGGAGTATTCCCACTATTCCTTAACTGATAAGAGTGGCCTATTGTGTGCCTGGAGCATTTGTGCATTGTGGTTTATGCCGAATACCAGCTTTCCTTCCAGGAGTATGGAATTTTGGTATGTGCGAAGTAGAGGGTGCTTATATAATCAGCACCCCCGCCTAAAAAACTTGGGTACTGATTCTCTAATGAGCAGAAACAACACTTCACATGTGTCGTCGCAATTTGATGGTGGAAGAATTATGTCCTCTGAGACTCCAACCGGACACTTGTGCCTAGTTTCTTCTGGACTTTGCCCTAAGCACCTTTTCCCTTTGCTGATTTTGCTGTGTATCCTTTTATGTAATAAATTATAGCCATGAGCGCAGCTGTATTCTGGGTCCTGCAATTCCTCCTACTGAACTTCGGTGTGATCTTGGGATCCCCCAACACTTGTGAACCCCAACACGAATACATATTAGGGATTACAGTGCCTCTTTCTTACCTAGGCAAGTGCTAATTGAGGGTTATTTGTAATGGTTGTTGTGATGGTGATGATGATACTAATGATGATGATAAGTAATAATAAGAAAAAATTAAGTTAACAAAAATAGTTGATGAATGTAGTGAGTTGAATAATGTTCCCCCAAATTTCGTGACCACCTAGAAAGAACTTCAGAATGTGATCTTATTGGAAAATAGACCTTATTTGCAGATGTAATTAGTAAGGATCTCCAGATGAAATCATGACTGCTGTCTTTATTAGAAGAGGAACAAGGACATAGGCACACAGAGAAGAAAACAATGTTAAGACAGAGGCAGAGATAGTAGTGAGGCAGCTACAAGCCAAAGGATGAAAGATTGCCAGGAGTCACCATAAGTTAGGAAGAGGCAAGGAAAAATTCTGCCAGAGTCTTCAGAGGGAATGTGTCTCTGCTGACACCTTGATTTTAGACTTATAGCTTCCAGAACTGTGGGAGAACAGGTTCCTGTTGTTTTAAGCCACACAGTTTGCAATAATTTATTCTGACAGTTCTAGGAGATGAATACAGTGAGTTTTGGGTAAACAGATACTAAAATAATCTAAAATAATCTGAACATTAAAATTGCTCTCCTAGTTACTGTTTAATTTCTTCCCTTTTCTGTCCTCCAAAATCTAAAAGATGGCAGTACAGGAAATGCAGAAGCAATCCTGACATTCCTATTCTTTACTCTGTCTTCTAATGCATTGCCAAATGTAGTCAGTTCTACTTCTGAATTATTTCTCCAACTTACTCACTTCTCAACTCTCTCCACCAAGCTACTGTCATCTCTTGCCTAAACTATTAAAATGGGCTTCTACCTGGACTCTTCTTACTCTATCTGACCCATTTTCTATAGGCAACCAGAATGATCTTTCTTAGATGTATGTCTGATTACATGACACACTTGCTTAAAATCTTTCAATGGTTTTTCTCTTCAGGTTAGTTAAAATCCCAAATCCACAACATGATTTATGAGACCCTACATGATCTAGCCCCTGTCTACCTCCAGTCTCATTTCATACCACTCTCTCCATCCCTCAGTATGCACCTGGTCTTTTAAAACTTTCCTTAATATGCTTTTCACTACTTCTGGACTATTGCATGAGCTAGTTTCTCTGTGCAAAATCTTGTTCCCCTACTCTTCCCTGCTAATATCAGAAAGAAAGGGAGGGAGAAGAAGTACATGTAGGAGGAGGAGCACAGGCTTTGTGTCCATCAGAGCAGTCAGATACCCAGCTTCCCTGCTCACTATCCTTGTAACCTTGGGCAAGTTACTTGATATTGAGTGTCAGTGTTCTGTAAGAATTCTTGGGCAAGTTACCTGGCATTAAGTGTCAGTGTTCTGTAAGTTATCTGTAAGAATTATGATGCCTACCTCATTGGATGACTGTGTTTTATATGAGTTAAAAGATACTATACAAGGATTAAGCGGAATAATATAAAATATTTAACAGTGCCTGGCACAGATTAAGCATTTACTCAATGGAAAGATTATTATTATGAAAATGGCTTAACCAGAATTGCAGTCTAACATTTATATAACCATCTTTTTTTTTTTTTTTTGAGACACAGTCTCGCTCTGTCACCCAGGCTGGAGTGCAATAGCGTGATCTTGGCTCGCTGCAACCTCCGCCTCCCGGGTTCCAGCGATTCTCCTGCCTCAGCCTCCTGAGTAGCTGGGATCATAGGCATGGGCCACTACGCCCAACTAATTTTTTGTATTTTCAGTAGAGATGGGGTTTCACCATGTTGGTCAGGCTGTTCTGGAACTCCTGACCTCATGATCTGCCCGCCTAGGCCTCCCAAAGTGTTGGGATTACAGGCGTGAGCCACTGCACCCGGCCATAACCATCATTTTTCTAAAGTGCTTTGCATTGCTAGTTACTTTATGGAGTTTCACAAATTTCTCTTTAAAATCTTTCTCCTTTTTAGAATGTAAGCTTAATCTAAAGTAAGATACAACTGTTTATAATAAAAGAAATCTAAGATTGAATGCCATATATTCCCTGTAACTTTTATTCTTCTATGTGACATGGTTAAAATATGACCTGACTTATATTCCGCAGCAGGATAATTATCCATGCAGAGCAAAGACCTTATCTCTTCTTCTCTGCTTTATTCCCATTTGCCAGCATAGTGCCAGTACATTGTAGGTTCATAATTAAATTTTTGATGAATGAAAAAGTTATTTTGAAGTACCTACAGTTTATTATTTGATAAACATTGATATTCTGTGTAACACAGGATCATATCACTTGTTCATTAGTATTTTGTATATATCTACAACTAATAGAGGATATCCTGTTTTTAACTGTTTAAAATTCTTTAAATATTAATATTTAGGAGTTCTTTCTTTGTCATGTGGAATTCTAAAATTAGTAGAGGAAAAAAACACTTAGATGTTGATGTTTGGGATGTCAAAGATGGTTTTCAGTGCAATACTTGCTTAAAGCATGTTTTCATTTACTCACACTCTCATCAGAGCTTAGGAAATTGAAATAAGCCACCAGGAGTATTTTTATGAGCGCTGTATGTACCCACACAGACATTTGGCTGACAAATAGGTCAAGGTTGCTGTTAATAGCATGTCTGAAGGTTATATGAATTATATAGCACATTACTTTTCAGTGTAAACTTAAAAATGGGTCTCAGAACAAAACATGGTCTCTCAAATATCAAATTTCATAAATAGGGGCATTCAGTCTTGTTGATAGATTGACTTTCAAAATCAAAATGCAAGTTATTATAATTCTTTATTACTGAAATTGGCCATTTTTGAACCTGCTTATATTTTCAGCCAGAATTACAGGTTTCTTTATTATTATAATACTTCCATCTGTCTTTTTTAGGCATCAGCGATGCTTCCTTCTTGTACCAGTTTAGGAACACTAATTTAATTAAGTGTCCCTTATTATATATGACACACCACACCATACTAGGATCGCTATGGGCTGCACAGTTGTTTCATCTGGACAGTTGTTAAAGAGATACTGGTAGTATTACTCATAAAAATGCCATTTACTGATGATAAGACCTTGAGCAAGTAATTTATCTGCTTAGAATCCCAGTTTAGTCAGATGAGCTTTCACTAGATGGCTTTAAAAGTTCTTCTACTCTGAAATTCTATAACTCCAATGGAGTACAGTTAAGTGCTTTATAAATTTCTGATACTCATCTGCCCCTTCACATTATATGTATTGTGTTATAACAGGTTTAAGTTCAAATTTGCTGTCTTCTTATCAATTGAAAGAAAACATTTGGGCCGGGCGCGGTGGCTCACGCCTGTAATCCCAGCACTTTGGGAGGCCGAGGCGGGCAGATCACGAGGTCAGGAGATTGATACCATCTTGGCTAACACGGTGAAACCCCGTCTCTACTAAAAATGCAAAAAATTAGCCGGGCGTGGTGGCGGGCCCCTGTAGTCCCAGCTCCTCGGGAGGCTGAGGCAGGAGAATGGCGTGAACCCGGGAGGCGGAGCTTGCAGCGAGCCGAGATTGCACCACTGCAGTCCGGCCTGGGTGAAAGAGCGAGACTCCGTCTCAAAAAAAAAAGGAAACATTTGTATTTGCCTTCAGGTAAAATTTTGTTGCCTATCTATTCCTAAAGTAGTGGTTTTCAACTGAGGGCGGTCACCCTTCACCCCCATACACCACCCCCACCTCTACCCCTTAGCTGCCAAGAAGACATTTGACAATGTCTGGAGACATTTTTGGTTGATAACACCGGGGTTATTTTGCTGGCATCTGGTGGGTAGAGGCCAAGGTTGCTGCTAAACAGTCTATAATGCAGAAAACAGCCCCTTCCCTAACAAAGAATCATCAAGTCCAAAATGTCTTTAGTATAGAGATTGAGAAAACATGTCTAAAACTAGACATTTTATGCTCGTCAGCCTGGTCTTAGGAATGTCACACTTAAAATAATTGCCTACATTTTAAATATTGTTTATTCTTTCATATTCTAAGGGATCAAATCCACTTAACACTATTACATCAATTTTTTTTTAGAATTAACAAAAAATGTATAGAATTGTGTATAGAAAGTGTAAAGAATTAGGAGGTAATTGATTTTATACGGAAAATTTTAAAAACTAAATTTCTAACATCAGTATAATAAAAAATTTAATATTAAGTAGAATTCCTTAAAGTACTAAGACTAGGAGATGACCCTTATTTCAGTTACAAAAGTAAAATCAGGTATTTGTAGTATCCACTAAGCTAATATTTTTGAGCCAGCTACAATGTGCCAGACATTATTTTTAGATGATGCAAATACAATAGCAATCACAGCACAAAATTCTTCAGTGTCATGGAACTTACATTCTAATGCTATCAGAAGAGAAATTAAACAAGCTGCTGTGTTGTTTTTCCTAGCTTCTGTCTTGTTGAAAATCTAAAATCAAATTCCCTATCATTTCATCTTACCATTGTAATTATGTATGTTGTCTGCTCATGTAGGTTAATATTTTTCTAAGCCAAGTCAAAATAAGCAGTATTTTTAATTGTTGTATGTACATAGTAAGTATATAGACTTAGGGAGTACAGTAGATATTTTGATACAGGCATATAATGCGTGATGAAAACATCAAGGTAAGTGGAGTATCCGTCCCCTCGAAGCATTTGTCCTTTGTGTTACAAACAATCCAATTATACTCTTAGTCATTTTATAATGTACAATTAAATTATTGACTATAGTCACCCTGTTTTATTGTCAAATATTAGATCTTATCCTTTCCATTTTTTTTTCTACCCATTAATCATTCCCACTGCCCCCACCCCAACTATTCTGCCCAGCTTTTGGTAAACCATCATTCTGCTTCGATTGTTTAATTTTCAGCTCCCACAAATAAGTGAGAACATGTGAAGTTTGCCTTTCTGTGCCTGGCTTATTTCACTTAACATAATGACCTCCAGTTCCATCCATGTTGTTGCAAATTACTGGATCTCATTCTTTTTTATAGCTGAATAGTACTCCATTGTGTATATGTACCACATTTTCTTTATCCATTTGTCTGTTGATGGACACTTTGGTTGCTTCCAAATCTTGGCTTATTGTGACTAGTACTGTAAGCAACATGGAAGTGCAGATATCTCTTTGATATACAGATTTTCTTTCTTTTGGGTGTATACCTAGAGAGATTGCTGGATCATATGGCAACTCTATTTTTAGTATTTTGAGGAACCTCCAAATGGTTCCTCATGGTGGTTGTACTAATTTACATTCCCACCAACAGTGTCTGAGGGTTCCCTTTGCTCCATATCCTCGCCAGCATTTGTTATTGCCTGACTTTTGGATAAAAGCCATTTTAGCTGAGACGATATCTCATTATAGTTTTGATTTGCATTTCTCTAATGATCAATGTTGCTGAGCATCTTTTCATATATCTATTTGCCATTCGTATGTCTTCTTTTAAGAAATGTCTGTTCAGATCTTTTGCCCATTATTTAATCCGATTATTAGATTTTTTTCCTGTTAAGTTGTTTGAGCTCCTTATATATTCTGGTTGTAAATATCTTGTCAGATGGATAGTTTTCAAATGTTTTCTCCCATCTGTGGGTTGTCTCTTCACTTTTTTTTTATTGTTCCCCTTGTTGGGCAGAAGCTTTTTAACTTGATGTGATCCCATTTGTCTATTTTTATTTTAGTTGTCTGCGTTTGTGGGGTATTACTCAAGAAATATTTGTCCAGTCCAGTGTCCTAGAGAGTTTCCCCAATGCTTTCTTTTAGTAATTTCATAGTTTGAGGTCTCAGATTTAAGTCTTTAATCCATTTTGATTTGATTTTTAATGTGGTAAGAGATAGAGATCTAGTTTCATTTTTCTGCGTATGGATATCCAGTTTTCCCAGCACCATTTATTGAAGAGACTGTTCCTTCCCCAATGTATGTTCTTGGCACCTTTGTCAAAAATGAGTTCACTGTAGGTGTATGGAGTTGTTTCTGGGTTCTCTGTTCTGTTCCATTGGTCTTACGTGTCTGTTTTTATGCCAGTACCATGCTATTTTGGTTACTAAAGCTCTGTAGTATAATTTGAAGGCAGGTAATATGATTCCTCCAATTTTGTTCTTTTTGCTCAGCATAGCTTGGACTACGCTGGGTTGTTTTTGTTGTTTTTTGTTTGTTTGTTTTTTCTTTTTTGTGGTTCCATATAAATTTTAGGATTGTTTATTTCTACGAAGAATGTTATTGGTATTTTGATATGGATTGCATTGAATCTGTAAATTGCTTTCAGTAGTATGGACATTTTAACAATATTGATTCTTCCAATCCATGAACATGGAATATCTTTTCAGTTTTTTATGTCTTCTCAATTGCTTTCATCAATGTTTTATAATGCTCATTGTAGAGATCTTTTACTTCTTTAATTAATTCCTAAGTATTTTTTTGTAGCGGTTACTTTCTTCATTTCTGAAGGATTACTTCATGGGATGGGATTACTTTCTTCATTTCTTTTTCAGATTGTTTGCTGTTGGCATATAGAAATGCTACTGATCTTTGTTTGTTGATTTTATGTCCTGCAACTTTACTGAACTTATCATCTCTAATAGTTTTTTGGTGGAGTCTTTATGTTTTTCCAAATGAAAGTTTACATCATCTGCAAACAAGAATAATTTGACTCCTTCCTTTTCAATTCGGATGCCCTTTATTTCTTTCTCTTATCTTATTAGCTAGGACTTCCAGTACTATGTTCAATAACAGTGGTGACAGTGGGCATTCTTGTTGTGTTCCAGATCTTAGAGGAAGGACTTTCAGTTTTTCCTCATTCAGCATGATACTAGCTGTGGGTCTGTTGTATGTGTCTTTATGTTGAGGTATGTTCCTTCTATACCCAGTATTTTTTGTGGTGGGGGGTGGGTAATCATAAAGGGATGTTGAATTTTATTAAAAGCTTTTTCAGCATCAGTTGAAATGATCATATGGTTTTCGTCCTTCATTCTGTTGATATGATGTCTCACGTAAGTGTATACCTTTTTTTTTTTTTTTTTGAGATGGATTCTTGCTCTGTCACTAGGCTGGAGTGCAGTGGCACGATCTCAGCTCACTGCAACCTCCACCTCCCAGGTTCAAACGATTCTCCTACCTTAGCCTCCTGAGTAGCTGGAACTATAGGTGCATGCCACTACACCCGGCTAATTTTTTGTATTTTAGTAGAGATGGGGTTTCACAATGTTGGCCAGGATGGTCTTGATCTCCTGACCTCGTGATCCGCCCGCCTCGGCCTCCCAAATTGCTGGGATTACAGGTGTGAGCCATTGTGCCCAGCCAAGTCTATACTTTTCATGTCTTCTATTCTGAGACTTAAAAATTGACTGAGATTTGCACTTAGTACTCTCAATATGGTGATCATTTTCATTAAGTTTTTTGGATTGGAACCGGGCGCAGTAGCTCATGCCTGTAACCCCAGCACTTTGGGAGGCCAAGGCGGGTGGATCACTTGGGCTCAGGAGCTCGAGACCAGCCTGGCCAACATGGTGAAACCCTGTCTCTACTAGAAATACAAAAAACTACCCAGACTCTGGGTCTTCTCAGCTATATCACTTCTAATCCCAACTTTGACCTGCCAGACCCTTTTTGGCTCAAGTTCCATCTCCCTTGTGACTCTTTCTCTACCTCACAGCTGCATCTTTAAAACCTCCAGTTACTGGATTATTTTCTTTCTAAATTTAAATTCTGTAAATAGGGATGATAGGCCTAACTTATATTTCATGCAAGACTCCATCATAAGTTAAGTGCTGGCCACGTTAAGTGCTAGTGCTTACGTTAGGTGCCCATACCTGGCCAGTCGACAGGCTAGAAAGGGAGTTAAATCCTACATAATGTGGCCAACTAGGTCACTCCTTCAGCAAGAGCTGTGGATATGGTGATGTGTCTGCTGCAATGACTGCTTAGTAAATTCTATTAACAACAGATAATCTGGCAATAACCCACCCGCTTTATTTTTTCAGATTTGATGGCATTTTGTCTGGGTTACATTTTCTGTATAATATTGAAAAACAAAGGTTTACAAAAATTGTAAATGTTATAGTCAAATTGATATGTTAATTACTTTAAAAGCATTAGAAAAATAATCTCCTTTTGGATATAAAATGGTGAATGTGATCTAAACCATTTTTAGATTCATAGCTAAAGTATTTTATTACAGTTTTTTCCATAAAGTAGTCTTTGGCATTTATTTTTAAAAGTACAATAGTAGGAGAGTTTTATGTCTGAGTGATTATGAGGTGGAAATACCAATTTGTTAGCTTAGCAAGTCTCATTAAGCACCTGCCTGGATCAATGTCTTGCATGTAGCACATATTCATTATTTCTTTAATTGAATCAAAAAGGCTGCCTTTGTTTAAGCTCAGACTACATTAAACATGTATACTCTGTCAAGGGCTATAGTCATCTAGGAATTCAAAGTTGTAAATATTAGTGCTTCCACAATGATGAATTCACAAGCAGACCAGAAAATGGCTAGGTGAGATTTCACAAGATAAAATCCCTGAATACTCACCTCCACACACACACATGCAAACAAAACTTTTCTTTGAAATATATTTACTATCATTATTATCATATAACCAATATAATTTGTGATATAAGTAATATTACTGTTTAATAGAGAAAAATCTGTGATTTTAATCATATTTGCAAAGAAATGCATGAATAAGAAAAGATTAAGGGGCATTAGCTATTATAATTTTACCAAAAAATGAAACAGTTGTAATTAATAAAAGTAATAAATGTAAAAGCATGCATATTTTGAGCGTTTAAATAACGTATATTTTAAAATGATGTTCCAACCTGAATTTGCCAGGGTAGATGTTATTCAGTCAACTAAAACAGACTGTTTTTGGGAGTGATCATATGTAAAGAAGATGGATGACAGCCTTGTAAATCCTTTTAAAAATTGTATGTGTGTTTCTCTCAAATTTGAGAGAAGAATTTTTTTTAAGAGATGAGGTCTCATTTTGTCACCTAGGCTGGAGTAAAGTGGCAGGATCATAGCTCACTGAAGCCTCAAACTCCTGACCATAAGTGATCCTCCCTGGTCAGCCTCCCAAGTAGCTAGGACCACAGGCACATACCGCCATGCCCAGTGAAGAATTTTTTTTTTTTTTTTTGTAGAGACAAGGTCTCACTATGTTGCCCTGACTGGTCTCAAACTCCTGGGCTCAAACAATCCTCCTACCTCAGCCTCCCAAAGCCCTGGGATTACAGATGTGAGCCCCCACACCAAGTCCAGAAAAGAGCATTTAATGGGAATGAATATAGATCCTTTTTTTTCTTACAGAATTTATTAGGTCGATACAGAGATTTGCAAGGGCATTTTTCAGAATTATCATTTTTCCAATTTTTTGATTGTGAGACTTACCAGAAACACATTAGCTGCTATAATCCCATCAATAACAATGAGAAAAAGAGAGAGATCACAGAATTCTAAGTCTGAGATAGTTAATCATCTTCAGTGGACTCTTAGGAAGCTGAAGGTTTATGTTTAGGCTCCTACTTCATGTGGAAAGAAAACTGTGATAGTCTCATCATCAATTTTAAGGTATATTTTTTCAGATATAATTGTTACTATGTAAACTAATCCTGTGCTACTTGTAAACTGATTGTATCCAATATTTTAGCAGTAGAATTTGGCACACTGCCACAGAAAACCCACACAGTAATGGCAAATATACAAATTTATGTAAAAATTAGTTGGTAATGTGTTAAGTAGTTTTGTTTTTCATTTGTATTAGTGAGGAGTTTTTTGTTGTTAAAAATAACTAATTTAACTGCTGATTGTTGGTTAGTATATTTGGCTATCACCTGTTTTCTGGAATTGAACCAAGATAGAATAATTCTCCTATTTATAGGCTACTGTTGAAGCTCCATTTTGATTATCCTCCATTTTGATTGAATTTTGATTAAAATTTGAGGATTTCTGCAGAAAAAAATTCTTAAACTGTGCATCTCAAACCTTAATATACACACAAATGACTTGGGCATCTTCTTAGATGCCCTTTGTGATTCAGTGAGTCTAGGATAGTGTATTAGTCTGTTCTCATGCTGCCATTAAAGACATAACCAAGACTGGGTAATTTAGAAAGAAAAAGAGGTTTAATGGACTCACAGTTCCATGTGGCTTGGGAGGCCTCACAGTCATGGTGGAAGGTGAAAGGCACATCTTACATGGCAGCAGGCAAAAGAGAATGAAAAATCAAGTGAAAGGGGAAAGCTTTTAAAAACCATCGGATCTCAGGAGACTTATTCACTACCACCAGAACAGTATGGGGGAAACCATCCCCATGATTCAATTACAATGAGTCCCATCAGGTCCCTCCCACAACATGTGGGAATTATGGGATCTCCCAGGAGCTGCTGATGTTGCTGGTCCATGGACCACACTTGGAGTAGCAAGGATATAAAGAACTGGACCTCTGGTGGAAGTAGGACAAGATTCACAAATTGTGAATATCTTTATCAGAAATGTGTGATGATTATTTGTATCCCTTTGAGAAGAAAAGCCCCTCTTATATTTCTATAAAGAGTTGAAGTAGACATTGGGCCACTTAAGAGGGGCATGATATAATGAAACACTGAAGCCTCTCTAAGTTTGTAGAGGACAATCTTCTTCAAGATAGGTATGCTCCATATCTGAGCTCCTACCTGAGGATAGATTAGAGTGGTGTCTTCCACTGCACACTGTGTGTAATGAGAGAATGAGAATGAAAAAGGTAATAACGTCTTACTGTTATTACGACAATAGTTTTGACCTCATGGGCTCACTGAGAGTGTTTGAGAATCCTTAGGGATCCCTGTACTACACTTTGAGAGATGCTGGCGTAGAGGAAACTATACATTGTATAGCTGTGCCTATTGCAAGCAGCAGGGTAAATTTATATTGAGAACAGCCATTGAATCATAAAATATCTGAGCCACAGGTAGTTTTGGATCCTCCTCATTGATGCAAGTCCTTTTTAATTGTCCTGATTGAAACCATACTCTTGGTATTCTGGACAAAATACATAGAAATGGAATGGTAAAAAAATTGGTTCAAAATACCCCCAGTGGTTAAGTAATTAGAAAGCTTTTATTTGGAAAAAGTTATAGCAATTACTGGTGGCGGGGAAGAACACTTAGAACGATGAGACAAAGAAGTAGCTCTGAGCATATGAGCGAAAGATATGATTTCCAGGTGCAATAGTTTAGCCTGATTAAGAGACCATCACTCTTGTAAGAAGGGGCTGGATACATTGGTTAGTAGAGAGAATTATAATGTCAAAAGAGTTATCTTATTATTGTAATTGTAATAGATTATGAAGTTGCATATTCATATTCTCATTCCATATTTTGCTCGTTGGACTCACTGACTGGAAGGTAGCTTGGGCCGGAAAGAGGGACTTTCTGGACTAAGAATTGCAGCTCCTGTAGCAGCCTACTGCTTAGGCTGCATCTACTCCTCTTATTGTGTTTCATGATGGCCCAGGAAGGTTGGGCTGGCCCAGGAAGTAGTGAAAGTAGAATGGAGAGTCATTGATTATAATTATTAATCTTTTTTGAATACATTAAACAGTGCTAAATGATTTTAAAGTACTGTAGTATATTCATCTACTGAATACATCACTTTATACTCATGTTCTTCCTCACTAATTTGCAAAGAAATAAATTGTTATTTTACACTTTAGGCACAGTGAACGTGGGTCAACTAATCAAAGAAGTGAAAAAGTTTGAGAAAGGTAAAAATACCTTTTGCCTTTAACCATAATCTTGTCTCTGCTGCCTTAACAGTGCTTGAAATCATTTGTTATAACTCTACTTAAGTACCAGCAATTATGGGAATCATGCTAAAGCCATGCTTATGAAAAGGCAAGAGAGGATACCACTAAGATAATAGAGAATCACGTATTATTTAGTTAGAGGACAATCGCATATTATTTAGTTATAAAGCCAAGTTTGAAATCTGGCCATAATGATTACAGTAGGCCAAAATTAACTTTATTTGAGCCATTTTACACTTAAGGGGACCTTGGTTAAAAGAATCTCAGGAACACAGTTAAAAAAAATAAGGAGAAGGCATAAATTTATTACCAGAAAGGTTAAATGATGTCACACTTAATCACTGTTATAGCAAAAGATGCAGCAAGCTGGGTTCAATATAGCCATCTTTCAAGGCTTGAAAATCTTTCTTTGAGATGGTCTAGACTCGCTCATGGTCTAGACTACATCGTGAAGTCCAGTGGTTAGGTCAGTTAGCACAATCAGGACAATAGTCTAACCTGAGTTAATCCAAGGAGTGGCAACTAATTAGGTTGTATTAAAAGCCTGCTTGTTGTAATAGTTTCTCAGCCATATTTTCTCATGTAATACTCTCTGATTGAAAAGAAAGTACTTTGGTTCCTAAACATAGAATATAAATCTGTGTCCTATTCCTTCTCTCAAAATCTGAGTTCTACCACACATACTGCTGGTGTTATAAACCCGTAAAATTCCACCTCTGCAACAATACTAATAGTCACATATAGTAAGAGTTAGCTATGATTTAAGCAAAATGAGACGCCAGTGTCAGATTGTTTTGATGGTGTGATGAATACAAAACTTCCTATTTTAGGGTTTCCCATCTGTTAGAATTAATTAGAATCTGTTAGATGTAATTCTGCTGAAATTATGGTTTTTTTATTTTTATCAAAATATATTGAATATCTACAAAGAAAAATGAATTTTTATTATAGCTATTTAAATTTATTTACCTGCATTCAGAAGTCAGGGTATAAAATTTTTCTATTTTAGCTTATATATGGGTGGTTAGTCATTTTGTATGAATTGCAATTTCTCTTAAGTGGAGTATTATGTTTTAGTATAAAATATTTTTTATTTGTGAGTTGGTATCTGGATTTTTAAAACACTTTTCTCAATTGATAGATCACTTCAGAGATACCTATTTCAACAGAAACTTAAAAAGCAAGCTTCCTAGAAATGCCCAGGACTGCTTTCTCACCAATTATGTCAGCTACATATACTTAAGAGCTTGATTGAGAAAAATCAAGCAGTCAGATAAAATAAAGATTTAGAGAAAGTGAATTAATTGAGAAAGTGAATTAACTGAATTATTTAATTTATAAATGAGTAATAAAGAAAATATCTCTGGTTTATAATGGATATGAAATTCGTATCACTATTAGCTTAGATAGCTCAGATTATAGTTAAAATTGTTCTTTTAATAAAGAAAAGATAGAGCTGGAAACAATTTAAAACCTGAAACTTCAGCAACACATGAAGTATACATGGTAGGTAGATTTTTGAAACTATAAATGTTTAGTGATAAAAGGAAATTATAGTAGCTTTGGTTAGGAATAATATCTTCTAAGTGAAAAAAAGAAAAATATTAGAAAATCCAGTAAATAAGGAGAAATACTAGAATCTGAAACATTTTGTTTAAATATCTTGCTGTAAGAAAAGTTAACTGTTCTACATAATCTTTCATAGTTTTAAAGAACACATAAGTGAATATTCAATTCTTGGCTTTTTTTCTATTTTATTTTAATTTGTAATGCTCAATAACTTTCTTTTTGAGATCTAATATAGTTATTCTGAACATTTACAAGACTGAGTCTAAAAATTGTTTTCCATGTTGTTTTCTTAGTGTATGCTTAGTATGTTTTTAAAACTTTTTAATATACCTGACAATATATGTGTCTTTTTGCCCCCTCAGTAATCGTGTGGAAGCGTGGACAAGAGATGTTGCTTTCTTACTCAGACAAGAAGGCAGGCCCATGGTTAATCTTATCCGTAACAGGACTAAAGTCAGAGTGATGGAAAGGGATTGGCAGAATACAGACAAAGCAGTAAACTGGTTAAGAAAGGAAGCAATTAATTACACTGAACCATTTGTTATTTACTTGGGATTAAATTTACCACACCCTTACCCTTCACCATCTTCTGGAGAAAATTTTGGATCTTCAACATTTCACACATCTCTTTATTGGCTTGAAAAAGTAAGTAACTACATTGTGTGTGCTCAAAAGTAGATTTATATATGTGGCTTATTGGTATTTGCTCATTGTTTCTTTTATTATCACTTTTAAAGAAAAATTTGAAAATTGTATATTCAAACTTGACCAATAACTAGTATGATAAAAACTAAAGGGACAATTTTACAGAAATAAGTGTTAAAAGTCAGAAGCCTGCTTCTGGATTGAATTCATTTGCTAAGGATATGTCTATAAACAGAGAAACTAAAAGGCATTCTCTTAGAAATGTAGGCAGCTCTCACTTTGCACCATTCCAGATTGTAAAAATGACCATGCAAGATGAAACCACATAAAACAACCTTAATAAATGGGGAAAATGACCATTTTCTGGCACTTTTAAAAACATTTATCAAAATATTTTGAATTATGTTACTTTTTGTTAAAAATTGAAAAAGAAAAAATAAACTAATATTTATATAGTGCACTATAATGAAAACACTAGAAACATTGAGAATTAAAGAGGGAATTTTTTTGGTTAAAAAACTTGCCAGTAGATTGAAGAGTGCTTGCCTTCTCATCATAAAACTTATGATACAGAGAAAGCATCTTTTCCAAGACTTGGCAAATTGTCATTATTTCTTTCTAAATTTGGATTACCTTCCAACATTTTAACTTTTGCACTTTCAATGTAATGATATATCTCCAAGTTCATTTAATGTGAAAAATTTTGCCAATATCGCTTTCTGTGGGACATCTTTATCCTTTTCTTCACAACAGCCTTCCTCATTTATGCTCGTAAATGTGCCTTCACTAAGTTCCTCTGGCTACATTTCTAGTGTCTCTTGAATGACAGCAGTGTCAACATTCCCAGCTCCGCTATTTCTTCTATAACTTCATTTACATTTGATTTGAATTTCACTTCCAGCCTTGTCACTTTTCCTTTTTTTACTGCATGTTCATCTTTGTTGACTTCTCTTCATTATCTGTTTTTATAAAGTGTCACATTAATTTATCACTAGGATACAAGTACATGCTTTGTTGTCTGTGCATGTACCAGATAACTAATCACTGACACATTTTAAAAGAAACAATATGATTAGTCACTGAATGGCATACATATCTGTTGTATACCCAGTGATTTATACTAAAGAGCTAGCAGCATATCAGTGTGAAAGTTTGTACTTCTTGCAGTTATTCACAGTTAACATACCCTGGTAACTGAAGTCTACCGGGGTAATTTTGTTAGGGGACTGGTATTATTTAACAATACTGTGATAACTGAAATTCATGCATATCAAACCACATGATGCATGTTCTACCTGTATTTTGAAATGTGTAATATTAAATCAATTTTAAGTTACTTTAAAAACTAATCAGTTAATTCAACTAAAAAGCCTCTGCACAGCAAAAGAAATTATCAGCATAATGAACAACCACAGAGTTTGTGAGAAAATCTTCGCAATCTATACATCTGACAAAAGACTAATATCCAGAACCTACAAGAAACTCAAACAGAGTAGCAAGAAAAAAAAAATCCCATCAAAAAGTGGGCTAAGGACATGAATAGGGCTCACGCCTGTAATCCCAGCACTTTGGAAAGCTGAGGCGGGTGGATCACCTGAGGTCAGGAGTTCGAGACCAGCCAGACCAACACGGTGAAACCCTGTCTCTACTAAAAATATGAAAATTAGCAGGTGTGGTGGTGTGTACCTGTAATCCCAGCTACTCAGGAGGCTAAGGCTGGAGAATCGCTTGAACCTGGGAGGCGGAGGTTACAGTGAACCGAGATTGCGTCATTGCACCCCAGCCTGGGCAACAAGAGCAAAACTCCATCTCAAAGAAAAAAGACATGAATAGACAGTTCTCAAAAGAAGATATACAAATGGCCAACAAATATATGAGAAAAGGCTCAACATCACTAATGATCAGGGAAATGCAAATTAGAACCATAATGTGATACCACCTTACTCCTGCAAGAATGGTCATAATCAAAAAATAATAGATGTTGGCGGGGATGTGGTGAAAAGGGAACAATTTCACACTGCTGGTGGGAATGTAAACTAGTACAACCACGATGGAAAACAGTGTGGAGATTCCTTAGCTAAAAGTCGAACTACCTTCTGATCCAGCAATCCCACTACATGGTATCTACTCAGAGGAAAAGAAGTCATTATACGAAAAAGATACTTGCTCTCACGTGTTTATAGCAGCACAATTCACAATTGCAAAAATATAGAACCAGCCCAAATGCCCATCACTCAACCAGTGGATAAAGAAATTGTGGTATATATACCATGAAATACTACTCAGCCGTAAGAAAGGAATGAATCATTTGCAGCAACCCGGATGAAATTGGAGACCGTTATTCTAAATGAAGTGACTCAGGAATGGAAAACCAAACATCATATGTTCTCACTAATAAGTGGGAGCTAAGCTATGAGGATGCAGAGGCATAAGAATAATACAGTGGACTTTGGGGACTGGTTGGGGGAAGGTGGATAGGCGTGAGGGATAAAAGACTACATACAAATTGGGTACAGTGTATACTGCTTGGGTGATGAGTGCACCAAAATCTCAGAAATCACCCTAAAGAACTTATTCATGCAACCACGCCTGTTCCCCAAAAACCTGTGGAAATTAAAAGTTAGTTTAAAAAAACTAATCAGAAACACGATTTAGTCCATCCTATTTTAAAGAAAATAATGCCAGTGTTTTAGATACTTTATATCTTCTTTAAAAGTTCTAAGTGGTTTCATCTTCAAAAATTTGTCTGGAGTTAGTACTAGCCAAATGACATGAGTTAAATGACTTTCAAGCAAATACTAAGTAAATGTTTGAACTTTTTGAAAGTTACATGACTAAAATATATATGAATTCAAGATCTAGTTCTAATTTTTTTTACCAACACTGTACATAAGCATTTATATGTGTTAAAGAGTCATATTTGTTTTTGACAAGTGCTTGGCTATCTCACTAGATATTGTCATTTTTACTAGTGAATTATTGGAGAAAAGGAGTCCGTATTCTGAGGTTGTTGATTCTGAAGTTTTGGTTACACAACTATATATTAAAGTGCTTGGATACTTTTCTGGATTAGCATGTACTGTCTAATATAGCTCATATTTTTTATTGGCCTGTATAATTTTTAAAAATTTTACCACTATCTCATGATATATATACACATATTGATATATACCTTTTGTTATGACAGTATTAACAATTTGTTCCTAATTTATGTATTGATTTGCTATTTTATTTACATATTTACACTGTTCTTTTCTACTATTCTAAGTAATTAAACATTGTTGATTTCATCATACATACTTATTGGAGGAAAGAAATAGCACTATTTTGCTAGCATAACTAAGTTTTTTCTCCCCTTTTTAGGTGTCTCATGATGCCATCAAAATCCCAAAGTGGTCACCTTTGTCAGAAATGCACCCTGTAGATTATTACTCTTCTTATACAAAAAACTGCACTGGAAGATTTACAAAAAAAGAAATTAAGAATATTAGAGCATTTTATTATGCTATGTGTGCTGAGACAGATGCCATGCTTGGTAGGTGGTATAATTAATAAGCAATTACATGAAGAAAAATTATAATATTTTTCCAACAGTCTGTAATCATGCTGCTTGGTGACTTTCTTACAAAGTTGCTTATAACTATAGGAATCTTGACACTTATCAAAACTTGATAACTTGCGTTATTGATAGAATGAAAAGCTCTTTACATCTTAATGATTCAGAAATTCTCAGATTCATAAATGCTCAGATTTATTCACACATAAAGAAAGGGTCACAGAAGGCTATCATCTACTTGAAACGTTTTACTGTCCTTAAACAGGAATCAATATTCAGCCAAGCACAGGTACACATGTGATTGGTAATTGTAAGGCAGCTTAGGTTTCTAGAGATGAGAAAATTTACTTGTAGAATCTTGTGACTCCCCAAAACTTATAATAACCATGAAACAAATTCATTCTCCCCAGGCCCTTTAGAGCATGGCTTAACTAAAGTTTCTCCATGTATATTCTGGTCCAGAATCATACCGAATTTTCTTCCCTCATTCAAGCTCAAGACCACCTCAAAACTAAACCTGCCTTCATCACATGACTGTCAAGAACATTTTACCTGTTCACTTATAGAGCTATGGAAGTTTCCAGTTCATGTGTGGAAAAACCCTCGTTTAAAAATCTGTTTTATAACAAAAGTTATTTTCATAAAGTAATGTCATTTATTTTGCTGCACTTAGGAATGAAGCATAATTGTACTAGTGAAGCGTAGGTAGCACCTCTTCTGTACAGAGTAAACTTTGGAAATGACAAGTGAATGTTTTTTGTTAAAAAAAAATTCACTGGGTAAAAATAGAAAAGTATACAGCAAGAAGCAAAAAGGCCATATGGACAAATTATTTATAATATAGCAAGTATAAAAATGTATTGGCCAGGTATAAAAATGTATAGGCTCATGCCTATAATCCCAGCACTTTGGGAGGCTGAGGCAGGTGGATCACCTGAGGTCAGGAGTTCGAGACCAGCCTGGCCAACATGGCGAAACCCTGTCTCTACTAAAATACAAAATTTAGCCGGGTGTGGTGGCACGCACGTGTGATCCCAGCTACTTGGGAGACTGAGGCAAGAGAATCACTTGAACCTGGGAGGCAGAGGTTGCAGTGAGTGGAGATCGTGCCACTGCACTCCAGCCTGGGTGACAGAGCAAGACTACGTCTCAAAAAAAAAAAAAAAAAAGTATTTAAGGACTCATAAGGACTTTCCAAGTACTCAATGCAAATAAGATCTTAAGTAATTTTCTTTAATCATGAGCACATCTGTCAAATTGTATTTCATTGATATTCTCTGATGTTAGAGAATGTCCTCCCATTTGCATACTAGAAATTGCATTTGAAAGTTTATAGCCATTCATTCATCTGTATCTAATAAAATGAAAGAATGTTGCTGTAGGGAGTGTGGGAATACTACTCTTGATGTCTCTTCAGAGAAGAAAAATATGTAACAACTCCCTTACATCAAGTTACAAAATTTATGGAATATACTGTATCTTAATTTTTTTTTTTTTTTTTGAGATAGAGTCTAGTTCTGTCTCCAGGCTGGAGTGCAGTGGCGGGGTCTCTGCTTACTGTAACCTCTGCCTCTTGGGTTCAAGCGATTCTCCTGCCTCAGCCTCCCGAGTAGCTGGGATTATAGGCACGCGCCACCACGCCCAGCTAATTTTTGTATTTTTAGTAGAGACGGGGTTTCACCATGTTGGTCAGGCTGGTCTCAATCTCCTGACCTCATGATCCTCCCAAAGTGCTGGGATTACAGGCATGAGCCACCGCGACTGGCCTGTAAATTTTTAAATCTACACCGGTCTTTTCACCAAATAGTATTTAATACTGTTCATTGTGTTTGTTAACAAACATTAAGTACCTACTAGCTGTAAGGCACTATGTTGGGCACTGGGGGAGTATAGTATGTTGAATACTATTAAGAAATCACTCATTAATTAAAGACATTTGTGGCTCACGCCTGTAATCCCAGCACTTTGGGAGGCCGAGGCAAGCGGATCACAAGGTCAAGGGATCAAGACCATCCTGGCCAACATGATGAAACCCCATCTCTACTAAAAATACAAAAATTAGCTGGGTGTGGCAGTGTGCGCCTGTAGTCCCAGCTACTCAGGAGGCTGAGGCAGGAGAATCACTTGAACCCGGGAGGCGGAGGTTGCAGTGAACCAAGATCACACCACTGCACTCCAGCCTGGTGACAGAGTGAGACTCCGTCTCAAAAACAAACAAACAAAAAAAAAATTAAAGACAATCTAGTGTCTTTTCCCACCTCAAGGTCTTATATTTTGTTTCATCTGCCTGGAACACCCTTCCCTTTGCTTTCTACATGGCTGGCTTATTCTGTCTTTAGATCCCAGCTCAGTTGTTACCTCCTCAGGGATGTCTTCCCCAACCACTCTAACTCAGTGTGCCAGCTCCATCATTCTGCTTACTTTATACCTTGTCAGGTTGTTTACATAGTAATACTAATTATTCGTCTGTTTACCATCTGTTTCCCTAGAAGAACACAAGCTTCATGAGGGCGGGGACATTCTTTTATTTTTATTTTAAGTTCCAGGGTACATGTGCAGGGTATGCAGGTTTGTTACATAGGTAAACGTGTGCATAGGTAAAAGGTGGTTTGCTGCACCTATCAACCCATCACCTAGGTATTAAGCCCAGCATGCATTAGCTATTTTTCCTAATGCTCTCCCTTCCCTGGCAGGCCCCAATGTGTATTGTTCCCCTCCCCGTGTTCATGTGTTCTCATTGTTCAGCTCCCACTTATAAGTGAGAACATGCAGTGTTTGGTTTTCTGTTCCTGCGTTAGTTAGCTAAAGATAATGGCTTCTAGCTCCATCCATGTCCCCGCAAAGGACATGATCTCATTCCTTTTTATGGCTGCGTAGTATTGCATGGTGTAGATGTACCACATTTTCTTTATCCAGTCTATTGTTGGTGGGCATTTGTGTTGATTCCATGTCTTTGCTATTGTGAATAGTGCTGCAGTGAACACACATGTGCATGTATCTTTGTAATAGAATGATGTATATTCCTTTGGGTATATACCCAGTAATTGGATTGCTAGGTCAAATGGTGTTTCTGGTTCTAAATTTTGGAGGAATTGCCACACTGTCTTCCACAATGGCTGAACTAATTTACATTCCCACCAACAGTGTAAAAGCATTCCTATTTCTCCACAACCTCTCCAAAATCTGTTGTTTCTTGACTTTGTAATAATTACCATTCTAACTGGCAATTATTTATTGCCAGTTAGACGTTTATTGAATGAGCATAATCGGTAAACATTTATTGAATGAGCATAAATGCTAAGAATTACAATGTGTTGTTGTGACTACAGTAATATGCAAGTTGTAGGCATCCTGAAGAACAAAGTGATTTACTCTACCTAGAAGAGCAGGGAATGGTGCTTTGCTAGAGAGATAATGCATGTTTGAGCTGGGTCATAAAGGAAGAATAGGAATTTGTCAAGTAGACTGTGGGAGAAAGGGCATTCACCATAAATGGCAGAGTATATGCAGAGGCAAGAAAGCGTAAACTAATATGGTGTGTGTTTAGGAGGTTCTGAGCAGGTTAGGATTGTTGAAACGTAAAGGTCTAGCAGGTAGCCGAGGGTGCTGAGTGTGGAGAGTGGACAGGGGCATTGCTTGTTATGCTAAAGAATTCGACAGTGGGCATCTATGAAAAAGTTTCAAGCAGGGATGTGACACAATGGAGTGATTAGGTAATTTAGAAAGATAGACACCAGGATAGTACAAGCAGGGGAAAGAGGAGTAGGGGCAAGACCGATTAGTAAGTAATTCCAGTTGTCCAGTTGAAAAATCAAGAGAGTCTCAACTCTGCAAATAACTCCATAGAGCAGTGAATGTCAATCCTGATTACACCTCAGAATCTGTAGGTTTTTAAATTAATATACACTCTTCTACCCAGATTCAGGAACTGCCAAAATAGGGATGACCCTTCTCTCTGGCCTGTGCTTTCTTGTGATTCTCTTAATTACAGTAGGAGGAAGTTCGAGAACACTGAGACAGGAACTGGTCAGAGGAATTTTACTGTCCCATTATTCCCTATCCAAGAAGATGCTAAATCAAACTTGTACACTATCTGTCCTGCTTCCAGCCCTTCTTCAAAGGTGGGATTTCCATAATCCTCAGCCAACTTTATGAGCATGATCTGGTGATTGCTTAGAGATTTGGGAGAAAAAGTAGCAGAGAAGAAGAGTTCTGACTGCTCTTATCACTTCCTGTTGCACAGAAACTGTGGGTCAGAGGTGATACCAATCTTTTTATCATCTGAGACATGTAAAGTGCTCATATCCAACTGATCTTTCTTTTCTCATTCAAGGCACTAAGGGGAAGATTTTTTCCCCTATTCTCTGGTAGAAACCTAGAAAACAAGCCGGCATGATCTCCAGATAAGCAGCTTTGAGCAAGAGTTCCCATGGGTATTATATTTTCTTCTTCCTCTAGTCAGCTGAAGAGCAAGCAGTAGACAGACCACTGTCAACTTTAGACTTAACTTGAGAACAGTAGGTAATATTCAGATGTTAAGAAGCATAGTGACAAACTCTTATAGGGTAGAGTGGTTATAAACTTAATGTGATAGAATAAAACATGAACTGAAAGTTTTAATCGGTTTATCATGATTTCTATTGTAGGTGAAATTATTTTGGCCCTTCATCAATTAGATCTTCTTCAGAAAACTATTGTCATATACTCCTCAGACCATGGAGAGCTGGCCATGGAACATCGACAGTTTTATAAAATGAGCATGTACGAGGCTAGTGCACATGTTCCGCTTTTGATGATGGGACCAGGAATTAAAGCCGGCCTACAAGTATCAAATGTGGTTTCTCTTGTGGATATTTACCCTACCATGCTTGGTAAGTAATGTAGTTCTGTAAATATTTATTTGTAATAATGCTGGAGAATGCAACTGAAGTTGTCAGTGAGTCAGTCTTTCAGTTAGTAGTCAGAGGTCCTGCTGACTTGTTTATAACCCTGAGCAACTCATTCAACTGTGAGTCAAATCTGTACTCTGAAGAATGAAGAGATTGTTTTTCATGTCCCTGTGGCCTTCACTTACTATAGTCATTTTCCCTCAAAAGATTTGTATTCAGGAGATGACTGTAAAGTAAGCCATGTAAGATATTCGGGTTCATAACCTTATAGATATGATTTGTACATCATTTGATTGTCTACCACCACCTCCTTAAAATGTAAGCATTTCCTTTCTGAATTATTCTATTCACTTTGAAACTAGTATGAACATATTCCTCCTCAGACTCTTTAGATAGTTCTGTACTATTTGCTTTACTAGCTTCTTAATGTCTACAAGCATAGCCATATGTCTAGAAAAGCAACATATGGATAAGGGTAGTTAGCAGTTTTTGTTGAAGATACTAGAATAACGACATAATCAAATTCAAAGGAAATCATAGAACTAACTTCTAGTTTCTATCTCATTTAGCAAAGTACTTTAAATTCATTAGCATTTAAACACTAGTTTCTCTGTTCTAAGGCACCATCAATTGGAAAAAGTACCCTCAATTCATAAATTTTGGTGAAAGAAAAAAAAATAGCACAAGTTATGTTCTCTAATTTCAGAAATGTTAAAATGTGAAAGAAAGATGCATCTTAAAATCAAAGAAATCAGAGTTCTTTTTATCTGCTTCCTTCTGCCACAAAGTTCTTCCCTTAATTTAACTAAATTTATTTAGAGTTAATTTAAACCAGCGTCCTTTCCTCTTTTATTTCATATCCCTTCTCATATAATTACACATACTTCTTTCCAGTTCCTTGAACTCTTTTTTTTTGTGTGTGTGTGATGGAGTTTCGCTTTTTCACCCAGGCTGGAGTGCAGTGGTGCGATTTCGGCTCCCTGCAACCTCTGCCTAACAGTTTCAAGTGATTCTCCTGCCTCAGCCTCCTGAGTAGCTGGGATTACAGGCGCCTGCCACCATGTCCAGCTAATTTTTGTGTTTTTAGTAGAGATGGGGTTTCACCATGTTGGCCAGGATGGTCTTGATCCCTTGACCTTGTGATCCGCTTGCCTCGGCCTCCCAAAGTGCTGGGATTACAGGCGTGAGCCACTAAGCCTGGCCAGTTCTTTGAATTTTTAATCTCTTCTGTTTCTTAGTCATCATTTGCTGGTTTCCCTTTATCCCAAAGTAATGATCACACTCAGCCATATCTGGGCCACTTTCTCATTCCATTAGTTTCTAGCTGATCACTATTACTTTTCCTCATTTCTGTGTTTTTTTTAAAGAAGTTTATATAGAACTGTGTATATTTGGGTCTCTTTTATTAGTATATTTAGAGTTTTATGAATATATATGAATTTAGAGTTTTATGAATATATGCCTATATTCTTTACAATTTCCTTCCTTAATTTTTCTTCATGTAGAACTCTCCCTACCCTCCCCATTCCCAAAGAAAATCTTCCTTGGGTCATCTTTGCTTGACTTTTTAGCCTCATTCTGTTTTCTTGAGGTATAGTGACCAGAACTGCAAAAAGGTATTGTAAAAGATTATGGAAAGCTGGGGTGATTCTTTCTCCGTTTTTCCCTCAGTATATTTCAAAGTGATAGTTGCCATTTTATCTATTTGACTCTAGCAGCTAAATAGTTAAATATCTTTAGGGAGTTGTCTACAGTGAGCCCTATTCAATTCTTAGACATTCTGTCATCATATATGTTAGTTAATTAAAATGCATGGTTTAAATCATTTTTCTTTAAACATTATTTTATATTTGCCCACAATGCAAATTTTGTACTCTACAATCTTGAGAAGATACCATTATTACTTCTTGCCATTTTATACATCATAAAAGTTAAAGGTCATCTGCAAACTAGCAGATTTCATAATGTATTTAACAGGTCATATAAGAAAATACTAAATAAAATTTGTTAGAATGGGGAAATTCTCATGCATCTACCTATCATCACTGCCTAATTTATGTTACTTGCTAATAAGAATTTCTCTAGCTAAGAAAATACTGTCTCAGAAACTCCTCTAAATTCCATCCCAACTCTTCTGTAAATGATGTAAATTCCCTGCACCTGTAGGTTTTTTTCCTGCAATTTGTCAATTATTATAATTCTCTAAAACTATAGTTTTATATAGATTTTTATTTTTCATAAGATTCTTGGTAATAGACTCCTTCTAAGTCACATTTCCCTGCAGAATATGTTTTATTAACAGCATTTAGATCATGTGTTGATTAGACCTCCTCAGTAAAAGGAAATAAAGTCAAAAATAAATCTCTCCAATTCTAAACTGAAAAATTAACATCTTCGTGGCTTAGCACAGTTTATAATGTGTTTCACATTGAATATTATTTTTATTATCAGAAGAGGGAAAGCTACATTTAAATGATTTTTTTAGTTGGGGAAGAGTGAGTGGAGAATACCTATGGATGGGTCTTTATATAAAACACTGAAACATTCTATTAACCAGATGTTAACCAGTGATAATGGTAGAAAGAGAACAATGCAACAAAAACCTTATGCTGGAGCCAGGAGACAACATTGTAACACAATTATTTACTTAAATTAATCTTTTTATAAATGATAAAGGTTTAATATTCATAGAGCTCTTATAAATCTGTAAGAAAAAGAGGAATACCTTATTAACAGATGGATCAAAAGAAATAAGCAATTCACAACAGAAAATATACACAAATGGCCAATATATTTTTAAAGAATCAAAGTCAGTGGTCATAAAAATATTAAAACAGAAAAATATTTTTCTTTCACATATAAAGTTTACAAAGGTTAAGAAGAATTAGAAAATCTTATATTAGAAATAGTCCTTCTTGCTGGGCACGGTGGCTCACGCCTGTAATCCCAACACTTTGGGAGGTGGAGGCGGGTGGATCACGAGGTCAGGAGATCGAGACTGTCCTGGCTAACATGGTGAAATCCTGTCTCTACTAAAAATGCAAAAAATTAGCTGGCGTGGTGGCAGGCGCCTGTAGTCCCAGCTACTTGAGAGGCTGAGGCAGGAGAATGGCGTGAATCTGGGAGGCGGAGCTTGCAATGAGCCAAGATCGTGCCACTGCACTCCAGCCTGGGTGACAGAGCGAGACTACGTCTCAAACAAAAAAAAAAAAAAGAAAGAAATAGTCCTTCTCATATACTGCTACTGGGAATATAAACTGATACAAATGTTTTGTAGGCAAATGTGACGTTACATTTCATATTTCTTAGAAATGTGCATACGTTTTGACCTAGAAATCCTAATTTTAGGAAATAACCTGTAGATATGCACAAATATTTATCTCCCTGGATATTTATTACCATATTAAGAATTAGAAACAATATGAATATCTAGTAGTAATGATTGGATTAAAAATAGTCACTTCTAATGCACATCAAAACCACAATGAGATAGCATCTCATAGCAGTCAAAATGGCAATTATTAAAAAGTCAAAAAGCAACAGATGTTGGTGAGGCTGCAGAGAAAGGGGAACACTTATACAGTGTTGGTGGGAGTGTAAATTAGTTCAGCCACTGTGGGAAGCAGTTTGGAGATTTCTCAAAGAACTTAAAACAGAGCTACCATTAGACCCAGCAATCCCATTACTGGGTACATACCAAAAAATACATAAATCATTCTACCAAAAAGACATGCACTTGCAGCACTATTCACAATAGTAAAGGCATGGAATCAACCTAGGTGCCCATTAGTGGTGGACTGAATAAAGAAAATGTGGCACATATACACCATGGAATACTACAAAGCCATCAAAAATGAAATAATGGCCTTTGCAGCAACATGAATGGAACTGGAGGCCATTATCCTAAGCAAATTAACACAATAACAGAAAACCAAATACCGGATGTTCTCACTTATAAGTGAGAACTAAACATTGGTTACTCATGGACGTAAAAATGCCAACAAGAAACACTGGGGACTACTAGAAGGGAGAGGGAGGGAGGGAGGGGGCCAGAGGGCCAGAGGTTGATAAACTGTTGGGCACTATGCCCAGTACCTGGGTGATGCAATCATTCCTATCCCAAACCTCAACATCAAGTAATATACCCAGGGAACAAACCTGCACATGTACCCACTGAATGTAAAACGTTGAAAAAAAAAGTCAATTAATTTTAACAAGTGAAATGTGTGAAAATTGCCCCCATGTATTAAAAAGAAAATGAAGGCTTTAAAACTGTACAAATTGATGTTTTTGTTTTGTTTTGTTTCCTTTTTAGATACTGTGTCCATCTAATTTACTGTCCAAATTAGCAGGTTTTTAGAGTACTATTAACAATTACACCAGCATTAACAGGCAGAAACTGAGGCTACTCTTTATTTAACAGCCTTAGGAGCCAACAAAACAAAGATCATTCTGATGGTCTACGTTTAATCTGATGGATCATTCAACCTTTTAAGATAAAATTCCTCAGTGCTGGAACAGTTTAAAGCTACTTTATTAGTGATTAATTCTAAAATTAGACCTGTGAGACAGTATGTTCTACTTCACCTCTGCTTAATAAACAAACTTATACATATTTTGATAAAACATCTACAAAGGACTTCTTATTTTGTTCTAACCAATTAGGAGCTTAAAATAGATATAAGCAAGTATCTATTCTTAGAGCTCTCAAAGTCCTTTCTTTATTAGTTTAGCTGTAGCTTTATTATTTTGTATGAATCCTGTTTACACACACAGAGGAGAGGCTTATAAAGAAAAATGATATAAAGAGAAAAATTTGTTTTGAAATTGATTTTTCAAGGATAAACTTTGCTTATAGTGTATTTGACTTTTAAAATATTTGAGTCTTCTGGAAACTAAAAATGAAATTAAAATCCTGAAATGTCTGTTAAACAGAAAAAAACACTTCTTGTATCAAAAAATATATATATATCTCAAGCCAAAAACTCAAGCGATATTTCCTCCTCACTTCCATTCTGTGGATCTTAGAAATGTATAAAAGATGGTTATTCTACCTTCAATAGAAAGAAACTGAATAAGAAAAACCAACTGGAATTCCTGTTTTAATAAACCTATCTTACTATCAAGAGGCTATTGAAATTTAAGATGCAACAATACTTTATTTAAAAGTTTGAATTTACAAGTCATTTTTTAAAAGGTATTTTAAAAGAGTGGTTTTTTTAAAGAAAATATTTTATGATAAAATAGGAAGAATATGCTTAGTTTATTTGTGCTTTTGGATCAAATAAACTAATTCTATCACTAGTGTGATAGGATACTATTACATTATCATTTCCTAATACCAGCAGGAAAATGACATTTATGAATAGGAATTCTTTATAATATTAATATTAAAGTTGATATTATTTCTGAGATTATTTAAAAATTACTTCCCGAAATATTTTCTTCTCTAATACCTGGTATCAGCATCTTTTAGCTCAGTAAGAACTAAAGGTGTCTCGTTTTGTAGTTAAAATTGTTTTGATTTTTATTTTTAAGCTTATTTTCATGTGAATTGTTTTCTGTAATAGTCTTTCTGTAAAACACCTGCCTTTCTCCACTTAAAAGATAAGTCTAGATTTTTTTAATTTTGAGAATGTAATTATACAAAAATGCAGTTGTAGTTAAAAGAATATTTCATTGCTAGTAATTTAAATTTCAAAACCCTTCTTGTTACAGGACCTTAGTGGAAGCCTGGGGGTTGGCAGGTGTTTTGCATAGATTCTTGTGTTTTTATTGGCTGAGGAATATTATGAAGTTGGCTAACTACAGTAAGGCAAGGCTTATGGTGTAGTATTAAAAGTACAGAGATTGTAAGGTCAGACTGCCTAAGTTCAAACCCCTCTTTACTCGTTACCAACTGCGTAATCTTGGGCAGGTTACTCAACATGTCTGGTCTTCAATTTTCTCATCAATGAAAATGGGGATAGGCCAGGCGTGGTGGCTCACGCCTGTAATCCCAGCACTTTGGGAGGCCAGGGTGGGCAGATCACTTGAGGTCAAGAGTTCAAGACCAGCCTGGCCAACATGGTGAAACCCCGTTTCTACTAAAAATACAAAAATCAGCCAGGCGTGGTGATGTGCACCTGTAATCCCAGCTACTCGGGAGGCTGAGGCAGGAGAATCACTTGAACCTGGGAGGCAGAGGTTGCAGTGAGCCAAGATTGCGCCACTGCACTCCAGCCTGGGTGACAGAGTGATACTCTGCCTCAAAAAAAAAAAGTGGGGGGCGGGTAATAGTGGCTATTTCATAGCTCAGAACAATGCCTGGAACATGGTGAACAATTAAATGTTAGATATGGTTATCATTAATATGTTTAATTCTTCTTAGATATGCTCTAAAAAATGTGTATATTAGTTTGCATCATTGCCATACCACTCAAATCCATTATGTACTGATATGGTCAGGAAGAAATATAATATCATCTCTCTTCAGGAGATCATCACACATATCCAGGCCTGCATTTTTACCATTTGTTTACTGTTTTACATTAAGTCACTCTTGCTTAAGAACCCTGCGGTTACTTCTAGTCTGTGCTTATACTCCCATGAAAGATGAAGCTTATTTAAAATGGAGTTAGAATGACAGGTTTGCCAGGAGAAATAAATATGCAAAATGATTTTAAATAAAAATCAAACAGCTTTTTGAAAAGCAGTCTAAACTAAAGCGCTTTTAAGGGAATTATTGATAAATATATGAAAAATGAAAACCCAATTTTCTGAGGCACAGAAAAACCAATAAATACTTGAAGTATTTATTAAATATTATGGATATTTCGCATGGGTTTTATCAATTTACAAAGGTATTTTATTCTATCAATAATAGACTGGAATCCCAAGTTCCCCTTATCTCTTGCCTGGATTCCTGCAATAGCTTCCTAACTCTCTCTGACCTTCTGCCCTTACCCACTTTTAGTCAATTCACCATTCCGTTGTTAGTGTCAGACTGTCACACCTCTGCTCAAAACCCTCTACTGATTTCCCATTTCACCTAGAGTAAAAATTCAGTGTCTTTAATTAGGCTTTGAGAGTCCAACATGATCTCTTCTCTTCCCCAACTCATCTCTTATAATTTTATCCCTCACTTACTCTACTCCAGCCAAACAGGCCTGCTTGGTGTTTGGAAAATAAACCAAGTAGGTTCCTGCCTTGGGGACTGTACACTTGCTATTCCCCTGGGGGAATGCCCTTTCCCCAGATAACTGTAGGGCTCACTCTAGCCCCTCCTCGGGACACTGTCTAAATGTGACCTTCTCAGAGGGGCCTTCCCTGACCACCCTATATAAAACAGCACATACCCACATGCCTGCCATCACTCTCTATCTCCCTTACCCTGCCTTCTTCTTCTTCATTGCACTTACCACCATCTGACACAGCTGTTTCTGTCTGCCCACATTAGAATGTTAGCTCTGGGAGAGCTTTTCTGCCTTGACCAGTGTTGTTTCCCTACAGCTAGAACAGCACCTGGTTTGCTGAATGAATTTTAAAAATGAACACTTGAATGGACTCTTTCCCAGTTTACTAATGACTTCTCATAAACACAGGAGAAACATAAGTTTCTTAGTCTTCCAAGCTTCCTTAGGAAAATTAAGAATGGTTCTAAAATAAGGCATTTCTAAGTATTAAAGGTTATTAAAATGCTGAGTACAAGAACTTGCCATAGTCATGAGTATGTGCCAGTTGGTTCCTGCCTCCCAACCTTTCTTAAAGACTACTTCTCTCTCTTCCCATGCCTTGCTGGTGGTGCCTCCTGATGGCTGACACACAGACCACCCTTACCCAGCCTCTTCCCTCACAGCCTTCTTTCCACTGCTTACAGTAGGTAGTCTCTGTGTCTTGGAGCACAGTTAGTTTCACCCAGGCAAGGCTTCTCTCCCGGGCACATCCTCTTTAACCTCTTTTCTCCTCTTTTTGTTTTTAACCAGTCACCTCTGAAATACTCCTCTCTTCTTTCTTTCCTTATCTCTGAACAAAAAAGCCACTAATTTTGATTGGTTGGCAGAAAATTAATACTTGTGATAGTCTTCTTCCAAGGAAAATGGAAGCTACAAACTTTTTTTATCAAGTTATATATGAAACAACTACCTTCAGAAGATTTATAGCGGTCTTCATCTACTTCCCTATTATCCTTTAATTAACCTGTTTTTGTCAAAGATAGTCAAGTTAAATTAATTTTCTTATTCAATTTGGTTTAATTTCTAACATTACAGATATAATTCTATTTTTCATTGGAAATATTTATACATAAAATATGAACATTGAAACCAGAAAAGGGCTGGGGAAGACAACTGCAGACTCATTTTGGAACAACCCTAATTACCCAGACATAATTAATGGTAATTTTTCTATAGGAAGAGGGAAGTTTAAGGTCTAATTACCTTGAAAGCAATTTTTAAAAGTATAAGCTATTTTTCAGTTGAACATTTCTCATGCTGTTGTTCTATATGTCTACATTTGGTAAGTTAAAAATTATTTTTCCCTTCCTAAATATAATCCACAATTCCTGAAAGCATGTTTTTCAAGATGCTAGTCCCTCAAGATGCTACTTGAGAATGTAAAAAGCTCTGTTATCACATAACTTTGGGGCACATAGTATACTATATACCACTCCTGAAGGTTTATCATATACATCAGCAATAAATTTACATCTACAACAAACTTATGTATTTAATTTTGTTTAACCATTGTTTTGCAAACATATAAGACTACTAAACCCCTTTCTTGTATAAGACTTGTTAATATCCCATGAAAGAAACTTTGAGAAACAACTATGATTATTTAATCATTTAGAGAAAAAAGGAATAGTGATATTAACTATTTGTTGAAGGCTCCTATCTGCCAGGCATTGTCCTCAGAGTTCTTAGAATTTTACATAAAGTATCTTATTTAAACCTAAAATGAACCTAATAAATACAAGTACTGTGGTCATCCCCTTCTTACAGATGAGAAAACTGAGGTTGAGATAAGTAAATTACTTGCTGAAGTCCACATGGCCAGTGGGGTAAGCATGTGAATTTTGGCAGCCTGTTTACAAAATCCATATACAATCTCCAGTCTCCATGGCATTTAATGGTATGAAAAAAATGTGAATGATGCTATTTGTGAATGTTCAGCTAATAAAAGAATGAGCTATTTTAAGATATTTGGTTATTTTTGTTACATAGATATTGCTGGAATTCCTCTGCCTCAGAACCTGAGTGGATACTCTTTGTTGCCGTTATCATCAGAAACATTTAAGAATGAACATAAAGTCAAAAACCTGCATCCACCCTGGATTCTGAGTGAATTCCATGGATGTAATGTGAATGCCTCCACCTACATGCTTCGAACTAACCACTGGAAATATATAGCCTATTCGGATGGTGCATCAATATTGCCTCAACTCTTTGGTAAGTTTGTTAATATATTTTTAAGTGTAATATTATGTGTAATGAACTGCCCTATGTAGCATTGCTCAAGATATCCAATAATCCTTGTTAAATAAATGAATATCTGCTGCTTCTCATGCTAGGACGATCTACAAAAGGTTGCCCATGTGAGGAACAGCCTCTTTGCAGATCAGCAGCTGAATTTCAGAGAAAGTGTCCTAAGGCTTTTGATCTGGGTCTCATGACTGAAACCAGTTTTCTCTGATCAGGGCATCTTTCAGTACTCATGGTTATCTTTCCCAATTTGAAGTCAACACCTCATTGTACCTCATTGTTCTGAAGGATTAACACCTATCTTATGAAGCCTGACATTTTACATGTATTATTTAATGTTCACCACAACCCCACAAGATAGTACCATTATCCTCATTTTACAGAGGAGTCTATGAGAGAAATTTGGATACCTGTGTGAGGTCTCACAGCTAAGAAGTAGCAGAACTGAGATTTCAACGAAGCTGTGACTGTAAAATTGATGCTTCTTACAGCTTCTAAAAAATGTCTGCCAGCTTCACTACTCTATGAATTAATTTTTAAGCAGCATTTTTAGATTCAGGGTTTTACTCATCCTTTGTCCCCATTTAGTACATAAAATATGTGCTAAAGCCATAAGTAATATTTATTTCTCCCTAAGGCTCCTTCCCAGTTACAAATAGCAAAATTATTATCAAAATAATACTTTGGGGGCCAAACTGGCCAACCCCCTTCACTTGAAGAGTGGAGGATTCTTGGCTGAAAAAGGAAGTCTTTACATTTTCATCCTGATGAGTAATGGGCATCTCTTGCTTGTTCATTGGCCATTGTCAAATGAAATTTATGGGAGGCCATTGTTTTGAACTGAGTTCCTACACCAGGCTCAACAGACCACATCAAACCAGAATGGGGTCACTGGCAGTAGGTGCCCCATAATCAAACTGAACTTTAGAAGAAAAAAAAAAGAGAATCACAATAACCAATCCGAAGGGGCTCATTTTACCTGAACCAGCATAAGGAAGTCTCCTCTGTTTTTACTGGACAAAGAAAGTAACACTATAATGACGAATCTGCTTTTTGTTCCATGTTTCTGGGACTTTTTCATCAGCCTTTTTCTGCCTATAAAGCCCACCTCCCCTGCTCAGCTCATCAGAATGCCTTTTCTAAATCTTTAGAGGGGTTGCTGCCCAATTCAGGAATCACTAAATAAAAGCCAATTTGTTCTTTAAATTTGTTGAAATTTTGTTTTTTATACCATGTTCTACCAAAAAACTGATGTGACTATCAAAATGTCAGAAGTGGGGAATCAGCCTTTTCTGTACTTTTTAGGGCTTATTGATTTCCCTTTCCTAAAGATGTACCATCTGGAAATTACCTAGCAAAGTCACATATCTCTTCAGGGGCCTCTTGGCTACTGCACTTAAGTAGGCCCATAGAGGTTTTTCCCTCAACATACAGTGTTCATTTACTATCTGAAGTTAATTGTCATAAGATCTCTGACTTGCTGTTCTTCCAGTTAGATTGGTATACTAGTTATATCCCTGTCTTCCCATACCATATCTAAAAAGTATCTTTATGGATCTGAAATATTTATCATTATTTTCTTGCTGGCAGTGATTGAGAAGTTTGTATTTCCATGGCTGTTTGTTCAAATGGACAGTACTGATGAATGTAACTTTCAAAACTCCAAGCATAAGATACTAATATATAAAGAAAACTAGGACTAAGTAAAGTTGCAGGAACATGACTTGTCTATATAAAGAATTTGTAGAAAGTTTGAGGCTGTTAAAATGGTACAGTATAAGCATTACTGTATTCATTTCTGCCTGTCAAAGTAGGCAGGACATCAAAAACAGGAAGAACTTGTTCTAAACCAGCTTACTAATGATAAAAGTTTGACTTTTTCTGGCATTTAAGAAAAGAAAAAAAAAGTGGGATAGCTGGACAATGGTAGGAAGGAGGGAATTTGGGCATGCAACATAGGGTGTTTAACTCCTGGTATGTTATTTTACCATTTATACTGTCCTTCATTTTACTACACTAACAGGAACTGAAAATCTAAAAAAAAAATCTAATACATTACCTGTCATAATGACATTCTAAAAAAATTTTTAGCAGGTCACTATTTTGACAGATACTTATTTTTTTTCTTTCAGATCTTTCCTCGGATCCAGATGAATTAACAAATGTTGCTGTAAAATTTCCAGAAATTACTTATTCTTTGGATCAGAAGCTTCATTCCATTATAAACTACCCTAAAGTTTCTGCTTCTGTCCACCAGTATAATAAAGAGCAGTTTATCAAGTGGAAACAAAGTATAGGACAGAATTATTCAAACGTTATAGCAAATCTTAGGTGGCACCAAGACTGGCAGAAGGAACCAAGGAAGTATGAAAATGCAATTGATCAGTGGCTTAAAACCCATATGAATCCAAGAGCAGTTTGAACAAAAAGTTTAAAAATAGTGTTCTAGAGATACATATAAATATATTACAAGATCATAATTATGTATTTTAAATGAAACAGTTTTAATAATTACCAAGTTTTGGCCGGGCACAGTGGCTCACACCTGTAATCCCAGGACTTTGGGAGGCTGAGGAAAGCAGATCACAAGGTCAAGAGATTGAGACCATCCTGGCCAACATGGTGAAACCCTGTCTCTACTAAAAATACAAAAATTAGCTGGGCGCGGTGGTGCACACCTATAGTCTCAGCTACTCAGAGGCTGAGGCAGGAGGATCGCTTGAACCCGGGAGGCAGCAGTTGCAGTGAGCTGAGATTGCGCCACTGTACTCCAGCCTGGCAACAGAGTGAGACTGTGTCGCAAAAAAATAAAAATAAAATAATAATAATTACCAATTTTTCATTATTTTGTAAGAATGTAGTGTATTTTAAGATAAAATGCCAATGATTATAAAATCACATATTTTCAAAAATGGTTATTATTTAGGCCTTTGTACAATTTCTAACAATTTAGTGGAAGTATCAAAAGAATTGAAGCAAATACTGTAACAGTTATGTTCCTTTAAATAATAGAGAATATAAAATATTGTAATAATATGTATCATAAAATAGTTGTATGTGAGCATTTGATGGTGCTCGATGAGTTACTTGTATTTGATGGGATTGTTTGGATGTATTTAATGGGAGTATTTGGAGTATTTAACGGGATGTAAACCCTGGATGTACCTGATTTTGTTACTGTTTTATTTTAATAGGTAATATATATACAGGGTAAAAGCTTCAAATGGTACAAAAGGGTTAACAGTGATCGTGAAGTCTCTGTCCTTTCCCTCTTCCCTGCCATCCAGTTCCCCCTCCAAGAAGCAAGTACCGAAACCACCTGCTTACGCATTTTTAGAGATTGGCCACAAATTTATAAACAAATGTATATATTCCTTTCCCCCTACACAAACGGTAACATACTGCACACATTGTTCTGCATGTTGCTTCTTTTTCCTTTTTTTTTTCACTTAACAGTAGATATCTAGAGGTGAAATTACTGAGTCAAGACTATATTTAGCAAAATTACACTAGATACTACAAATTACCTCTAAAGAAGGTATACTAACTGATAATCTCACCATCAATGCATGTCTTCTTATCCTTTGCCAACCTAACAGATAAAAATGTTCTATTTTTATTTTTCTTTTTATGAGTAACGTAGAGCATATTTTCATGTATTTAACAGCCACTGGAATCTGCTTTACCATGGCCTTTCCTATTTCTATTCTTTGCCTATTTTTCTGTTGGTTGTTGGTCTTTGTTTTGTATTACAGGTGTGCTTTAGATATTAGCTTTTTGTAAGAGATCCTGCAAATATCTTCTTTCCAGTTTGTCATTGTCATTTGTCTTTTGACTTTGTTCTGGTATTTTTTGATATGTAGAAATTTTTATTTTCATGTAAGCAAATTTATGAATCTTTGTACACCATAAGTATATACAATTATGATTTGTCAATTAAAAATATTAGTACAAAATTTACAGATCTTTGCTTTTGTGGCTTTTGGGATTTTGTATCATATTTAGAATGGCCTTCTCCACTTGTCATTTTTTTTTTTGAGACGGAGTCTCGCTCTGTCACCCAGACTGGAGTGCAATGGTGCAATCCCGGTTTCAAGTGATTCTCCTGCCTCAGCCTCCCAAGTAGCTGGATTACAGGCACCCGCCACCACACCCAGCTAATTTTTTGTATTTTTAGTAGAGATGGGGTTTCACCGTGTTAGCCAGGATGGTCTTGATCTCCTGACCTGGTGATCTGCCCACCTAGGCCTCCCAAAGTGCTGGGATTACAGGCGTGAGCCACTGCGCCTGGCCTCCACTTGTCTTCTTTTATAATTTTATTTTTCACCTTTGGATCTTTGACCCAGCTGGAATGTATTAAACATATTAGAAATCTAACTTTGGTTGTTTTTTTAAATATGCCTACCCATTGATCTTTTATTGAGTAAACTGTCTCTTCTCCCATTCGTAAAAATGTCACTTCATCATATAATACCTTTGGTTGAGTACATTATCTTTTCCTCCATTGATTTGCGATGCCATTTTTATCTATACCAAAGTCCCATTTATACTTATGCCATTTCTGAACATTTTATTTTCCACTGGACCATTCTATTTTCTTTGTTTCTGTTTTGTTTTTTGTTTTTTTGAGACAGGGTCTTCCCTTGTCACTCAGGCTGGAGTGCAGTGGCACAATCACTGCTCACTGCAGCCTCAATCTCATAGGCTCAGGTGATCCTCGCACCTCAGCCTCCCTAGTAGCTGGGACCGCAGGCACGCGCCACAAAACTCAGCTAATTTTTTAAATTTTTATAGAGACAGGGTTTCACTGCATTGCCCAGACTGGTCTTAAAGTCCTGCACTCAAGCAACCTGACTGTCTCAGCCTCGCAAAGTGCTGGGATTACAGGCATGAGCCACCACACCCAGCCAGACCAGTCTATTTTATTAGTCTGGTAGACAGTATCTGGTAGGACTAGTCCCTTTGCAATAGTTTTCTTTTTTCAGAATTGTCCTTCCTAGCAACTCTTGATTTTTCCATACAAATTTAGAATAAGTTTGTGTAGTAACAAAAATGAAAAGTCCTGTTGGCTTTTAAATGAAATCATTAAATGTATAACCTACTTTAGAGAGAATTTAATTCTTTATGATAGTTATTCTAAATAATTAGCATGTTTTTCCCTTTATTCAAGTCTTCTTTTATATCCCTCAGTAGTAGTCTAAGTTTTCTTCATATAGATCAATTTGTCCGGAAAAATTTTTGAAAAGCAGAGACTTTAAAAAATACCCCCCTAGGCTCTACACTACACCACTTGATTAGAGCTTCTGAGACAGCCTGGGCCTGCTGTGCTATTATTGTTGTCTTGCTGGTCAATCCCTCCAGCCATGATTCTAATATGTAGCCAGAGGTGGGTTTATTTCCAGTTGTTTTATCAGTTATTGTGATTTTAAGTGAATCTTCCTTCCATTATATCCTCTAAGAGAAGATCTTCTTGTTTATATGTGCACTCCATTTCCATATATTTATTTTATGCTGAATCACTTCATAGTGAGTAATAGTTTTTCAAGTGATATATTATTTTCCAAGTAAAAATCTTACCTGCAAATAATTTTACCCAACTTAATACTTCTTCAAACTGTCTTTGAAGTTTTCTTCATGAGTAAGTTCATCTCCTTTATTTATTTGTTTATCGTTCTTCAGTGAATTTATATGAGCTTACCTTTGCAATTATGAATTTCTGAGAAATGATTTTACTTTTGAATATATCTGATTTTTATTACATATGTATATACACATGCATACACAAACACACATATTCTGAAGTGAAACCCTTAAAAAGAAAGACTGAGTATTAAGGTTAAAATTAAACTATACAAATCCACCATCCATCTCCTAAATAAGCCTAAAGAACACAAGTAGCTAAAGTATGGGTATATATGCTAATCATAGAGAGAAAAGCAATAACAATAGAAATGTGGTCCTGAAAATAGGCTTGTGAAGATAAATCTACTTCATTCTACCCAAACCCTTTAAGATACACATTCATTGTAAGAATTTACCAAGCATCTGCCATGTTTTAAGCATATTAAGTACAGGATCATAATTAGGTACAGTTGAATATTCAGGACAATATCTAATTCAGAATGGTATCTAACAATCATGAAAACCGAAAATTAAGAAAAACGCACAAAATCAAGACAATTATCTAATGCCAGAATCTGAGAGGAACTGACACTAATTAGAAGCTGGAATGAGAATAACCTTTGGGCTTCCATTTTTACTACCTCCACTACTAACTTCTTGTTCTAATCCACCATGATCTGTGCTTGGAATTTTGCTGTTGACTCTTAAGAGGTCTCCATGAATCTGTCCTTGGCTTCCTTCAGTCTGTTCTCAACAGCAGCCAGAGTGAGCCTGTCAAAATACAGATCACACCCCTGGATACTCAAAGCTCCCACTGGTTTCCCATCTTTTTCTGTAAAAGCCAGAGTCATTACAATAGCCTGTGGGCCCCAAATAATCTGGTAGCATGTTCTCTCTAAGACCGCTTCTCCTCCTATACTCCTACCTGATTTACTGTGCTCCAGCCACATGCATCCCTGTTGCTTTCCAGACAGACACACCAGGCATGCACCACCAAGACCTCTTTGCGCTTGTCAATTTTTTCTGCCTAGAGTGCAGTTCTTCCTTCAGATTTTTTCATGGCTCACTGTTATTTCCTTGAGGTCATGGCTCAAATGTCACCATCGCACAAGGACTTTCCTGCTTTATTTTTCTCCATAGAAATTATTACCATTTAATTTAGTGTGTGTCTTACATAATTAATGTGTTTGAGCTGTCTTTTACCCTTTCTGACGGTACTAGAATAAAAGCTCCAACCAGGCATGGCGTTTTGTCCCTTTTCTCCATAAAGTATCTCAAATGCCTAACACATAGTAGAAGCTTAGTAAATACTTGTTGAATTAATTTACTGGGAATTACAGCTTTTCAAATATCACATTAGTTTAGAAAACCAACAAATTTGGGCTGTAGCAGGGTGGGGAGTAAAAGGGAGTAGGCTTTTTTTTTTTTTTTTTGAGACGGAGTCTTGCTGTGTCACCCAGGCTGGAGTGCAGTGGCTCCATCTCAGCTCACTGCAACCTCCACCTCCTGGGTTCAAGCCATTCTCCTGCCTCAGCCTCCCAAATAGCTGGGACTATAGGCATGTGCCACCACATCCGGCTAATTTTTGTATTTTTAGTAGAGATGAGGTTTCACCATGTTAGCCAGGCTGGTCTTGAACCCCTGACCTCAGGCAATCTGCCAACCTCGGTCTCCCAAAGTGCTAGGATTACAGGCATGAGCCGCCGAGCCCGGCCAAGGGAGTAGTTTTCTTAATAAAGCAAAGCCTTCTAGAAACAGTAAATTGTAGCAAAATCTTGCACAAAAGAGCTAACAAATAGACACTATCCCCCTTTGTTTTATCTTTTTAAAATCGACACATAATAATTCTACCTATTGGCCACGTGCGGTGGCTCACGCCTGTAATCCCAGCACTTTGAGAGGCCAAGGCTGGTGGATCACATGAGGTTGGTAGTTCGAGATCAGCCTGACCAAGCCTCTGCATGTCTTAGTAGAGACATGGAGAAACCCTGTCTCTACTAAAAATACTCTGTCTCTACTAAAAATTAGCCAGGTGTGGTGGCGCATGCCTATAGTCCCAGCTACTTGGGCGGCTGAGCCAGGAGAATCGTTTGAACCCGGGAGGCAGAGGTTGCCATGAACTGAGATTGCGCCATTGCACTCTAGCCTGGGCACAAGAGCAAAAATCCATCTCAAAATAAATAAATAAATAAATAAATAAATAAAATAATTATACCTATTTATGGACTACAGTATACCTCTATACATGTATACAAGGTGTAATGATCAAATCAGGGTGATCAGCATACCAATTACCTCAAACATTGATCATTTCTTTGTGTACATTCAAAATCTGTTCTATTTGAAAATATATAATAAATTATTGTTAATTACAGTCACTCCGTAGTACTATAGAACACTAGAATGTATTCCTCCTATCCTACTGTACTTTTGTATTCGTTAACCAATCTTTAGCTGTTCCTCTCTCCCCTTACCCGTCCCCACCTCTAGTAACCACTGCTCTACTCTCTACCTCCATGAGATCAATGCTTTTTTACGCTTCTGCTTGTGAGTAAGAACATGCAGCATTTATCTTTCTGTGCCTGGCTCATTTCACTTAACATAATGTTCTTCAATTTCATCCATGTCGCTGCAAATGATAGAATTTCATTCTTTTTACAGCTAAATAGTATTCCATTGTGTATATATACCACATTTGCTTTATCCATTCATCTGTTGATGGACACAGGTTGATTCCATACCTTGGCTATTGTGAATAGTGCTGCAGTAAACATGGGGTGCATGTATCCCTTTAATGTACTGATTTCCTTTCCTTTAGATATTTACCTAATAGTGGCGTTGCTGGATCATGATAGTTCTATTTTTAGTTTTTTGAGGAACCATTTTACTGTTTTCCATAATGGCTGAACTAATTGACGTTCCCACCAACAGTGTAAGAGTTCCCCTTTCTCCTCATCCTGCTAGCATTTATTATTTTTTGTCCTTTTGATAATAACCATTCTAACTGGGTGAGATTACACCTCATTGTGATTTTATCTTTTTCTATTAAAAAAAGGCTAGATACTAAATATTTTAGGCTTTGTGAGCCATATGGTCTCTTTCACAACTACTCATCTCTACCGCTGAAGTGTGAAAGCAGCAAGACAATATGTAAACAAATGAGCGTGGCTATGTTCCAATATAGCTTTGTTTACAAAAATGCAGGATTTGCCTTGTGGGCCATAGTTTGCTCAATGCTGGGCTAGAATAGTTTGCAACCTTGCCGCAAATTGGAATCACCTGAGGATGTTTAAAAACTATTATTGCCTGGCTCCTACCCCAGGCTGCAGGAGTTTTAAAGCTTCCCAGCCTGTAATCCCAGAACTTTGGGAGGCTGAGGCAGGCAGATCACCTGAGGTCAGGAGTTTAAGACTAGCCTGGCCAACATGGTGAAACCCCGTCTCTACTAAAAATACAAAAATTAGCCGGGCGTGGTGGCGCGTGCCTGTAATCCCAGCTACTCGGGAGACTGAGGCAGAAGAATCCCTTGAACTAGGAGGCAGAGGTTGCAGTGAGCTGAGATCACGCCACTGCACTCCAGCCTGGGTGACAGAAAAAAAGGCTCAAAAAAAAAAAAAAAAAAAGCTTCCCAGGTGATTCTAATGTGCAGCAAAATCTGGGAACCACTAGTCTGGAACCTTGTTATTCAAACTACCATCCTCAGGAAAGAAGCATCCATATCGACTAGGAGCTTTATCTTGTTTTGGTTTTTGTTTTTTAATGGATTTTGTATTCTTTCTACTGTTTGTGGTTTTTCAATTTATTAGACCCAGGAGATCCTCGTAAAAACTACTAGAATGGATGGAATTTGTTAAATGGCTGCATATACAAAAATAAAAGGTCAGGCGCGGTGGCTCATGCCTATAATCCCAGCATTTTGGGAGGGTGAGGTGGGGGGATCACCTGAGGTCAACACTTCAAGACCAGCCTGGCCAACATTGTGAAACCCCATCTCTACTAAAAATACAAACAATTAGCTGAGTGTGGTGGTGGGCGCCCGTATTCCCAGCTACTTGGGAGCCTGAGGCAAGAGAATCATTTGAGGCAGAGGTTGCAGTGAGCCGAGATTACACCACTGCACTCCAGCCTGAGCAACAAGAGCGATATGTTGACTCACATATATCTATAAGAGGAATCACTAGGTAAAAACAGAAATTAGAGAAAATATTACATTCATGTTATCCTATACATATTTATTTATTTGTTTACTTATTTATTTATTTTTGGTACAGGATCTTACTTTGTCACCCAGGTTTTGAGTGCAGTGGTGCGAACATGGCTCACTCACTGCAGTCTCAACCTCCTGGGCTCAAGTGATCTTCCTGCCTCAGCCCCCTGAGTAGCTGGGACCACAGGTGTGCATCACCATGCCCGGCTAATTTTTAAGTTTTTTCTAGAGATGAGGGTCTCACCATGTTGGTCAGGCTGGAAAATACTTTACATTTTAATGAGAGGTATACAAACCTAGATTTTTAAAACTATAAACTTCTATTGAAGTATATAAACAAAATATGAATATGCAATGACAGCATGTTCTTGGATGGGAAGATCTAATCTCAAAATATCACTTCCCCAAAATTAATGTATAAATTTTGTGCAATCCTGATTTTATTCCAGAAAAGAGATATTTTTATTTGATTTTTTAAATTGAATGAAATGGTCTGATAGTTTTTATGGAAAAAATAATGTCTGAAATAAGTAATAAAATTATGGGAAAATAATATCGAGGTGGGATTAATATTACTGGCTATTAAAACATACTATAAACCACTGAATTAAACTAAGAACTTGGTAATGAGGGGCCATGAAGCAAAAAAGAGATGACTCAACACAAACTAGGTAGAAGAAGCTCATGTGGAAAGCAGACCATCTAGACCCATGTTAGAACTATTATCCCCCTTCTACACTGGCCATACTCATTTGTGTGCGTATACATATATATTGTTTACAATTATGTATGTATTATTTACAATTATGTATATTAAACTTTCATTAGGTAGAATTTTTACCGCCAAAAAAATTTTTTTGGAGGCAGCGTCTCACTCTGTCACCCCAGCTAGAGTGCAGTGGTGCAATCATAGCCCATTGCAGCCTTCAATCTCCCAGGCTCAAGCAATCCTTCCACCTTAGTCTCCGAAGTAGCCAGGAGTATAGGTGTGCGCCACCGTGCCTGACTAATTTTTTTATTTTTCAGAGACAGGGTCTCCCTATGTTGCCCAAGCTTGTCTCAAACTCCAGGACTCAAGCAATCCTCCTGTCTCAGCCTCCCAAAGTGCTCAGGCTACAGGCGTGAGGCACAGAGCCTGGCCTAACCCAATTATTTTTAATTTTAACATTAAAAAGCTGAGTCTTAAAAAATTCTTGAGTCAAAAAATTATAATTATATGCTATTTTAAAAGTAATAAAAATGAGAAAATTTAGATCAGTCATTCAGGATGGCATGGCTACAGACAAAAATAAGAACATTTAGAAAAATATATGATACAACCAAAACTATACTCAGAATAATATTCTTAGCCTTAAGCTTTTTATTATTAAAGGAAATTTAAAAACTCTTCAATGTTAAAAGTTAGAAAAAATATGCATAAATTTTGCAATATTTACGGTGAAGTTTTGATATCCTTAAATAATGGTTTGAGAATTGTATTTCCACTTAGGATAGACAAAGATGCAAGGGAATACTGCTCCCATGTTAACAACAACAACCAAAAGAAAAAAATAAAGGCAGAAAATCTACAAAATCAAAACTTTTCTTGAGCCTATCAGAGAAAGGAGATTGCCAGGCAACAGGTGAACTAAATTCGAAAAGGTGGCAAGCACCTCCAAGGACAGGTGAGACCTCTGACAGAACACGGGAGGAAAAACTCACAGCCAAAAAAGTGGGTAAAGAAGCAACTGATATTTTGACATATACTTAAAGGCCAAATGCATGTGAAAATAACAGTAGAAACTCTGGGAACCCCCCACACACGGTGTGCCCACTGACTAACCAGCTTTCTTTCATGGACTTAATATGGTACTTAAAGAGAAAGACTAGGGGCAGAGCAGAAGACCTGATGGAGCCCCCTTAGTGGGATGGGTGTACAGACAGAGAGTGGCTGCCTCTTGAGGACAAGCATAAAACCCAGGACTTTTTGTCATACAAAGCAAAACACATCTGCCACTGGGGCAGGATCAGAAAACACTCTCACCCCCAGTCCTCAGCAAAAGGTCAGCTGTCACTGGGGAGGGGTAGATTACAGCGAAAGCTATCACTGCTAAGCAAGATGGAGAAACCTATTCATGCCCAGAATCTTTGTTACAAAGCAAAGGTTTCTCACAAAAGGGACAGAACCAAGAAATTTGCTCTTGGAAGTTACAAGACAGAATTCAGCTGCCATAGAGGGAAGGGACAGGATTATGGAGAAACTCCCACACTTGAGGCTCAGGCCCCCAGGGCCTGAATAAGACAAAGGTTGGAACAGGAAGGCCAAGAAAGCCACCCTGCCCCCATCATGGGCAGCAAACAGCACAGAACTTCTGGGAGAGGGGCCAAAGCCTGGAAAGAAACATCCCCGTCCCCTCCCCCACTCTGGTGGCCAAGTGTGAAGGGCCAGCTGAAAGTTGGGGATGGAGCAGAAACACTGAGAAAAACCTTCTACCATTCCAGGCCTCATAGTTGAAACGCAAGATGTCAGTATGGAGGAATATGAAGTCAACAGTATAATAATGATAACTGTAGTAACAACAAAATCTAAACCTAGCTCAACTACTGATTAGATTTACCACCCTAGTAGCCTGATGAGTGAAGAGGCATGGCCATTTTCAGAAGTAAACACTATTTACATCAGTCACTCTTATTCTTTTATATATAATGTCTGGCACTCAGTAAAACTTACAAGGCAAAAGAGTTAAAAAGAAAAAAAAAAAAGAAGCCAATTTTCAAGAGATAAAGCAGTAAACAGAACCAGACTGAGAGATGGCCCAGAGGTTGAAACTGTCAAAGTAACTGTAAAAATGCTATGATTAATATGTTAAAGGATTTAGTGGAAAATGTGGACCACATGCACGAACATATACAGAATTTCAGCAGAGATGGAAATGATTCAAAAAAGAATAAATTGGATACACTAGACATGAAAAACATGTTATTATGGATGAGGAATTCCTTCAATTGCCTTATCAGCAGACTAGAGATAGAAGAAAGAATTAGTAAACTTGACTACAGGTTAGAATAGAAAATTTTCAAAATAAAATCCTGAATTTCAAAAGGTGGCAAGCCCCTCTGAGGAGAGCTGGAACAGAGAGGGGAAAAAAGAGAAAAAGAAAAAGTGGAGAAAAATAGAGCATCCAAGAGCTGTGGGACAGTATGAAATGGCATAATATACATGTAATTCAAGTCACAGAAGGAGAATAGAAAGAGATAAAAGGTCGGAAGAAATAATTGAAAAGATAATTGCTGAGAATTTTCCAAAATTAATAAAAGACAACAAATCACCAACCTAAATGTTTAGAGAAGCCCAAGCAGAATATATACAAAGGGCTAGGCCCGGTGGCTCATGCTTGTAATCCCAACATTTTGAGAGGCCAAGGCGGGTGGATCACCTGAGGTCAAGAGTTTGAGATCAGCCTGGCCAACATGGTGAAACCCCATCTCTAATAAAAATACAAAAATTAGATGGATATGGTGGTGCATGACTGTAGTCCCAGCTACTTGGGAGGCTGAGGCATGGGAATCACTTGAACCCAGGTGGCAGAGGTTGCAGTGAGGCAAGATAAGGGGAAAATCTTGAATGCAACCACAGAAAAAAAGAAACACTCCAAAAAAAGAAACCAGCCAGGCACGGTGGCTCATGCCTGTAATCTCAGCACTTTAGGAGGCATAGCTGGGCAGATCACCTGAGGCCAGGAGTTCGAGACCAGCCTGGCCGCGTGTGGCACTCACCTGTAATCCCAGCTACTTGGGAGGCTGAGGCATGAGAATCATTTGAACCCGGGAGGCAGAGGTTGCAGCGAGCCAAGATTGCACCACTGCACTCCAGCCTGGGCGACAGAGCAAGACTCTGTCTCAAACAAATAAACAAACAAAAAGATAAGAATTACATCATTACAAAGATGAGCAAAATGTATCAAGCACTATGCAAACTAGAAGACAATGGTGCAACTTCTTTCAAGTACTGAAAGAAAAACTCATCATAGAATCCTATATGCCCAGCAAAAGTATCTTTCAAAAATGTAGGTAAAATAAAAACTTTATAAGACAGAAAAAAAAAAAAAGAAAACTAAGAGAATGTGTTGCCAGCAGATCTGAACTATAAGAAATGTTAAAGGACATTCTTTAAGCAGAAGGAATATGATCTCAAATGAGAAACTGCATCTACGCAAAGGGAGAAACTGGAAAACTCATACAATGATGGTGGGAAGGGCCCAGTCTCTATGGAAAACAGCTTGGCAGTTCCTCAAAAAGTTAAACATGAAATTCACATATGACTCAGCAATTTCACACCTAGGAATATACTCTAGAGAACTGAAACAGGCATTCGCAGAAAAACTTGTACACAAATATTCATAACAGAATTGTTCACTATAATGAAAACAACCAAAATGGAAACAGCCTAAAATAGAAACAACCCAAATATCCATCAGCTGATGAATGGATAAACAAAATTTGGTGTATCCACATAATGAAATATTATTTAGCCATAAATAATGAAATACTGTTACATACTACAATGTGGATGAAACTTAAAAACATTATTCAAAGCAAAAGAAACCAAAAACAAAAGGCTACATTATGTGATTGCATTTCTATGAAATGTCAAGAATAACCAAATCCATAGAGTCAAAGGAGACTAGTGGTTTCTAGGTGCTGGAAGAGGAAAATAATGTGTACGGGTTTATTTTGGGAATGATTTAAAAGTTCTGGAATTAGATAGTGGCAGTGGTTGCACAAACTTGTAAATATACTAAAAAGCACTGAATTGTATACTTTAAAATTCTAGATTTTATGATATATAAAGTATATCTCAATTTTTAAAATGAAGAAATAATGAAGTGTTTTCATCTATGAGAATGACAAACGCTGATGATGCTCATATTGTTGGGGCTATGGGGAAAAAGACACATACATTGCTTGCATCCCTTGTTGAGAATAACTCAGTACTATATGTTAAAATGCATTAAAAATGCACGTGCTCAGCCTCAGCAATTCCAATGACAGGATTTTATCATAAGGGAATAATTGAATGCATGTGCTAGGATGTAGGTGAAGAGATGTTCTTCACAGAATTATTTATAAAGTGAAAATGAGAAAAACTTTTGTCTAAAAATAGGGGGCTATTTAAATAATTGTAATCCATTCAACATTAAACAGATAATTATATCATATTATCACTGACATGGGAAGTGATCCAAATACAATCTTAGGTGAAATGAAAGCAGGATATAAAATGTTGTATGCAGTGTAATCTATTTCTGTAATATACAGATCTAGTCATTATAGCCTGAAATATATATCACTGAGTATTAACAACAGGTTTTTTTGAGCAGTATGTTAAGTGTTTTTTGTATGTGAATATGCATTGTCTAATTTTTCTGCAATTAATATGTACTGCTTATTTAATTAAAAACTACTGAGTTTTCAAAACATATATGCCAAACTTAATATCATCTATATTGAGACAACATTTATATTGAGACAAAGTGGCATTATGCACCCCAGAAATGATACACTTTTGACAGTATTACCTATGTAATGTTCCTGCCAGAAAAGTCAAATCCAAATTTAATTATGTGGAAACAAATACAATTTTAAGGATATTCCGCTAAACATGTGTCATGGACTCTTCAAATGTCAGCATCCCAAAAAGAAAAAGACAGGCTGGGAGGCTATTTAGGTAAAGGCCACTAAATAAGTATTACAATCAAATATAATTCATTATCTTTGATTATGCCCAGCACATTAGATAAAAATAAACCTATAGAAAAACATTTTTGTAAAATTGGTTAGAAAAAAGAGAATAATAACAAGCTTCTAGAAAGAAAAAAACAATGATCATATCTAAGCAAAACATGAATCAGATGGCTTCAGTCTTCTCAACACAAACACTCAGAAGCCAGAAAGGGAATGGAGTAATGCCTTCAAAATTCAGAAGGAAAAGATTTTCAAAAATAGGATTCCAAACCCAGCCAAATAATCAGTTAGGCAATAGGGTAGAATAAAGAAATTTTCAGACATGTGGGATCCCAAATAGTTACCTTCTCTCAAGAAGTCACTGAAAGGTGCTTTCTTCCCAAGCAAGAAAATAAACCAGGAAAGAAAAAAATCCATTAAATCAGAAAACAAGAGAACCAGCATGAGATAAGTGAAAGGAATCCCTAGGACGATGCTGACGTGAGATGCCAGGATGACCGCTGGCCCAGAGGGCAACATGTCCAGACAGAATCTGCATGACTCAAATAAGGAGTACAATGAGGTCTCTTACCACTTAGTTCTCAGGCTTTGTACAACCTTGTAAACCTTATGAAATATTAGATGATGTGTTCTACCAAAAAGGAAGAAATCAAGGAGAAAGACCAGAGATCCAAGAAACAGGAACTGCAACCCAAGAGAAAGGCAGAAAGTTTCAATGACGACAACAAATGGAGGTCCGCAGATGGTAGTTATGCAGTAGGCCTTGGGAGAAATTAGCCCAAATAAGAGAAAAATGAAAGTCTCTGGTAAAGAGGTTTCCGTGAAAAAAAATTGGAGCTGCTATATTACGTTTTGAAACTGACCTTGTGGAAATTGCTTGGGGGGACTATTTGAGGGTACAGGAAGAATTAGCTATGATAACAATGAAAAGTAAGAAAAGGCAATTATTAACTTTAAAAATAACAAAAAATAATATTCACAATATACAACTCAACTGTGAATATTTTTGTTTCATAATAATATAAACACCAAATATAAGTCTAACCCAAAATTACAGTATTGTTCTAATGGTATGGGAAATGGAAATAGTGACAGAGGTGCGAGAGATAAGTCTTTAATAAGAAGTTAACAGATAATATATCAATTTGTTAAATCAATGAATAGCATTACATATATATTATTTACTATTATGAATTAAGTCAATGCCAGAAGAAAGAGCAAATAGAGTCTAAATTGGTTCCCTCTAGAAAGAGGGGATAAAGAAGTGGAGATGTATAGGACAGGGAACTCTTTATGTTATCAGCCTTCTAGTTCCATTTGACTTTCAAAACTATGTGCATTGTATAATTTTAATAAGAATTAGTTTAGGCCAGGCCCAGTGGCTCATGCCTGTAATCCCAACACTTTGGGAGGCCAAGGTGGGCAGATTCTTGAGCCCAGGAGTTTAAAACTAGCCTGGGCAACATGGCGAAACTTAGCCTCTACAAAAAATACAAAACTTAGCTGGGTGTGGTGGTGTCTGCCTACAGTCCCAGCTAGTTGGGAGGCTGAGGTGAGAGAATCACCTGAGCCCAGGAAGTCGAGGCTGCAGTGAGCTATGATCATGCCACTTCACTCCAGCCTGGGCAACAGAGTGAGACCCTGTCTCAAAAAGGGAAAAAAAAAAAAAAAAAAGAATTTGTTGAAAATCAATGTTTTATCAGATCTTACTAAAGTTCTGTGAAATTTCACTATAGTCATTTTGAAATGCTAATATATAAGAGCATTTCAACAAATTTGAGACAAATGATAGACTATCTTGAGAAACACTGAAATGATACTGGCTAGGAAAATCACTGAATGATGAACATTGCTCAGAGAAGGCTCCCTGGAAGAAGTGCATTATAAACTGGGATGATGTGTGTGCATAGAAAAAGGCCTTGGATAAAAAGTTCTAAAGGGAGAGTATGAAAATCAAACCAGGATTTTAGATTTTCCAAGGCTATCACTCTAGCTTTCTTAAATGTCCCACCAGGAACACTTATTCCTATGTCTCCACAGAGCTTCCTTGGGCTCCTCTGGACAATACTGGCATAGTATAAAAGGAATTTTTTCTTAGGTGATGGATTTATAGTCAAGGCAGGCATTTATGCTCGAAGGTATCTGAAAAGCATCGTATATCCACTAATTCATCAACTCAACACATACCCACTGATAACTACAACCTGTCAGACCAGAGCGAGGCACCACAGAGATGATGATGAAAATAACCAAGGTTTCTGGCCAAAGGACAACAGCTTGGGAAATGGGATTCCTACAGCAGCTGGCAGGACTATCATGGAACCCACCAAATCTTCCTAGGCCATGAATCTTAAAGTTCCAAATGTTTCCTCAGATTGGGAATGTGAACCCTAGACAACACTCATACCTCCCTGGCCCCCAGGCCAGGAAGTACAGGAAATTCTACTTTCACCATGATTAACGTGGAGGGTGCATAAAAAGACAAATGGATGCTTCCAACAGGGAAACTAAAATGTGTTTGTGAGGAGACAAGGCTAAAATGAAAGCAGCAACATTTAATCTAAACCATTTCCTGTGACTTGGATTTCTTTTTTAAAAAAATTGGCCGCCTTATCACTTTCTTAGTCACCTTTTCTCTAGGCTTATTGGAGGCGTAGCCCCTCCTAGCAACTTCCCATCTGCTGGAAAACAGAATCAAGAGAATGAGGAGTGTGATGACGCATCCTTCACTGGATGAAAATATTAGGAGAAAAGCAATAAATGCACTACCATTTGCATAAAACCTATTAATGCCCTCTTCAGACTAATGAAATGAATTTTACATCACCAAGAAAGCAGCTGTGACCCACTGCTCCTAGTATTTGGAACGATCTGCAACACTGCCACTCCTAAAAGCAACATCATTGACTTTAGTACCCTCTAATTAAAATACTTTCATTCTTGGACAGAGAAGACACATCTTGATCAAAATTCAGCTAATAGGTCTCCTCTTTGCTCAAAACGCTGTTAGGTTTCTTGTGTTCCTGTTTTTCTCATGCTCGTGCAGATCCATGGCATTTCAAACCTTTAAAATAAAAACTAATGTCTTTTCTATTTTTTTCCTACTGGCAATCACATTGGGGTGGTGGGGGCGTGTGGTACAATCTCAGTCAAGAGGTCCTCTCTTGTGTGGGTGCTGGCATAACACTGGCCGTATACAATGGCCAAGCAAAGCGACATTCTGTCCTGCTGTGCTTTACACGTAAATAGAGAATGGATGAGGTTCTCAGCGCCCAGGGGTCCGCGGCTTCCGCGAGGGTAGCGTCGGGGGCCGCTGCAGAGATTGGAAGAGTACCCGCCGGGAATGGGAGGGAAGACGCGGGGAAGGTGGAGAATAGGAATCATGTGTGTTCCTCGAGTGTACAACCCACATTTGAGTGACAAATCACGAGGACAATCGACAAAAACAACTAAGCGCAAAGCCGCCCGAATCCATCTCCCTCTCTGTGCGTGTGCCTTTTCAACTAACTTTGGGAACTCGTATAGACCCAGCGTCGCTCCCCGCGCCGCCTCGCCTCCACTTTGGTTTCCCGCGTCCTGCCCGCCCTCTTCGGTGCCTCCTCTTCCTCCGGGACAAGGATGGAGGATCTCTTTAGCCCCTCAATTCTGCCGCCGGCGCCCAACATTTCCGTGCCCATCTTGCTGGGCTGGGGTCTCAACCTGACCTTGGGGCAAGGAGCCCCTGCCTCTGGGCCGCCCAGCCGCCGCGTCCGCCTGGTGTTCCTGGGGGTCATCCTGGTGGTGGCGGTGGCAGGCAACACCACAGTGCTGTGCCGCCTGTGCGGCGGCGGCGGGCCCTGGGCGGGCCCCAAGCGTCGCAAGATGGACTTCCTGCTGGTGCAGCTGGCCCTGGCGGACCTGTACGCGTGCGGGGGCACGGCGCTGTCACAGCTGGCCTGGGAACTGCTGGGCGAGCCCCGCGCGGCCACGGGGGACCTGGCGTGCCGCTTCCTGCAGCTGCTGCAGGCATCCGGGCGGGGCGCCTCGGCCCACCTCGTGGTGCTCATCGCCCTCGAGCGCCGGCGCGCGGTGCGTCTTCCGCACGGCCGGCCGCTGCCCGCGCGTGCCCTCGCCGCCCTGGGCTGGCTGCTGGCACTGCTGCTGGCGCTGCCCCCGGCCTTCGTGGTGCGCGGGGACTCCCCCTCGCCGCTGCCGCCGCCGCCGCCGCCAACGTCCCTGCAGCCAGGCGCGCCCCCGGCCGCCCGCGCCTGGCCGGGGGAGCGTCGCTGCCACGGGATCTTCGCGCCCCTGCCGCGCTGGCACCTGCAGGTCTACGCGTTCTACGAGGCCGTCGCGGGCTTCGTCGCGCCTGTTACGGTCCTGGGCGTCGCTTGCGGCCACCTACTCTCCGTCTGGTGGCGGCACCGGCCGCAGGCCCCCGCGGCTGCAGCGCCCTGGTCGGCGAGCCCAGGTCGAGCCCCTGCGCCCAGCGCGCTGCCCCGCGCCAAGGTGCAGAGCCTGAAGATGAGCCTGCTGCTGGCGCTGCTGTTCGTGGGCTGCGAGCTGCCCTACTTTGCCGCCCGGCTGGCGGCCGCGTGGTCGTCCGGGCCCGCGGGAGACTGGGAGGGAGAGGGCCTGTCGGCGGCGCTGCGCGTGGTGGCGATGGCCAACAGCGCTCTCAATCCCTTCGTCTACCTCTTCTTCCAGGCGGGCGACTGCCGGCTCCGGCGACAGCTGCGGAAGCGGCTGGGCTCTCTGTGCTGCGCGCCGCAGGGAGGCGCGGAGGACGAGGAGGGGCCCCGGGGCCACCAGGCGCTCTACCGCCAACGCTGGCCCCACCCTCATTATCACCATGCTCGGCGGGAACCGCTGGACGAGGGCGGCTTGCGCCCACCCCCTCCGCGCCCCAGACCCCTGCCTTGCTCCTGCGAAAGTGCCTTCTAGGTGCTTGGTGGTCAGAGACGGGTCATCTGTCGCTAAGGCGCAACCTCCAGGGAACTCGAGGCCTGCCAGGGTCTGTCCAGATCACAAGGGGCAGGAGAGTCTGTGAGAGAGTGACACTGAAGTTGTCCCCTTCCTCCACTCTCCTATTCCCTTCTCATGTTTACATTTCCCTATGCTCTTCCAGTTTCTCTTCTTCCCTACAGTTCCTCTCATATCTCCCCATTTGGAGACAGTGAGCCACTGGAAAGTTGTAAAAACAAAAACAGTTATTTTTGCAGTTTTCTTTCACGCATTTATAGTGCTCTGGATAATGCCATTTATTTTTGCTGATTACCCAACTTTCAGTATTTGCTGTGTTATCATCTGTATTTACTTATTTTGAATCGTGCTTAAATCAAATGTACCTTCAGCACCTGCAAGTTTGCCTTTTCTTTCCAGGAGGAAAATCCCCACGTTGCTCTCCCTGGGGAGTCTGAGAATTATACCAGTGCTGTCAGAAATGTAATCATGCTGTCATTTCAGAGCCACAGAGTATTTATAAAATAAAAACCTTTCCCACGGAGCAATTGGGACTTTTTTTTTTTTAACATAGTAATGTATTTTCTCAGAAGAAAATCAGCGTGGCCTTTATTTCCAGTCTAGTTTCCACTTCAACAGAAGCTGAGGTTGTAGGAAGGAAACAAAAGCTTGACTTGGTGTCTTTCAAATATACTTGGTTTCTGTTGGAAATCGTCCCTGTGCCCCCAGCAGCCTCTAAAGGTGTAATGCTATGCCCAGATGGAGCCTCTCCGTACAAAGTCCCCAGCAAACCAGAGAAAGGAAGCTTCAAGGTGGTGCATATGGGTGGGGCTCAGTGTCCCAGATGGAGCCTCAAAGAGATTTGCAGCTAGGAAGGAAGTCAAAACCTCAGAATGCTGCATGTGTATATAAAACTCCCTTGTTAAAAAAATGAATTCAATGCCTGTTGGTGTGGATAGCTGAGAACAAGGTCAAGAGCGGATTTGATCAGTAACCTCTTCCTCTCAACTGTTCTTGGTTCTAGACAGAAGTGGCAGCACTTATGAACAATATATCCATGGGTTTATCAGTGATTTTTGTATGAGGATCTAAAGCTTTCCATTATAGTGTTTCTTGTTCATGCACAAATGCAGACCTAAGATGCAGAAAGGGGAAATGATTGTTTAAAGCTCTTTGTAGAGCCAATGCTGAGGGCTGTTTTGTTCACTAATATATTCCAAATGCTTAAACAATGCTTGACATGTAGTAGGCTCTCAATATATATTTGTTGAACAATTCATCATGTGAGTTAGAGATAGAACAAATAAAAGATATACGAAAGAAAATCTTTACTAAGCTTTCTTTACCTTCCTCCAAAATTTTGACAGCAGATGTTCCAGAGTTGTAGCTTTTCCTTCCTCTCTTTGTTCCTCCTTACCCTGTTGAGGATGCAATGGTCTGCAAAATACCAGGAATAAATCAGCCAAAGAGAGGATACAGTTGTCTTCATGAACCCAAGTCTAGATTATACCATTATTTATTCATTAATAAACATTTATTACCTGCTTATTTTGTGCCAGTTAATAAGCTAGGCATTGGAGATGCTGAGATGAATAAGTCACATTTTTCCCTCAAAGACGTTATAGTCAAATGTAGGAAACAATCTGACAATTACACTGCAGTGTCACCTGTGTTATAACAGGGGAATTCAGTCAGGGTGCCAGAAGAACTGAAGAGGAGAATCTGACAATCTTGGGGGACTATGAGGGGACATTAGGAAAGACTCACCAAAAGAAGCTCTTGAAGGCTGGTTTGGGGGTGACCCTTCAGGTCAGGAAAGGTGTTCTAGGCAACGGGAATAGCACTGCAAAGCATAGAAGAGACAGAACATAGCATAGTCAAGTAATGACAATAGCTTTAGGGTGCCTTTGGGGCCTGACCTAATGAGATACGTGGTCAGAGAAATTCAGCCTGGCCCCAGTGAAGACAGGTCTGTGTGCCAAGCCAAGAAAGCAAAAAGTAGCCTTTGAAGAATTTAATCAGTTATAATTTGACCCAATTTCAATTTTAGAAAGGTCATCTCAATGATGGCATGAAGGATCACCAAATGGAAGGGTAGGGGGGAATTCTTAGATGAGAAATCAAGGCAGAATCTCAGAGAGTCTTCAGAATACGATTCCTAATGTTGGACCACTTCGAATGCGCTCAAGAGAGATAATAAATTTAAAGCAGCTGAGACAGGTTTTCTGTTTTCTGCAGTTAAGACTACCCTAACAGAAAAGCTTACTCAGCTGGCTTCAACTTATTATTTCACATGACAAGAAGTCTGGTGGTAGGGCTGTGCCAGGGTTGGTTAAGTAAGTAGCTCAACTTCATAATCAAGGGCTGTGACGGTTAATTTTATGTGTCAACTTGACTGGGTTAAGGGATGCTCAGATAGCTGGTAAAACATCATTTCTGGGTGTGCCTGTGAGGGTGTTTCCAGAAGAAATTAACATTCAAATCGTAGACTGAGTGAAGAAGATCAATCCTCACCAGAGGTGGCAAGCATCATCCCATCTGTTGAGGGCCCACCCAAATAGAACAAAAAGACAAAGGAAATGTGAATCCTCTCTCTCTCTTCTTGGGCTGCGACACCCATCTTCTCTTGTCCTTGGACAGTTCACTTCTGTTCTTGGGCCTTCAAACTCCAGGATTTATACCAGCAGCACAAACCCCCACAGCCCCCATTCTCAGGCCTTCAGACTCAGACTAAATTTTACCACCAGCTTTCCTGGTTCTCCAGCTTGCAGACAGTATATGGTAGGACTTTTGGGCCTTCATGGTCACGTGAGCCAATTCCCGTAATACATCTCCTCTTATATATCTATATAAATGCTATTGGTTCTGTTTTTCTGGAGCAGCCTCACTCATACAAGGGCTCAGATCCTTTTCCTCTTTCCAGTCTGCCATCTTGAGTGGTGGACTTGACACTCAGGCCAGTTCCCCTTGAGGTCACAAAATGGCTGCTGCAATTCCAGGCATCACATTCAAATGTAACAATGTCCAGAAGAAGAAGGATTTCTCTTTTTTGTACCCTTTATAGAAATGAAACAACATGTCTCAGAAGTCCCCAGTAGACTCTCCTAAATGGCTCATTTGCCAGAACTATATCACATGTCCATATTTAGACCTATCATTGCAAGAGAAATGGGGCCACCATGATTGGCTTGAACATGGAACTGAGCATATGAATTGTATTGAGGGAGGGATGAAAAAACTGAGGCTCTACAGTAAAGAAAGAAGAGGAAATGCTAGTTAAAAAGGCAAGAATAAAACTTTTAAACTATTGCAAAAGTGTTATCTAGATTGGTTTTTACAATACAACAGGGGTATTCAGCTCATTGTTACCTAGAAATTTTGAGAATTCTTCATCTGGGTTGGAAATATAGAATACCAACTCAAGAAGTTAATTTGAAATCCGATTAAACTGATGTTTTCCTAGATTTTGTAGATTTAGTTAAGCCCAATTTATACGGAAATGCTTCTCTTCTTTAAGCAAGGAATTTCCTCTAATTTTAACCATATCTGAAACTTGAATACATAACTAGATGACTTGGTTCCCATCCCTGGAGGCATTTGTAGGTTAGGAAATTTGAGATATTTCCTCAGGATGGCCATCCTATTTGTGTTGACCCTAATCTGCATTTCTAGAGGCAACACAGAGATTCAGCTGTGTCCTAGTCAAGGAGGCCCCTGAAGGTTATTCAGATTTAGACTCTTGCTAGAGTAGAACATAATATTCACATCACACAGCAAAGGCAAATACACAGGTTGACCCCGAAATTGCTCTCTTTTCTAGGTTATCACCCAAATAGGAAACGACTAGAAGAGAAACCAGATCTACACACTTGCAGTTTGGAAGAAATCAAAGTTGCCCTATAAAATAGAGACAAACCATTCCTCTATTCTCTACATTTTTTGGAGTTAGATTTTAACCAAACTACTGCACACAGGACTTCAGGGAGCACTTTTCATATTGATGAAGATGTGAACATCACCAGCAGAACTGAGCAATGTGGTGGTCCTGATTTTATAGAACTTTAAAGACTAAATGCAAAGAATTCTACATCTTAAAGAAAAACCTCAGTAACATAAGGCCAAAATAAGTAAATGTGACTTATGTTGTAATTTGAAATGCAAAGAATGCAGAAAACATCCAGGAGTAATAAACCACACTAGTGATTAGTTATAAACAATATTCAAAAAATAGAATAGTCTGGCTTATCTTGTGGAAGACAGATTTAAAGCATTTTTTTCTAAGGTATGTCCTAAGAAACACAGAAGATGTTAGAAAATTTGAGGAGTTTGCCTTCTATTCCTAAAAATGTTCTGACTTGATCAAAGGGAAAATATTCTAATAAAAATGAATTGTTCTTCTTAAATTAAAATATATTTTGCTGAGTTGGGAGGCAATATAATATTATGAAAAGAGTAGAATATTCAGAGTCTAAAGACCTGAACTTGACTTTCATCTGTACAGTTAGTAGCTGTGTGACTTCAGGCGGTTTGCTGAATATTTTTGAGTCTTGGTTTTCTCATCAAGAAAATAGGAGTTAATACTATGTCCTTCATAGGATAATGTACGCAAAATATTTGATTGGGTGGAGGTAAGGGGAATCTAGGTTTGTTTCTTCAGATTCCCTCAATACATGATAGCTAATGTTATTTTCTAATACTGGCTATGAGGGATAAAAATCCAATTGAATAATATTACATGAAGGAAAGCAATAGATCTTGGAGAATTGTCATGGAAAATTAATGCAGCAATGGTAGTACTTAAAAGTAGGGAGTTGGGCCTTACAGAAGGAGTAGTGGGCATTGTTCATTGCCTTCCTAGCATTTATTTCTCCTTTTCTGACAGTTCTCAGATTCTTATTAGAATGTCTATACCTTTTATAAAAAGTCAGCACTTTGAGGAAACCTCGGTGCTCTCCAACTCCAAGACTGTGACTTGATTAGTCCATGCCACTGGAGTAATTTCTCATCCCTCTCGCCACCATATCTCGCTCAGGAATGGTCATGGGATGCAATGAGAGTGAGGGAAGTTTTTTAGGGAATCTAGGAAGGAATCTTTTAACTCTTCTGGGAAAGCCATAGAAGTTAGCATGTTCAATGTCTGTTCACACTAAAGGTAAATGAGGGAGCATGTAACCCTAATGGCTGCTGGCAGCCACTTCTCACCAAGAGGGAAGCCAGCCACAAGAGTAAGTCAACATTGTGGATATGGCAAAGTGGAGAGATGAAAAGAACTTAGGTCCTTAATGAACTCACTGTGCTGACAAGACCAAACGCTACTGAGGCCTGGCTATTGGATGTCCTAGGAAATAAGCCAATACAATTTCTTATTGCTTAAAGCAGTTGAGTTGAATTTTTTGTTATTTGTAGCACAAAGCAATCTCTAACTGAAGTAGAAGTTTGGCAAGAAAAAGAGAGTCCCATTTTAGCCTATTGCATAATGGCTTATGTTCTTTATCAAAAAATAGGAATATTCCAAGTATACTTTTATTTAGTCCATCAACCAGTATGTACTGAGGCACTGCATTGGACATTGCATTGGGCACAATGGGACAAATCCGAGAAAATCCGTTACAACTCTCACATTTTAAAAGCTATGTATTCTACAAAGAACCATAATTTTTATGATAAGCATTTTGTTGAGAAACCTCAACCTACAGTTATTATTATTTTTATTTTTAGAGACAGGGTCTCACTCTGTCACTCAGGCTGGAGTGTGGTGGGGCAATCACATAACACTTCAGTCTTGAACTCCTGGGCTCAGGCAATGCTTCAACCTCAGCCTCCTGAGTACCTGGGATTGCAAGTGTGAGCCACTGTGCCTGGCTTCAACCTACAATTATTAATGTTACAGAATATTATTTGCAAACTCTTTCTATTGCTAATTTTATTAATTAACTCATTCAATTATTTGATACTTATAAAGATTCATTCTATGCAAAGCACTATATGACCTTTATTACATACATAGATATATATCACTTATCACAGATACATGTTTCATTTAAAAGTAGCTTTTGAGTGAAAACTTAGGACCAACTATTGCTATTATGCTGCCCTTTTCCATGGCCAGATTGGAAAGTGACAATAATAAAATGTGATGGGGTAGTGTATTAGTTCATTCTCTTACCACTGTAAAGAAATACCTGAAGCTTGGTAATTTATAAAGAAAGAGGTTTAATTGGCTCACAGTTCTACAGGCTGTACAGGGAGCACAGTGGGGAGACCACAGGAAACTTACAATCTGCTCCTGGGGAGACCTCATGAAACTTACAATCGTGGAGGAAGGCAAAGGAGAAGTAGGCACATCTTACATGACTGGAGCACGAGCAAGAGAGAGAGTAGGGGAGGTGCTGCACACTTTTAAACAACCAGATCTCATGAGAACTCATTCACTACACAGTACCAATGGGGGATGGTACTAAACCATTCATGAGAACTCTGCCCCCATGGTCCAATAACCTCGCAGCAGGCCCTACCTTCAACATTGGGAAATACAATTCAACATGAGATTTGGTGGGAACACAGATCCAAACCATATCATTCCACCTCTCGCCCCTCCAAATCTTATGTCATTCTCACATTGCAAAATATAATCATGCCTTCCCAACAGTCCCCCAAAGTTTTAACTCATTCAAGCATTAACTCAGAAGTCCAAAGTTTCATCTGAGATAAGGCAAGTTCCTTCTTCCTATGAGCCTATAAAATCAAAAACGAGTTAATTACTAGCAAGATACAATAGTGGTAAAAGCACTGGGTAAATATTTCCCTTCCAAAAGGGAGAGATCAGCCAAAAGAAAGGGGCTACAAGCCCCATGCAAGTCCAAAACCCAGCAGGGCTGTCATTACATCTTAAAGCTCCAAAATAATCTCCTTTGACTGACTCCATGTCCCACATCCAGAGCACATTGATGCCAGGGATGGGCTCCCAAGGCCTTGGGCAGCTCTGCCTCTGTGGCTTTTCAGGATTCAGCCCCTGCAGCTGTTCTTAAGGGCTGGCATTGAGTGTCTGTGGCTTCTCTGGGCACAGAGTACAAGCAGTCAGTTGCTTTACCATCCTGGGGTCTGGAGGATGGTGGCCCTCTTCTCAAAGCTCCATTAGCAGTGCCCCACTGGGGACTGCGTGGAGGCTCCAACCCCACATTTCCCCTCTGTACTTCCTTAGTAGAGGTTCTCAGTAAGGGCTCTGCCCCTGCAGCAGGTTTCTTCTTGGACATCCAGGCTTCTCCATACACGGTCTGAAATCTAGGCAGAGGCTCCCAAGCCTCAACTCTTGCATTCTGTGCACTCACAGGGTTAATACCATGTGGAAGCCACCAAGGCTTACAGCTTGCACCCTCTGAAGCAGCAGCCTGAGCTGTGTCTGGGCCCCTTTTAGCCATGACTAGAGCTGGGGCAGCTGGGATGCAGGGAGTAGTGTCCTTAGGCTGTGCAGGGCAGGGGGACCCTGAACCTGGCCCAGGAATTCATTCAGTCCTCCTCGGCCTCTGGGCCTGTAATGGGAAGGGCTGCCACAAGATCTGAAATGCCTTTGAGGCCTTTCCCCTATTGTCTTGGCTATCAGCACTTGCCTTCCTTTTAGTTATGCAAATTTCTGCAGGCTGCTTGAATTCCTCCCCTGAAAATGGGCTTTTCTTTTCTATCACATGGCCAGGCTACAAATTCTCCAAACTTTTACACTCTGCTTCCCTTTTGAATATAAGGTCCAGTTTCAGGTCATTTATTTGCTCATACATATAAGCACAGGTTGTTAAAAGCAGCAAGGTCACATTTCTAAGCTGCTTAGAAATTTCTTCCACTAGATACCCTAAATCATTACTCTCAAGTTAGAAGTTTCACTGCTCCATCGGGAAGGGGCACAATGCCTCCAAGTTTTTTGCTAAAGCATAACAAAAGTAACCTTTGCTCCAGTTCCCAATAGGTTCCTCATTTCCATCTGAGGTCTCTTCAGCCTGGACTTCATTGTCCATATTACTATCAGCACTTTGGTCACAAAAGTCACTAGGAAGTTCCAAATTTTCCTTCATCTTCCTGTCTTCTTCTGAGCCCTCCAAACTGTTTCAATCTCTGCCCATTACCCAGTTCCAAAGCTGTTTCCACATTTTCAGGTATCTTTATAGCAATCCCCGACTCATGATACCAATTTTCTGTACTAGTCCATTCTTGCACTGCTATAAAGAAACACCTGAGGCCGGGCATGGTGGCTCACACCTATAATCCCAGCACTTTGGGAAGCCGAGGTGGGCGGATCACCTGAGGTCGGGAGTTTGAGACCAGCCTGACCAACATAGAGAAACCCCAACTCTACTAAAATACAAAATTAGCCGGGCGTGGTGGCACATGCCTGTAATCTCAGCTACTTGGGAGGCTGAGGCAGAAGAATTGCTTGAACCCAGAAGGCAGAGGTTGCAGTGAGCAGAGATTGTGCCGTTGCACTCCAGCCTGGGCAACAAGAGCAAAACTCCGTCTCAAAAAAAAGAAAAGAAATACCTGAGACTGGGTAGTTTATAAAGAAAAGAGGTTTAATTGGCTTATGGTTCTGCAGGCTGTACAGGGAGCACAGTGACTTCTTTTCTGGGGAGGCCTCAGGAAACTTACAATCATGGCAGGAGGTGAAGGAGAAGCAGTCACATTTTACATGGCTGGAGCCGGAGCAAGAGAGAGAGTGGGGAGGTGCTGCACACTTAAACAACTAGATCTTGTGAGAAATCACACACTATACAATACCAAGGGGGATGGCTTTAAACCATTCATAAGAACTCCACCTCCATGATCCGATCACCTCCCACAAGGCCCCACCTTCAACACTGGGGAATATAATTCAATGTGAGATTTGGTGGGGGCACAGATCCAAACCATATTAGGTAGATTATTACAGTAATGGCCCCCAATGAATAACTCCTCCTAATACCCACTCTTGGGTAATCTTTCCTCACACGTAGTCTGAATTTGGTCATGTGACCTTCTTTGGCCAATGGGGCATTGTGTACAGATGTTTCACAAGTAGGAACTCAATAAACATTTATACATGACAGCTTGCCCTTTCAGAAAAGCTGATGTGACATTGTCATGCTATGAAGACCATGTGGAAACAGAGGCCTAACCACTCAGCCATCCCAGCTGGGCATAGCCTCCAACTGACTCTCCAGCTATTAATAAGTGCACCCGCGTGAGTGGGCCCAGGGGAGATCAACAGAAGAACTGTTGAGTTAACACACAGAACTGTGAGACATAATAAATCATTTTAAGCCGGTAAGTTTCAGGGTGGTTTGTTTCACAGCAAAAGGTAACTAAATAATCGATAGACTGGTAAAATGGTGGTGAATGCATTAAAAAAGGGAGTCAGAAAACCCAGATTTCAGAAGACCTGGATTCTAGTCTCCAATAACATGTCAAATTGGGATGTTTAACTGCTTATCATATAATTTGATGAGATTTCACACCAATAATGAAATGCGAGAGCTCCAAGGGGAAGGTTAAATTCAAGGGATAGAGTCAGGCCCTAACCAAATCCCCTTTTTTTCTTGTGATGAAGCTCCTGCTATTGACATACTTTAGCAGTTCTAGTATTGTTGTATTAAGCAAGATATTCAATAGGAATAATAATAATTGTTAAAATAATTAAATAGGAAGCCATTAGATTGATGTGTCTCTGATGCCCTGGGTTCCTACTTAAGCAAACCAAAAGCTAACTTAGAATTTAAAAGAAAATGAAACTGGAGCTCAGCCAATTACAAGAGGCCAACTGGGCATTAGTCATATTGTCTTGAACTTCCCACTGGGATAATCCAAATGAGGCAACTGCTTAAACTTTTACCAATAAAATAATTTCTTTGCTCTGCTTCTGCATTCACCCTATAAAGGGCTTCCCCTTGAACCCTTTCAGAAGAGCCCAAGCCACTGTCAGTTTGGAGCTGCCTGACTCATGAATCACTGTCTGCCTAAATAAACTCGAAAATTGTAATGTGCCAAAGTTTATCTTTTAACATAATCCTAATAGCTAAAATGTGTTAAATGATTTCTATGAAGCAGGTATATGCTTGACACTTTACAACCATTAACTAATTTAATCTTCATAGCAACCTGAAAGGCATATATCATAATCATCTCCAGTTTACACATAAGGATACAGATAAACAATTGGGGCTAAAGATAACTTGCTCAGCCTGTGTCATGTGCTTCCCCACCTCCTCTGAAAAGATAATAGCCAAGAAGTCAATCGTATCTTAAGCTACAGGTCTTGCTTTATAACCCTATGTATCTGTTAAAGTCTCAGCCAGGACACACAGTGAGAGAGTATTGGATAGAACATGGCTACCTGAAGAGCAAAATGCATTTTAGAAAAACAGTATACAATTATGTTAAGCATTTTCATCATTTCAACCCCCAAACAATCCAAGTAAATGATTCATTTGCTGGAAATGGAGAAGAATGTCAGCTGTCCACCAAAATCCATTCTCCCTTTCTTATGCACTGCTTGGCCAGAGACTACATTTCCCAGCCTACTTTTTACTTAGCTATAGCTGCATGGCTCAGTTCTCAGCAACAGGATATGAGCAAAAGTTACCAGTGTGTCTTCCGGGGTTGGCCTCCTTCATGTTCTCTTTCCCTTTCCTGTTGGCCAGAACACATGATGTGACAGTCACACACTGTGGCAGTGACTCAGGTTCAACCATGCAGATGAGGACAGCATGCTAGTGCTAGAGTAGTAGCTGGGCAGACAAGAACAGGGCAGGAGAGGCCCCCTGCCAGGAATGTCAGGTGATCATCAGATGATAGTCAGGTGTTTGTTAAGTTGTCTCACTAAAATAATAATTGGGCACACCCACCACCAGGGAAAGGCGGTCTCTTAGCAGATAGAAAACACCTGAACTCGTGATCAGCAGCTTCCTGAAAAAGATCTCAGAAGTTGGGCAAGCGGGCTCAAGCATGTTCACTAAGGCAAAATGGGGGAGTTGAACTAATATAAGACCTTCCTCTAGGAACACCTGACTGGTATGGGAAAAATGCCTCAAATGAGCATGTGCACAACTTCAGTAAACACACTGTACATGCTGAGAGCCTGCTCCAAGGAAAAATCAAGGGAGAAGAAACACAAATCTCAGAACCATGACAATGTATAGAAACCCCAAGTCAAGTGTCGAACAGAGCGCTTGGTTCTCTCTCTCTCTCTCTTTTTTTTTTTTTATTATACTTTAAGTTCTAGGGTACATGTGCACAATGTGCAGGTTTGTTACATACGTATACATGTGCCATGTTGGTGTGCTGCACCCATTAACTCGTCATTTGCATTAGGTATATCTCCTAATGCTATCCCTCCCCACTCCCCCCACCCAACAAGGGGCCCCAGTGTGTGATGTTCCCCTTCCTGTGTCCAAGTGTTCTCATTGTTCAGTTCCCACCTATGAGTGAGAACATGCAGTGTTTGGTTTTCTGTCCTTATGATAGTTTGCTCAGAATGATGGTTTCCAGTTTCATCCATGTCCCTACAAAGGACATGAACTCAACATTTTTTATGGCTGCATAGTATTCCATGGTGTATATGTGCCACATTTTCTTAATCCAGTCTATCATTGATGGGCATTTGGGTTGGTTCCAAGTCTTTGCTATTGTGAATAGTGCCACAGTAAACATACGTGTGCATGTGTCTTTATAGCAGCATGATTTATAATCCGCTGGGTATATACCCAGTAATGGGATGGCTGGGTCAAATGGTATTTCTAGGTCTAGATCCCTGAGGAATTGCCACACTGTCTTCCACAATGGTTGAACTAGTTTACAGTCCCACCAACGGTGTAAAAGTGTTCCTATTTCTCCATATCCTCTCCAGCATCTGTTGTTTCCTGACTTTTTAATGATCACCATTCTAACTGGTGTGAGATGGTATCTCATTGTGGTTTTGATTTGCATTTCTCTGATGGCCAGTGATGATGAGCATTTTTTCATGTGTCTGTTGGCTGCATAAATGTCTTATTTTGAGGAGTGTCTATTCATATCCTTCACCCACTTGTTGATGGGGGCACTTGGATCTCTCAAGTTGCCCACTGGGCCCTTTTCCAAGCGTACTTCGCTTCCTTTTGTTCCTGCTCTGCAACTTTTTAATAAAATTTCATTCCTGCTCTAAACTTTGTCTCAGCCTCTCACTCTGCCTTATGCCCCTTGGCGAAATTCTTTCCTTTGAGGAGGCAAGAATTGAGTTGGTGCAGATGCATATAGATTTGCTACTGCTAACACTGGGAGCTAGCAGAGTAACAACATAAAAGGAGTCTGGATTACTCCAGGATTTTGTGGAGTGGAGATAGCCTAAACAGGCAAGAAGATCACATGAGAAAGAAATGCTTTCATATCTTCTTTAAGCCACTGACTTTTGTGGGTCTGTTTGTTACAACAGATTTACTTTTTTTTTTTTTTGAGACAGTGTCACTTAGGGTGGAGTACAGTGGCGCCATCTCAGCTCACTGCAGTCTCAACTTCCCAGGCTCAGGTGATTCTCTCACCTCAGCCTCCCAAGTAGTTGGAACCACAGTCATGTGCCACTAGGTGCAGCTACTTTTTTGTATTTTTTTGTAGAGAGGGAGTTTTGCCTTGTTGTCCAGGCTGGTCTCAAGCCCGTAGGCTCAAGTAATCCTCCCTCCTCGACCTTCCAAAGTGCTAGGATTACAGGCAAGAGCCATCATGCCAGGCCCCAGATTAGCCTTCATCTCAAATAATATTTTAAGTTGTTAAATTCAATGAGGGTATGGGTTTTTTCTTCAGTGTTTTGTCCCAGGGACCCTGTGTGTGTTCCAGGACAGGTTGGTGTGAATTCAGGCGAACCCATGTCTACAATGTGAAACTTCTCAGAGGTGAGAGGTGGCTGTAGCCAAATCATGCCTGTGGGATATATCTTATATTTGCCCCTAAGGAAGTTATTTAACCTCAGGAGACACCTTTCTTTCTTTCTTTTTTCTTTTTTTTTTTTTTTTCCATCTAAAAGCTGGGAATGTTAAAGAAACCTCATGTCCACAGATAACAGTTCAGGAGCAGGCATCAGAAATGTGGCAGGCTCTGTATTGCCCACGTTAGCAGCCATTACTCTCCTGCCCTGCTAACAAACCCTGATTTTATTCAGGATCAACGTGTTCAGTTATCTGTTGTTGTGTAGCATAATATCTCAAACTTTGTGGTATAAAATAACCACCATTTTATTATGTCCATGGATTCTGTGGAGCAGAAGTTTAGACAGAGTACAGAAGTCTGGCTTGTTTCTGTTCCATGATACATGGGGCCTCGGCAGCGAAGACTGAAATGGCTGGGGCTGGAATCACCTAGGAGCTTCTTCACTTGTATGTCTGGTGCCTGGGCTGGTGTATTCAAAAGCTGGGCTTATTGGGAACTATCGACCAGAACACCTCCATGTGGACCTCCATGTGGCTTTGGTTTTCTCACTGCAGGGTAGCCTTGGAGGAGTCAAGCTTCTTATAAGGCAGCTCAAGTTCCCAAAAGCAAGTGTCCTAGTGAACAAGTTAGAAGCCCCCTGGCTTCGTATAACCTTGACTCAGAAGTCACCTGGCATTACCTCCTTTGTGCTCTTGGTTGAAGCAGGCACAAACCAGCTCAGACTCAAAGGCAGGGAACATACACCCCACCTTCTTACAGAAGGAGTGTCAAAGAATTTGCCATCGTAGGTTAACGCTACCACATCAACCCTTAGAATTAAAATGCTTATTTAAAAAGTAATTCCTGACCAACCCTTCTCACCTTGAGACTGTAAGCAGTTTTTACTGCAGGTTTCAAATATGGCAGACAGGCCTGAGGGACTGGCAAGGGGCCATCTTCCAGGGCTTATTTGCATAAGGGACCTTCAGGTCAAGATTTCATCCTAAGGGGAGAGAAAATAGAGACCAGTAATACGAGGACCGAAGGTTAGGGGAGTGAGTGAGTCTAAATCAGTTCAATGTCTGTTGGTCAAATTGTGCCCATCCAGATCCACCATGGTATCTTCCTTGAGTGTTTTAGTAAAATATCTACAGAACCCCAAGACAACAGTATTAGAGACACACAAGTCAGCCACAGACATACGTGACTCCACCTGGGTTTATCAAGCTATCTTTGGAGGAATTTAAAGGAAAGCTAGTATTCTCTGAGTGGTGAATTTGGACTGGAATGGCTAAGTAGATGCTTTAATAAAATAATTTTTTTGCAGCTAGACTTACAGGGCTGAGGAAACACGGATTACAGCTAAAATTTATATTGTATAGTACAAAAAGCAGGATACTTTATCCTATAAACAGCTGCAAAATTCCATGAAGATTATGTTGGTAGTTATAATAATAATGAAAGAACACTATTTTCCCCCCACAGTGGTCATATTAATTACAGTTCTTAATTGTATTATTTCATAAAAGTGATGAGGAAAATGCTCTTTTAAATGTTTTTACTATTACCATCACTGTTATTTGGCTATTTGAAGAACCAGTGCCTTTTTTTTTTAAGTCACAAAAAATACTGACTGATACATTCAAATTTTGTTTTGAAATTGAAAATTTCAAATTGAGTGACTTTTTTTCTAAATAAAGAAATAGAGATGGAGTTTCGCATGTTGCCCAGGCTAGTCTGGGACTCCTGAGCTCAAAGGATCCGCCTTCCTCAGCTTCCCAAAGTGCTGGGATTACAGGCATGAGCCACCGCACCTGGCTTGTCACCAACGCATGCACCATCATGCCTGACTAATTTTCCAATGTTTTATAGAGACAGAGCCTTGCTATGTTGTATAAGCTGGTCTTGAACTACTGGGTTCAAATGATCTTACCACCTCAACTTCCCAAAGTGCTGTGATTACAGGCATGAGCCACCACACCTGGCCCAAATTTAGTGACTCTTTAAGGGGAAAATAGAAGAGAGTTTTCTATCTTTTCCTAATATAATTCAGGACTTTTTAGTTGTCATGAACGAAAATCCAGTCAACCTGACTTAAACCAAAAGGAAATTTATAGGTTCTTGAAATCAAAAGGTCCAAGAACATAAAATTGCTTCAGGCAGAGCTGGATCCAGGTGCAGAGAATATGTTATCAGGAATCCGTCTCTCCCCATCTCTCAGGTCTCCTTTGCTCTGGGTTGGCTTCATTCTTAGACAGCCTACCTCCCTAGTGATGAAGGGGCTTCCAACAACACATACAGCCAGATTAATGAAGCCAGTAGAAAGGAAGCGCCTTGTTTCACATAATTTAAGCAAAATATCTATAATTGACTGCACTGAATTGGGTGCATGGTCAGATCTGCGTTATGTGTACACTCTTTGTATATGAAAGGTTGGGGGCAGGGGTGTGTATGTGGCCCACCTAGACCATGTAGAAGAAGTGTTGCCCAAGAGGAATTCCCTAAAAGAAACTTCTACCAGAAAAAGAGAAAGTAGATGACATCCAAATCAACTATACATCCCCAAATCTCCACTGAAGGAAATCAAATGATACACATTTATAAATGCTATGGATTCAGATTAAAAGTATAAATAATAATTTTATTAATCTTATTCTGTGTACTTTGCATCAATTATGCCTGCAAATTTTTCTTTACATCTCTTCCTGAGAGTGTTCTAACTGATCTATTATTTCATGTAGTTCTTTAAGCACAGAAGTATACAGATGATTAAAACTTTAGGGCCGGGAGTGGTGGCTCACGCCTGTAATCCCAGCACTTTGGGAGGCTGAGGCGGGTGGATCACCTGAGGTCAGGAGTTTGAGACCAGCCTGACCAACATGGAGAAACCCATTCTCTACTAAAAATATAAAAATTAGCCGGGTGTGGTAGTGTGCACCTGTACTCCCAGCTACTTGGAAGGCTGAGGCAGGAGAATTGCTTGAACCTGGAGGCGGAGTTTGCAGTGAGCCAAGATCATGCCATTGCACTCCAGCCTGGGTGACAGAGCGAGACTCCATCTCAAAAACAAAAACAAAAGCAAAAACAAACAAACAAACAAACAAACCTTTAGCCTGGATCGTCATCCTTGAGGTTATACTAAGAGAAACATTTTGGGTAATGCCTACTAGACATTCAGGAATCATTGTGCAAGCTTTGACCTTCATCTGTCTGGTCAATGAAGTCACACCACTATGTCAAGAGCATTAGACCTGCTCTTTCTAAGTTATTGAGATGGGCTTTTAGTGTGCATTTTGAATTTTCAAGAAGATTTTTATTTTTCACTTAGCTTTTATCATTATTGTATATTTTTAAATATAGCTACTAAGAACTTGCCCTAGCCACAGAGTGTACTCTAAGAAGCAGAAGATGCTTAATGTATTAATGTTATTATAAGGGGAACAAAGAGTTTCATAGTCAAGTGTTTGGAACACTAGGTTAAATACGCTTCTTTTTCTTTAACTTCTTATTATACAGTTACAGAAAAGCTAACAGTAACACAAAAGAACACCCACACATTAACCACTAAAGTTCAGCATTTTGCCATCTTCATTTATATATATGTATATAGTTGTTGTTGCTGGTGAATAACTTGAAAATCAGTTGCAGACTCATGATAACATTACACTTCGCCTCCAAATACTTGAGCATGCATCTCCTAAGACATTCTTACATAACCATAGAAGCATTATAACACTTAAGAAAACTAACAATAATTTTCCATAAGGGGATAATACCATGTAATGCCCAGTCCATGTTCAAATTTTCCCTTTTTTTCTCAATACTACTTGTATAGATAACTTTTTCTTTTGAACTAAAATCTAATTAGAGTTCACACATTGCATTTGATTGTTATGTCTGTTTAGTGCCTTTTATTTTAAAACAGTCTTCCTGAACTTTTTAAAAAGAGTACTGTGTTTTTTATGAGACCAAGCCAGTTGTCTTGTATTAATAGAATATTCCACATTCTGGATTTTTCTGAATGTCTTCCCTTGACATCTTCTCATTTATTCTTCCCTTCTCAACCAGGTTTCTTTACAGCAGAAACTCTCAGAGCCTTTAAAGTTCAATGGGCAAAACTACTCTGCAAATGGACACCTTCTAGCAGCCTCTGCTATCTTCACAATAACCTTCCACACTCAATGAAGCACACACATGCCAGAAACACCAGCCCTAGCAGAGGATCAGATGGAAATACGCATGCCTTACCCCTTGAGTTTCATGTGAAAGGACTTCAATTTGACTCCCACTCCTGGATGCTCTCCTCTGTTGGGGCTACAGGGGCCCCATTGAAAATGAAACAACAACAACTAAAAAACAAAAACCAAAACCATCACATCTGGGCTCTAAACTAATGTCTAGGGGGAAATTGAGGCTCAGAGATTAAATTCTCTTGCAAGGTAAAGCCCAAAGTTATCAAAATCTGAAGGGTCACAGTTCGAAAATCAAAATTTTCTGCACTTCTACGAAAAAAATCAGAGCTTTTCCTGTTTCTGATTCTGCATAGCCTCAGCTGGGGGTGCTCCTAAAGCCTTAAGCAGCTGCAGCTACAGTCTATCTCTGAAGCTGTATTTGTTCATTTTCCATTTTCTGAGGAGCCTCACTCTTTTAAAGTGTTAAAAGTCTCAGCAGAAGCCAGAACATTATTGTAGCACTAGCCTCTCACCTACCCACCAAAGTTAGGAAACAAACCATTCTCTGTCCCTGGAGCAATTGCCAAATAAAGATGTACTTCTAGAACCCAAAAACTCTAGCATAGGCTTAGAATCTGAGAGGAGAGACTCTGTGTCTCAACTTCCTCAGGGTGGCTGTCAGTCAGTCAGTGAAGGCAATCCAAACCTATATTCTGTGCAGGTAAACTATTTGGGAGAAATCTTTTCATAAGAGGTTAATTTGGGCATTGTGCTGAACAAATCTGGGGGACGGGTGGGCAGAAGGAGAGCCATTCATAGACACGGGCAATAGTCATTCTGCCTTCCAACAAGTTTAGAAATTTACAAAGGTGGAGGCCCCAGTCTCCAAGTGTCGTTCACGTCTTACCAATTAAAATTCTCTTCATCGCCGTTTCCATTCTGAGCCCTTGTACTTAATTGAGCAAGATCTCTATCTAGTGACATGGAGCTCTCTTGGGAGCATGCTTTCAATCCTGTGCCTCAGTGGCTGTTTTCAGTGGCAGGCTAAACAATCTGCCTTGAGCTACACTTTCTCCAGAGCTCTCTTGACTCCATGGATGATGTGGAGTGACTTTGAGCATGTGGACGTACTACAGGAATCCAAGGTTTGTCCTTCCACAGTTCCCTCTCTGGCCTAGAAGGCAGAATGAAATCTGAAGCAGTGCTGCCTCCCCAACCCCACAGAGACAATTTCCAGTTAGGCACACGCGGAGCTCAGCCGCCTTACATTTTAAATGCAGCTGGGTATAGATTTAGGTGACGAAGTGGGGAAGGGTTCTCTTTAAGAAAAAGATACAAAACAATACATTTAAAAATATATGTAAAAGCGAATATTTAATTAGAAAGAATGATCACAAAAAATACAAATATTTTAAAATGGCCATAACAGCAAACATTAATTGCCAGGCATACCTCTATAATACTTTTTGTCTACAATCTTGTCTACTTACTCTCTAGTCATCCCTTCACACAATAATTTTATGATAATATTTTATATAAATGGAACAGATAGATAATTCAATCTTTCCTACAGTATTAATCTTTTTTTAATTGATAGGAAGCATAAAACAAACTTAGTTTGTAGACTCGGTACAGGTTTGTGTACTTTAGACATAGGAGTTCTGATAAATTCTATTTCACGTGATTCCCATCAAAAAAGACGTGGTGGATTTATAGTTTACATGATGTCATTATTAAGCACATTTCATGTGTACTGTCAATGAGAACAGAATCCCATACTTACAACATTACCGAACATCTGATGATAGAATTTTCTACAGCCTAATTTCTGGCTCCATCCATTTCAAATCTGGCTTCTGCTCTAGGACTCACATACTTCCATGTCGGGCACTGTCCCACCTTCACATTTTGAGAGAACCCTCGCCCTCACCCTCATTTGGGTATACAGGGAGAGTCACCACAGTGGGCAACTGGAGAATTCTTGGAAGCTATAAACCATACAACTATATCCCACTAAAACCAAACTAAATGTATTTCCAACTCAGACGCCCCTTAGCCAGGTCCCCAAAATGTCTGAGTGACAGAAGAAAAACAATGGCCTTGATCCACAGAAGTTAAATTACTTTGCTTTTACACATTTTACAAAAACATTATTATCATTATTCCTCCCTGTCTTCTTTCTCCTTTCTGAACAATTCAGTCCTAAAGCCAGTAGGTGGGACAGAGCGGGGAAGACACACATGCTGGCTAGGGGGATGAGAAGGAGGAGTGACCAAGGTGGCTCACAGAGGAGTGTCAGAGCCCTAGTGGGATAGATGGCAACATGGTGTAGTGACATAGCACGGCCAGCTCAAGCCCAGTGGGAAGGGAATCAAGGGGCAGCCTACAGAGGCTCAAAGTCCAGTCTCTGTGATGTGCCTTCATTACCTGAATCTAATCAGGAGGAAACATCAGATGAACTCAAACTGAGGGATATTCTACAAAATGAATGGCCTGTAATCTTCAAAAATGCAAATATCATAAATGTTAAAGAAAGACTAAGGAGATATCTCAGACTGAAGAAAGCTAGAGACATGAAAACTAAACATACAATCTTGATTCTGAACTGAATTTGAGGATTAGATGGTAGTGTGTCAGTGTTAACTTCCTGATTTGGATGGTTGTATTGTGGTTATGTAGAAGAATGTCCAGATTTGGAGAAAATACATACTAAAGCATTAGGGACTGACGGGGCATCAGATTGGTACTATACTCTCAAATGGGCGTTTGGGAATAGAGTTTCCCTGTATTTTTCTGTATTTTTGTGTTTGTTACCAAATTATATATAATTATATATGTGAGGGGTAGGGGTGAGAGGGCGAGAGCATATGACCATGTGAACACATTACTAGTGTCCCTCAGGACCTCAGGATCTTGGAAGGCCCCATGCAAATATGGGAACCTGAAGCTTCAGTTTCATCAATATCACTACCTCTAACTGCAGCAAACCTGACTCTACCCACTACTGTCTGAAAGGCCAAAGTCCTTAAAGACATAATTTAGACCTTGTCTTAGTTATACCTGCTTTCTTAGGTCTTTGTGGCCTCCCTATCTCTGCTAACACTCAGTGTAGCAGAATGAATATGTTCTGAATGTTGTTGAAGGTCAAGGAGCAGCAGCTTGCACCCGAGGCCCACGTCACCTAAAGCTCTCTGGGGTTTGCCTTTGCTGGGCCCACATAGCTCTGTTGTGTGTATTTGCTAAGCCTGGCTTGGTACAAATGGCCAGTGTTTTGCTTCAGGCTCAATGTAGGTTCGGTGGTATTTGCTGATCAGACTCTCTTCTCCACACCCCCACTTACGTCAGCTGTGTATCATTTGCTTAATGCTCAGGACTTGGAGTCCCACCAGGAAGATAAAAATCAGCAGTGAACAAGAAGTGTTTCAGCTAGTCAAATCTCCAACCTTCACTCACTTCTCCTGGTATGCTCAGCTTAGCTCCTTTCTTCTTTCTACAGATTTGTGTACCTGTAGAGAGGGTACAATCTAGTCTGTCCGCTAGAGAGGACAGTTTTAAGAGAGTTTTGATACATAAGTTTAATTCAGGAGGCTGTTAGTCCCTTTGGCTGCATGTTTAAGCCACCCCAATTGAGACGTTCATAATTAAATAAAGCTCACACCTTGATCTCTTTCTGTGTCTCTCAACTGGTTCCAAACTCAGGCAGAAAATAAAAGAAAGGTGTTATTGGGCCCTCTCAAAGTCCAACACAAATAAAAGATGATGGTACCTTCAGGGTGGTGATAGCAGATAAGGTAAGAAGCGGTGTGATTTCAGATAAATTTTAGGAAGAATTGGCAGGACTCAGTGCTGGATTAGATATGGGGGGATATCAAGGGTCCCTAAGACCCCCTTCACATTTGGAGATTCACTAGATTCTGGGACTCATTACAGTTACGCTATTACAGAAACGTAGTAAGGATACACAGCTGGATTGTAAAGAAAAAGACTCAGGCAGAGCATGGAAGACTTCGTGTGCAGGATTCCTAAGTGTTCTCCCTTTCGCGAGGGGTCACACAGACTGCATTCTTCCTCCAGAAATGAAAATGTAGAAACATGCCTGCAATGTTTTTGCCAGGGAAAGACTGAGCCTCAGCAGCCAGAGTTTTTACTGGACATTGGTCACAGGCACCTCTGCCTAGCAGGTACCAAGTTCTAGAATCTCAGAAGGAAAAGCAAGTGCATTGTTTGTACAAATAGCTTACGCACAGGGAATCACTTTTATTATTTAGGGAAAGCTTTGTATGTGTAGGTGTAGGTGTCGGATAAACTCACCTGATAGTAATAATTTATGCATACCCTCAGAATGACCCCATATGGCAGATGCACCTGAATGTATGTTCTGAGCTAGGGAATCTGGGAGTAGCTAACCTGAAGAGTCATTCTTTATCTATGAGAAACATCTAATATAGGGGACTGAGGCCCTGAATTTTGGGATACATGAAGGTTGCCAGGTGGAGATTGTTAGGGGGAGGGTATAAAGTGAAAATACCATATAAACTGCATGATGGTTGCAGGCGGTTGCAGTTTTCCTGCCCATCCCACCACCACTGGACTCTGTAAGCACCTAATAAAACACCATGTTTTGTTTGCTGGCTCTAGGTCTCTTCTTCGGCCTCTTGAACCTGGTTCCTTTCCTACTGAGGTTAATAGGGCTTTGGCACGACAGTAAGGGACTGTTTACCTGCCAAGTTCTCACATGTCAGCGAAGGGCCAACCTTACAAGCAGACCTTTTTAAGGATAGCAGTCTCAGGTCAGCTATGCGAACTCCTTTCTCTACAGACGGGCAGGAAGGGGTGCGACAAGGAAAAGGGAAGAGTCAAGGAAGACATGCAGATTTCTCCCTTAAGCCTGAAGATGGACAGTGTTGTCACTTATAGAGATGGAGAAGACAAAGAAATGCAGATTTATGGGAGAGAACTAGTATTTCGATTTTGAACACAATGAAATTAGAGATAGCTATGAATTATCAGGTTAAACTATTGTATGTTATAATAAAAAACAACCTTAAAATTCCAGGGGCCTTAACATAATAAAAATTTATTTCTCACTTAAGTTATGTGACTTTCACGGCCTAGTGGAAGTTAGGAAATTGGTGGGGAGATGTAGTCTCTGTTCTGCATAGTCACTCAGGGACCCAGGCTGGTGGAGGCTCCACCATCCAGAATGTTGTTAATTCTTATGACAGAGAAAGAGGCAACTGGAGAAGTCTCATCTCAGCTTTTCTATGCTTCAGTCTACAGCCCATTGTTCAAAACTGGCCATGTGGCCGCAAAAAACTGTAAGTGGAGCTGGAAAATGTGGGGTAGTTGATGGGATATCTGGTGAACACCACTGTTTCTGCCACAATAGCCCCATAGAAATGTCAAGTAGGCATCCCCAACAAACGTATGTCTGGAGACATTCATTTAGGAGTCATAAGCACATAGGTGGTATTTAGAGCCACACTCACTGTCATGTAATCTGAGTTCCAGGGCCTAGTAAGGGCAGTATTATCACCCTTTTCTGGTGTGAAGGAGTAGGAAATCCAGATTGGTGGACACCCTTCAAACTTCCCTGTAGTGAAACTAGCAGCACACAGGTGCCTTCACTAGCAGTCAAGACAGATTGTGGCTTAGGATTGAAGGCAAGTTTTTAACTTCTCTAAGAGGGGAGTCTTGGTGCCTGAAAAGTCTGCCTAGAAACAGCCTGATGCTCACGGCAGAGGGACTAGGCTCACAACTTTCAGTTGAAACCACACATGAAGATATTGAGAGCCAAAATCAGGGGGAAAGCTGGCCACAGGAACCACTAGGTGTCACTAATAGGCCAAAGTTAGAAGCGCGGAAAAGGAAAGGCTAAAAGAACAAATGAAGGAAGGAAAGAAAAGGTAGTACCTGCCCTAAGATGGCCACAGGTGAAACTTAGTGGTAGCATTGCTAACATTGTTCTATTAAAGAAAAAAAAAAGGCAAAATAACAGTAGAAATTATGAACTTTATTCTGAACAATAATGACTTCCAAATAGACTGGATGGGTTCTTGCTGTTACCTAATGTGCATGCCTGTGTGTGAATGGTTTTGTGCATTTGTGTGTGTGTGCACTTGGGAAGTGGAGAAGGGTAGTTTATTCTGACCTCCATTATAGCTTTCCAAACATCACATGACTAACCATATGAATACTTTTGGTAGAGATAAAAGAAAGTTTCTCTTCTTTCATCCTACTTGTGTGTATATGCATGTATAACTACTGAGGTCTTCAGTTTATTCAATATCAAATTTAAGGTCGATGGATCTAAGATGTGTCCTTTTTTAATGCCCAGAATATGACAAAGCAAAAAAGGATTTCTAAAATGGCAAACCTTATTTAATCCTTCGATGACAAGCTGGGGACTACTAACACCTTCCATGTGCCAATAAAATCATTTGGGATGACTAACAGATAATGGAAATTACAATAAATCAAAATATATTTTATATCTTTGATAACTGATACATCAAAACTAGATAGTTAATTTGTGTTTGGGTCAGTGAAAAAAATGGCCAAAAGGGAAATGACCCAATAAAATATTATTGATCACCATAAAACTGTATTGAAGAGAAAAAAAACAGAAGAAACTAGCACTGGAAACAAATTATTCTGAGCTATTCAACTTCTTACATGTTGAGGCTCATTTAAAAAATGGCATTTATATAGCACACTGAGGTAAATGGACAAAGTTCCTGGGTTTCGGCTGCCCCAGTTCATTGGGCCACCCTAGAGCCTGAGATCACTATGTCACCATACTAAATACAAGTTGTAGTGTTCAACCTTGGGTTCACACTGGAATCACTCAGGAAGTTAAAAACATACATTGAATCTGCCCACTCCCTTCCCACCCCAAATAATCTGTGTTTTATTTTGTTGGTCTGGCATACAGACTGGGCATTACGACTTTTCAAAACTCCCAAGCGACTCTAAGGCATAGCCAGGGTTAAGAATCACTGCACTGGAAAGTAGTCAAGGAAATTAAAAACTTAGGCTCATCTAGTTTCCCAGCTCGGAACACAAATATGAGGGTTTTGGTGGTTTTCTTTGTTGTTGTTGTTGTCAATTCAGGGAAGTACAATGAGAAAAAAGCAAAATTGCAAAGTTCATAATATGAAAGTGAAAACTCTCCATCTCCTCCCAAAGCAACCACTATTGTTTCTTTTGATTTTTCGAGAAAAAGTTTATGTACATACCTGCATGTTTGTATTTCAAAAAATAATTGTTTACATTAAAGAGAGGACACCATATATAGTATTCTACGCTTTGCCTTTAATATTCATTACATGATGGGCCTGTCCTTTGAGTATACAGTACACAGCTACGAAGTAATTCACATGTCTGTACTGTTGTGCTGTGTTTTATTGAACCATTCCTCCGTGTTATCACTTCAGCTATTTTCACTACTTCACAGCAATAAACATTTTTTTTTTTTTTGAGATGGAGTTTCGCTCGTGTTGTCCAGGCTGGAGTGCAACGGCGCGATCTCGGCTCACCGCAACCTCTGCCTCCTGGATTCAAAGCGATTCTCCTGCCTCAGCCTCCTGAGTACCTGCGATTACAGGCCTGGGCCACCACGCCCGGCTAATTTTGTATTTTTAGTAGAGATGGGGTTTCTCCATGTTGGTCAGGCTGGTCTCAAACTCCCGACCTCAGGTGATTCGCCCGCCTCGGCCTCCCAAAGTACTGGGATTACAGGCGTGAACCACCGCGCCCGGCCTTAACATCCTTATACATGGGTTACCAGCATCGCGACGACCTTCTGCAAATATTTTTATAGGGTAAATAACTGAATGAAGTCGCTGGGCGCATCTAAAATTTGAATAAATGTAATGAGATCAACAAACAACTAAAAAGTAAACTGATGCTATCCACATTTGTCAAGTACACGAGTATGCCTGCCAGTTTGAAGGTGCTGGCGCGGCGCTGTTGGCCAGAGATCTCTATCAACCAGGGTCATCTGCCGGCAATGCCATAGAGGCGGTCCCGGGGGCGGGCCTTCTTGGGTCACGTGGACGGCCTCGCCCCGCCCCCGTCGAGGCGCCGCGCACGTCTGGAGCTCTGGCTCGTGCAGTAGCGTCACGCGGAGGCGGAGCGAGGACTCGGGGACAGTAAGTTCTGTTCTCGCCGCGCAGGGGGCGGGCTGGCGGGACCAGCTGCTTCCGGCTGGGCTGCGGGCGTGGACTCCTCATTCCGGCTGTGGCCGCGCCGCTGCGGGGCCTGAGGCCCTCTTGGGTTTTGGTTCAGCGTTAGTTAACGGTTAACCCGCCAAGGCGGGCTTCCGCCCAGGCACAGGAGACTCACCGAGCTTGTTCACCTTGAAACTTGGGCCACACCTGAGACCTGCCACCTAAGGGGGGTACGCGGGTCGTTTTTAACAAGCTTTCATGGCATTTGTGCCATGAAAGCTCTAAAGTATAGAAGCTGCTCCAGGGCTTCCGCAGCCCCGGCCGTCCTGGAGATACTCGCCTCCTGGAGTCTGTGTCGAGAATTTGCAGCACCTGGACAGCCACGTGCAGTCTCAGAACTGCAGGCGGTCTTTACCGAAATGTTAAACACAACTTGAAGTTAGGCAGGATAACTGCCAGAGCTGGATGGACCTTAGAGGTGCCAGCTAACGCGCTGTGAGCGTTTTCTGCGGTTAGGCCTGCTCTAAACATTTGACATGTGTTAAAGCATTTATGTGCTTTACCCACACCCCTATGTGGCGGGCCCTTCTTAAAGTAAAAGAAACTGCAGCACAGCGAAGTTAAGCAACTTGCCCCAAATCACGCAGAACTGGGATGCAAACCCAGGTCTAGCTCACTCGTGATCACAATTCAACATCATACGATGGTGCTGATTTCCAGAGCAGCTCTGTGACTTTATATAAAATTATTGGGCAAGCGTTCAATTGTAAACATTCGTGAACATAGCTGTTGCACATTAGCGTTCCTTTTTTTTTTTAATTCAGGACCATCTTTGGTGACAAATATAAATATCAATACTATATATATCACCAATATACATATTTGCTTTGCTAAAAGGTTTCTGTGTCTTCAGGATAGTTTACTTGCAAGCCTCATGTTTTTATAAAAACGTGGGTGCTACCTGAATAAAACTAATGCCTACCCGTTGGCGGTTTTGTGAAGACTAATGAACTATTATATTCAAAGGGTCCAAGCAGTAGGCATTTACTAAAGGACAGCTAGTTTTATCTGTTATTATTCTGCCATTCAGAGAGATACCAAAACTACTCTCTAAGGCATTTCTCTTCCCTGCATGTAAAAGCAAGGGTGTCATACTTGAGATAAGCATTCTGATAATGTGTAGGCAAAGTTTCCACACTTGGTAAAAGCATCTTAGTCATGGTTCAAGACGAGTGACAAGTAAGTACGTTTCACTTCATGTTTCTTTTATCTCCCGTGTCTTGTGGAAATTTGAGTTACACTAAATATTTTTTTAAATTCCACTTGAATTTATTTCCTTTGTTGGAAAGGAATCTAATAGTGACCGAGTATCCATTTAGCTAATTTGTAATTTTATATGGAGTTAGCACCTTTAGAAACCAATTTTAGGGACAGGCCAAAAATTTTTCTCGAAGAGAACATGAAACACAACGACTAAGTTTTTCAGGGGGATGTTTTCAACTAGCCGTCAAACTGTATGAGTTGTTTAATTTTCTGTTTCATTCAGTTAAGATTCTATTATCTTAAAGTAGACTTAAAATCGAAACATATTGGGAGTTTATGAATAGTTCATCAAAATAACGATAATTAAGGTGAACACGTGGGCTTTCCCTATTGTGTGAATGGATCATGATATTCACAATAGTAAGAATAATATGGGTGTTAAATGTAAAAAGTCCTCAAATAGTATAAATAGTACCATTTAAGATACATAGAGGAAACTATTATTTGACATATAAAATTATACTTTTCTAAGCAAAATGCACAGCCATAATCATAGTTCTCTGAAACCTTTATCATTTAGCCCCAGTCTTCTCTGCTCCTTTTTTATCAGTCCCGTAAAAGTTCACCAGTTTGTCGGGTTGGAGGCAAACCTTGCAAAAACTGTAAGTTTGTAGTGACTCAAATTTGAGAAAGACCTGTATTTGGTTCTCATTTATTTGGGAGTTGGGAAAACATAATTAACTTTTGATATTATACTACATCTCTTGTATTTCGTTACTTTTTGATAGTAGTGCTTTTTTTTTTTTTTTTTTTTTTGGCCTGGAGGAAAACAACTATTCATTTATTTCCTCCTTTGGTGCCAAGTTTTGAAATTAGCTGTACAAAATTCTCAAATAGTTAATTCATGACCTATGCACAGGCACATTCTCTGAGGATAGAAAGGGCAATTTTGTTCCATTTTTCTTGGGTTTGGGGTCATTTGCTACATAAATATACATTAGGATACAACTTAAATCTTGAAAAGAATAATTTTAATTATAAGAAAAAAGTAAATACTTTTAGACATTTAAGAAATGTTTATTATCCCCTTGCTTTTCTTGATATATTTACCCTATAGTACATATATCCATGAATAATATACTGTTTGGTTTTGCCACTTTTGTGATAAAAACGGAAACATACTCTGAATTCCTTTTTAAATTTTTCACTTGCAATTATGTTTTTTGAAATTAAGCCAACTTGATGTAGAGATACATTTTTCACTGCTGTACAGCATTCCATTGAATGAACATACACATTTTCCATTCTACTGTTGATGGGTTTTGTGTTGTTTTTGTTTTTTGCTGTTATAACTATTCTTGTGTATGTTTCCTGGTGTACCTGTGTGCATTTCTGTGGCATATACCCAAAGTGGGATTATTATTATGTTTAACTTTACTAGGTAATGCCAAATTGTGGTAGCACTAATTTATGTTATCACTAGCAGTTCCATATTTTCACTAATACTTGGTATAATTTTTTGTCAGCCTGGTGGATAGAAAATAGTATCACATTAATGGCCTTGCTTTGCATTTCCTTTGCGTTTTCCTACTAATGAGATTGAGTGTCTTTACATATACTGGCCATTCAGATTTCTTTATTTGTGAAATGTTTGTTCATGTCTTGCCCATTTTTCTATGATTATTTGTTCTTTTTTTACTGGCCTATAGGAGTTCTTCACATATTCTGAATCTCAAGAGTTTGTCAGTTATATGTATTGCAAATTCCACATTTCTTTCTTTTCTTTTTCTTTAGCCTATTTCCCCTTATTTCAGTTCATTCCTTTGTCTGTTCCCATTTTTCTTATTACCCCTCTGTTCTGTCACAAAATGTGATGAAGGCTGCATGCCCAACTCTGAAGGCAAATACTACCACCTGATCAATTTGTGTTCTTTGAGTACCTGCCAAAATCAAATAAAACCAGATGACCATTCAGAGATAGTATTCTTGCCTCCTATCAGCCATAGCTAACCCAGAAAATCATGGCCATGGTCCTCTTTGCCTTTGCTTTAAAATAATAAACTTTTGCTTTTTTATTGTGAGATAATTTTTAAAAACAGCATATGTATTACTTTTCTATCCCCCCCTTTAAAAAAAAATTAGAGCAGAATTAAAAATGCAAACTTCAGAGTACAAATTTGACATCCCTATAATTTTCTAAGTTTGATGTGTGTAATGCCTTCTTTTATACATTGAATTCAAAGCCCCTGTCTCTCCCCATCAACACACATGCACACATGCACAAACATGAACACACATATCTCTCTACCTACACCTCAATTTTGGAGCCCAGCCTTACAATGATATCTGATATCTGTCTTCCACATGGCTCAGAACTATTTATCTCAAAATAGTGACCTATAAATTCTCTTTTTCTAAAGCTCACTCCTAACACACTAACAGAGATTTTACTCTTAATAATTTTTGTTTTATAAACTTACTTTTTAAATGAACCATGCTCTTTTTCTGCTAACATTTTAAAACTTCCAATCAGTTATATGGGATTAAATAAATATTTAGAGAAGCCATCAGGAAAATTATCTGCAGAAGTCCTAAAGTCACTTGGCACTTCCATGAAAACAATTTCCCTTTTTTGGGGAAGCGACTGGCCCATAGTGTGTAACCATTCTAAGCTAGGTACACCGAGGTACAAATGCCTTCTTTAAAGAAGTTGGATAGGGCCGGGCATGGTGGCTCACGCCTGTAATCCCAGCACATTGGGAGGCCGAGGCGGGCGGATCATGAGGTCAGGAGATCGAGACCATTCTGGCTAACATGGTGAAACCCCATCTCTACTAAAAATACAAAAAATTATCCGGGTGTGGTGGCGGGCGCCTGTAGTCCCAGCTACTTGGGAAGCTGAGGCAGGAGAATGACATGAACCCAGGAGGTGGAGCTTGCAGTGAGCCCAGATGGAGCCACTGCACTCCAGCCTGGGCTACAGAGTGAGACTCCGTCTCAAAAAAAAAAAAAAAAAAAAAAAGAAGTGGGATATATGTGTTTTTATGTAAAATGGTAACCTAAGACTTGAGTGGAATTACAATGCAGATTCCTTTTGATCAAGGAAAGGTACATTATCATGTTGCTTAACTCCTGTGAAATGCTACAGTATTACTATATTTGAAGAAGGTGTGGATGATGAAATATCTTCCTAAAGTTAGAATATTTATTTGAAGTTGACAACTGATTTGTAATTTTGTTAAATATTTGTAGACAAGTGTGTGTTTAATATCTTGAGCATTCCACAGCAAACTTTTTTTAAAAAAATATTTTTAGAGACAGGGTCTCACTCTGTTGCCCAGGCTGGAGTACAGTGGTATGATCATAGCTCACTGAAGCCTCAAACTCCTGGGCTCAAGTGATCCTCCTCCCTCAGCCTCCCAGGCAGCCAACCCTACAGGCAAGTACCAACCCACCTGGGTAATTTTTTAAAAACATTTTTATGTAGAGCTGGGTCTCAGTATGTTGCCTAGGCTGGTCTTGAATTCTTGGCAATTGATTTTCCCACCCAGGCCTCCCAAAGTGCTGGGATTACAGGTGTGAGCCACTGGCCTGAGTCATTATTTTGATTCAAGGGCAGGATCAAACCTATAATCCTTAAGCCTGTTCCTAAAAATAATATTGAGATATTTCTTAGTCTTGATTTTTTTCCCACCTTTTAATTTCTATATTTGGCCAAAAGGATATTAAAGAGTGGAATAGGAGACAAACTTTAGAAATACAGGGAAAAGAGAGTAGTAATGGTTATATTCTGAATATAAGCTCTTACTTGGATACTAATCAGTATTTGATTTCTAGGAGGGTGGATGTATAGGGAGTAAGTGAACTTACAAAGAGAAAAGGGTACAGGGTAGGCACAACTCTTTATAGAACAACCAAAGTTTCAGGACAGTTTCCTAAGAACCTCGAGTTTTCTTCATGTATTATTTATTGTTTAGTACACAGACGTGACCAGCATTGGAATTTATGTGGCCTCATTGCCTGCCTTTTTTTTTCCAGGTTACCACCTATTTGCAATTCAAGGAGAATATAAGACAGAGAAGAAAGCTGTGAATGAATTTCATTTGATTAGCAATAGATTGGACACTCTACTGATCTTGCCTCTCTACAACCTCTCTTCCACCTGACCTCTAAATGTTGAAGTGTTTCAGGAATTGTCTTAGACCTTCTTCCTTATCTACACTTCCTCTCCAAGTGAGTCCATAGAATTCTATGACCTGGAAACTCCCCAGTTTTTCTCTCTAGAAATTCTCGACTTTAGTCTCATATATCTGGTTGTTGACTTGACATCTCTACTTGGATGTCTCTGAGATACCTTAAACTCAATATGTGTAAAATATATATAGCTCTTGATTTTCCATTCTGCAAAAATACCATTCATTTCTTGGCCTTTCTCCTCACAGTCTTTGGCACTACAGTTCACCTAGCTGCACAAACCTAAAACTTGGGAGTCATCTTTATTTATTTTTCTGTAGCATCTTCATTCAAGTTCATCAACCCAACTTCTCTGTACTATAAAATTAAAATAATACCTTTTTAGTAACATGGAGGATTAAAGGAGTTAATAAATAAATGTAGCCTTTGAATAGTGCCTGGCACATAGTTAACACAATATAATTGTAGCTACTACTGCTACTGTTGTTATTACTTTTTATCCCCTACAGCATCAACCCCCTGCGGCAAGCCACCACCTTTTTCATGGACCCCTAGCTTTCTGATTTCTGGGCATCCATTGTTGTTTTGCTATAATCCATTCTCCACAGAGCCGGGAGCATTCTTTCAAAAAGAAATCAATTCACACTTTCCTGCTTTATACTCTTCAGTGGCTTTCCTTTGCTCTTAGAGTAAAATCCATACACAGCACTGCACAACCTGGCTCCTGCCTGTTTACCAATCTTGCATATTATGTTCCAGTCTTCTGGAACACATTCACCAAGACTTTTCTTTCCTTCAGGCTTTTGTATTTGCTCTTCTTTCAGTATGGAATTCTCTTCCCCAAGCTGTTGGCATGTCTAGTTCATTTGCATTTTGGGCATTTCAGCTCAGCTGTCATCTCAGTGACCAGTTTTTATCTGAGGTAAGAAAATGAAAGGTTTTCATTCATACCCACCTTCTCTTGCTGTAATAGCTATCTGGTTGTGCCTGTAAGAGCCAACTGTGTACTCCAGGCAAAACCAAGTGGACCACCTTAGCCAAGAGGCTGAAGACTATTCAGACAATCAAAGAATCCTGCTTTCAGCAGAAGGCTGAAAACAATGCAGATAACTGAATGTTGTTTAGTGTTGAATTTGATAGGAAATAAAGGGATAGTGAAACTTAAATCTCTATGTTTTACAAGTTCTGAAATTTCCTTCTTGACCTTGAAATGAATCTAATACAACTCTAGCCTCAGATTGAGGAATCCTCCCTAATTTTGGCAGTCTTTAAGAGTCTCTAACGCAAAGTAATGACTACCTACTTAATATAATCCAGTATTTATGGCCGGGCGCAGTGGCTCACGCCTGTAATCCCAGCACTTTGGGAGACTGAGGTGGGTGGATTACTTGAGGTCAGGAGTTTGAGACCAGCCTGGCCAACACAGAGAAACCTGTCTCTACTAAAAATACAAAAATTAGCCAGGTGTGGTGGTGGGCTCCTGTAATCGCAGCTACTCGGGAGGCCAAGGCAGGAGAATCCCTTGAACCTGGGAGGCGGAGGTTGCAGTGAGCTGAGATCGTGCTACTGCACTCCAGCCTGGGTGACAGAGTGAGACTCTGTCTCAAAATAATAATAATCTAGTATTTATAAATGTTTTATATAGCTACAGAAAGTGCCTCCATTAATCTTGAAAAGTCCGAACTATTCATTCTTAGGGTTATCTCCATTAAGCTGGAACCAAATTAGTGAATACTTCTTGTAACTTTCCTTCTTTATGTTCAACTAGCATGAATCTTGATGGCTCTGCACAAGATCCTGAAAAGAGGGAATATTCTTCTGTGTGTGTGGGCAGAGAAGATGACATTAAAAAATCTGAAAGAATGACAGCTGTTGTCCATGATAGAGAAGTGGTCATTTTCTACCACAAGGGAGAATATCATGCTATGGATATTCGCTGTTACCGTAAGATTTTATTTTTCATTTGTAAAACTTTAAACCATGAAACTATCAAAATTTCAGTTTTTTAGTGACTGCAGGTAATATTCAATTCCTTTTCAGACTCAGGAGGACCTTTACATTTGGGAGATATAGAGGTATGTAAAATTAAATTTATTTTCAGCAAATTCAGCAAATAAATATATTCAAAAATAATTTATAATTGGTTTGAACTATATTTTAATGCTTTGAATATAATTCCAAGTATTCTGGGAATTCATAAGATAAATGAGAAATATGCTTATCTTTTGACCTAGCAATTATACTCTATATCTATTCTATGGCCATAATTGCACGGATGTTTAAGTATTTGTATAGGAATGATTCATTGTAGCATTATTTATTATAATGAATAATTGAAGGCAACCTAAATGTTTTAACAATCGGAAACTGGTTAAATAAATTATGATACAGCCATGCTGTGGAATAACTGTACCATGCAATCATTAAATTAATAAGGCAGATCTATATGGGTATGGAGAGATGTGAACAATGTATTTGTGACTGAAAAAAGCACGTCATAGGATGATAATAGTCTTATGAGATCTCTTTTTTCATCAAAAAGAATATTCACTTTTTACTGTATACACTGTGCATAATTTGAATTTTTAAAATGAGTATATATTATTTTTATAATATAACAAAAATATACAGTATAAATATATTTTTAAAGAAATAAACCACACTGTAGTCTTAACTGAGGAGGAACGGGGGAAGTTGTCTTTGCTTCCTTGGATTCCAAAACTAGTCACCTAATTTCTTGTTTCTTCATGAAATTGGTCTCTCTCTCTCTAACCGATGCAAAGTACAAGCTTGAACTTAGCATTCCACTCTCTCTACACTTGATGAGTGTACACACCTGTCCTCATGTTAAAGAACGTATGTGTGTTTATTTTTTCTATTTTTTCCCATTGTCCAAACCCACATATGTGAATCTTTGCTGACAGTTTTATGTAATGTAAATTATGAAAATGTGAATCTTTGCTGACAGTTTTATGAAAGTACAAATCAGTATTCCTGCACTTTTGGATATAGAGGGGAAAATGAAAGCACCCACTTACATGTGTGAGCTGATAATAGTTCCATAGAATTTTCTCCAGTTTCAGTCCATAATGAGAGCTTGAAGACCTTGCTCCTCAAACTGTTGTCCATAGACCAGCAACTTTGGTGTCACATGGGAGCTTCTTAGACATGCAGAATCTTGTCACCCCAACCCCTTAGACCTACTACATTTAAACAGAGAGACATGCATTGAAACAAGATCCAGGTGCTTCCTATGTTTTTTAAAGTTTGAGAAGCACTTCACCAAGACAGTTAAAAAGTTGAGAATTAACTACTTTGGATCACAAATTGCTCTTCTATTATCATATGCACTCATGCCTTTAGTAACTCCTTTTGAATTTATATCTGAACCTTACAGTTCTTCTAGAAGCTAGTGAAAATTCCTATAGAAGCACTTGAAGTCCTTGCCCCATTTCTGTCAAGGAGGCGACATTAACATCTAATAGATAACAGCACAGCTGCAGTCACATGGTTTAGTTGCCTGAGCATGTCAGTCTTCTGATAGAGCTCTAACTGGCTTTCTAATCAACTGTAAAAGAGCTTGATGACTCTTCTCAGATTAGGATCTGCTTTATGCTGAATAATTTGTACATAGGAGGAAAAAAAGAAAAGCTAACCTGTTTTTTTAACCTGGTTCTTCTGCAGCAGACTCTTCAGAGTCTATCAAGAACATTTGACATGTCAGAATATTAAATGAGTTATTCTCTTCCCCAGGATTTTGATGGACGACCGTGTATAGTTTGCCCCTGGCATAAATACAAAATTACTTTGGCAACAGGAGAAGGTCTGTACCAGTCTATAAACCCTAAAGATCCATCAGCAAAACCCAAGTGGTGCTCCAAAGGAATAAAGCAAAGGATTCACACAGTGACAGTAGACAACGGAAATATTTATGTGACTCTTTCTAATGAACCTTTTAAGTGTGACTCTGATTTTTATGCCACTGGAGACTTCAAAGTAATTAAGAGTTCTTCCTGATAAAAAATATATAGAAATGAAAAATGTTGTGTATGCTTGAAAACATTTTTAGAATAACTCTGCTTCAGTTTTAAAGGTGATGAAATTTTTCAACATAGGCACAACTGTTTAAAATTCACATACATTTGAGAGGTTTAAGAGCACACATACTTAGTATGATGTAAGGATTATCATCAGGATCAATAGAATACATTTTATCGAATCTTCTGGATTAATTAGAAACCTGAAGGTTATAGGTTTGGGATGTTCTGTTTAAGAAGGATAAAAATAAATTTGGAGTAAACAAATAATAGGTAAAAATTAAGGATTAGTAAGAAAAAATTTTTTAATTTAAAAAATTTAATTTTTAAAATAGGAAAAAATCCCTGTTTGATGTAGCAGACTTAATTCTGGAAAAGTTTTAGTATATACAAAGTAAACAGACTATATAATGAACTTCCATCACTCAGCTTTAACAGTTATCAGCATTCTTCCATTCTTGTTTTATTTATACCTCTGTGGATTTGCTACCTCTCCTATTTGATTGTTATTTTTACATTTTTAGGAAAGTTTAAATACATTGAAATGTTCACCTCTGAACTGTGCAACCTTCCTAAATAACAGACTTTTTATACTTAAAAAATGCCTCCAAAAATGAGATAGGTTTACCTGCTGAACTTGAAAATAAGAAACTTAACCACTGTTAAGTGATCTGTGATCAAGGCAGATCTTGAAGTAAGGAAGCCAGACACAGCTGCTGCCCAGCCATGAGAGATGTAAAGTCTCCTATTCAGTGAGCCAATGTTCTTTGAATGCCTATATGAAATTTTCAAATAAAGATTTTTAAAAACGTTTTAGAACTTTGTGAATGTAGGCACAACTAAGTGTCTCCTATAAATATTATAGAGAGGAGATCTAGGGTTTTGTTCCTTGGAGTTCCCGAGCAAGGTTGATGTTCAGTTGGTTCACCCTGGTTTTATCATGTCAGTTATTTATGGTCAGTACCATTCAGTTGCAATGATGGTCATACCGTACCAGTTGTAATGTATTTAAAATAACACCCCAAGCACCCACCATGCAAAAATCAGCAGCACATAGTGGTGATTTTTGCATGGTCAGTGCTCATGCAAAAATCACCACTATGTGGGACCAGAAATAGCTAAAATGAGTAGATGATGAATTCAGAGTGAGAAGAACTGTCAAGATTGGAACCTAGTCTCAAAGCACAGTAGTATTTTTAAAGGAATAGAATTAAGAATCTAAATCTAATACTTAACATTCTAAGGAGCCGACCTGGACTCTTTCTCTTGGTTATTATAAAAATAGTAAATGAGTAAGGTCCGTATAGTAAAGACTCTGCTTACTTACCTTTACTACATATTATTACACTTCCTTTTCTGTTGGAGTTTGGATAGCATGAGTAGCACTTGGTCCTCATTTCTCAGACAACCAACGAACCAGACTTGGGCTTTTTATAGATACTGTTTGTGGTAGCAGCTACTTACTAAGTACAGAAAATGTACTATCTCTCAGGAAGGTACATCCCAGTCTATTCTATCATGTGATAATCCTTCAATGCCCAGTCAGGTCTTAACACATGTCCAGAATATAAAGTGTACAGAAGAAATCAAAGTACTTTCTTCAGGCAAAAACTAGCCCTGGTTTGCAGGAATAATTACAGAAATATTTTCTCATAGGAGCCACTGGCAATAATGAGTAGTGTGCACTTGATTTTTCATTCTAAATTTGTATCTCTAAATCTAGAAATAAAAATCATATCATGTACTGTCTTCATATACAGAAATCTTCTCATCACATTGGTAAGTAATATTTTGTTTTATAAATTTATGACATCTGTGAATTGCAAATCCTTCATAACTTTGCAAGTGATTTACAAAATAATAATAGGCAGACTCAAACTCTCCAGTCTGCATATAAAAAATAAATATTCTTTTATTTTGATATGCACCATCTTGATGGGGCTTTTTTTCCTCCCAAGTAAAGAATTAGACACTCAAAACAAGTCTTTAATAAAAACATTAATGTATTATAAATATGCTTATATTATAAACCACAGTGTAAAGTCTAACCTACCAGAGGATGGATTTTCTTGTTCATTAAAAGTATGTAGTCAGTACATATATTCCACATCAATATTCATTTTATTTACTCTATCATGTAAATACTAGAAAATGACATTTTAATAGTAGCCCCCTTCTCTTTTTTTTAAGAAAGCAGAGCAATTCAGAATATGTAAACTAGACTCTGAGTTTTGTCAGATGAAATGTGCCATTAAATAGATAACTCTTAAGTTCTGTTCAGTGATACCTGTATTCAGATTTGCTCATTCATTTCAGCTGATTGGTCAAACACAGAATGTAAAACTTGGATGTTATTACTCTGCTTATTAGCAAGAAGCTTGGGGTAATCTGAAATGTCTGGCTTCTCCGGCAATGACCTATAAGGTTTTGCTTTGATTTCACCTTCAGCAAACATAGGCTCCGAAAGCACAGGCTCAGAAAAGGCTTTTCTACAATTTTCACTCTCCTCTCTGTTTTGCCTTATGGATTCTTCTTCCTGGAAGATGTTCTTTACCTTCTTCAGCACAGCATTAACACAGACTGCCTATACAATAAAAAGAGTTTGTAAAGTGAAGTTTCTTTTTAAGCTACTAACCACAGATTAAAAACATACAATATAGTGTTCCACATAAAGTCATTTAATCTACATAATCTAATAAAAAACACTTCTTTTCAGGACCTTCAGGTACATAATATAATAAGCATTGGGAGATTGTTCTAAATAATACATTACAATCTAGAGAGCAATTTAAAACCTAGTATGCTTCAATAAATATATGTTTTACATCTTTTCCCCCCAATTCATTAGCTGTTTTACATCTTTATTCTCTTGATGTAATTAAATGAAACATTTTCTGAGAGATGGAATTTGTCCTCAAACATGGTTTTTCTCAAAGTAGTTTTTTTGTTTTAATTTTCTTCCCCCTAGACTTTGCTTATACTTACATGTGCAATGAAAGGACATCAACATATCAGTAAGAATTTAGTAAGCTACTATCAGTGGTTTCTGAGCAAATATGTGATCCACTGTCCCCTCCAAATATGCCACTCAGTACTTTAAGGAGAGGAGTGTCAAAAATAAAACAGAGAAAAATAACTTCAGAAATTCAGAACCACTAAGGACTGCATTAATTAAACTTACTCTGTAAGTTTACTAATGATGAAGATGATGATGATGCTGAGTATTCAAGGCACGCGGTGAGAACGGAAAATTCATGAAATATGAGAAGACTTAAACCAGTTTATTTCACCGAAGAAATGCCTCAAGGTAATATAAAAGATTATAAACACTTAGAAGGTTTTCCGAAAGAGGTAACAGCAAAAGGATTGAGGTCCTCAGGCTTGAACAGCCTCAACTTCCTCTTGCCCTCCTGCCTCCTGCCTCCTTCTTGCCTGCCTCTTGCTATAGAATTGAGGAACACAAGACACTTTCCCTCACTTCCCTGCAGTTAGTTCATTAGCTACCCTGTAACTAATGAAATAAAATGATATGTCTGCTGGGATGGAACTCAGAAAGGATTTTTGGAAAAGTTTTTCCTCCTATATAGACTGTCTTTTCCCTCTACCTATCTCCCTCTTCCTTCTTTGAACACTGATAGTATTGTGATGCTTGATCATGAGGCAACAAACCTAAGGACTAAAAAGTTTTTAGAAGAAAAAGAGGGAAAGACCCTGTTGTCTTAGGCTTTTAGGGCTGCTGTAACAAAATACCATGAACTGAGTAGCTTACAAACAATAGAAATTTATTTCTCACAGTTCTGGAGAGTGGGAAATCCGAGATCAAGGCACTGGCAGATTCAGGGTCTGGTGAGGGCTGGTTTTCTGTTTCATAGATGGTACCTTCTATCTATGTCCTCATATGGTGGAAGAAACAAGGCAGCTGTCTCAGGCCTCATTTCTAAGGGCACTAATCCCATTCATGAGGACTCTGCTCTCATTACCTAATCACTTCCCAAAGGCCCCACTTGCTAATACCACCACCTTGGGATTAGATTTTAACATAAGAATTTGGGGGAAGCACGGACATTCAGACCTGGGCTTTGATAACATGTTGGACCTAATTGTACAAACCTGGGAATTGCCTAACTCCCAACTTATAATTAAGATATTTAAGTATCTTTATCGATTAAGATACTGTCATTCAGATATCCTTTGTTACTTGCACTTTTATGTATCCAGACCCAGCACTAGAAACCTTTAAAGTCATGACCTTTAGCTGTAAACAGCCTCATCCATTTATCCAAAATATGATCATTCTCTGTGAATTCATGTTGCAAAAAAGGTTGGAAAGTTCTATCCTATTTGAAACATTCTCTCCTCCCTCACCAACAAAAAATTATATTTGTGCACATTCTAACCACCTTTTTCCCAGTCTCAGGAATGAACGGTCTTGATCAAGGTCAGTATCCTTCTATCTTTGTTTTTAACCTACATCCTACCATCTTCTCTATCAATTATTCCTTGTCTCTTCAGCCTCTTTACTCTTGACTGGATCTTCCCCTGCAATTTATAACATACTTGAGTATCTTCCATCCTAATATTTAAAAATTAAAAATCTCTGGGAATCTGCTTCTCTATTGACTGCTACACACTCTGTCTTCTTAGTCAAACCAGAGTCTGTTTCCACGTTATTACCTTCTGTTCACTCTGAAACCTGCTTATTTCTGTCTTCCTTATCCAGTTATGCCGCTGAAATCATTTTTGAGATGGTTAACCTTGACATCTTTACTACTATATCTAATGGACACTTCAAATCTTCATTTTACTTGACTTTTTCTGCTTGTATTTGACACTTAACTACTCACAACATCCTGAGTCTATTTCCTTGGCACTATTTCTCCTGATTTTCTTTCTGCCTTTCTGATTGTTGCTTCTTGTCTCCCAAATGGATTCTTTTTTAGCTCACTTAAATATTGCTGTTCTTCATATTTCTGTTGACTTACCTGTCTTTTCTCTTGATATGGTTCCACTCGTAGGACATTAACATCTAACATATATATTGCTTTCAAAACCAAAATTGTAACCTGACCTCTCCCAGGCCTTAGATACATATATGACCAATTATCAGATCACCAAAAATTTGTTTCTATTACCTGCTTATAAAGTTCATGGCGTGATAAATTGTGTGAGATGATTTCAACAGCCTTTGAGAAATTGAAATCTAATTTTTGTGTTAGTCTAGTTTTTATTTCCCCATAGACATGTCATCCTGTTCATTTTGTGCAATGTATTTACATCCTAGCTTAGTTGAATGCCAATTTTGTATAAGATTCACATTTAAAATATTGAGCACTTCTTGAAAATTTAAAACAGTGGCAAAATAGTTGATAAATTTAGTTTTTAAAAAACTGAATTAATATGTTTAAAAGTAAGTTCTACCTTTTTTCAAGGATATTTAGCTATTCTTGACCCTATGCACTTCCCTATATATTTTAGAACTATCTAGTCAACTTACATACACACACATACACACACACATGCACACACCTGCTTGGCTCTTAATTGGGACTTCTTGTATGTTTTGATATATTAACAAATGTGTAAGAATGCTAACAAAAAAACATAAAAATGATTAAAAGAAATTAAAGAATATCAAAATAAGTAGAAGGATATATTATATTCATGAACCGGAAAGAGGACTTATTCTCCCAGTTATTAAGATATAAAGCTCCTGTAATTAATACAGTGCTCAATTGGTACAAGAATAGACAAATAGACCAACTGAATAGAACAGAGAATCCATAAACAGACCTACACATAAAGGACACTTGATTTATGCAAAAAAGAGTATTCTAGGACAATAGAAAAAGGGCTTTTTTTAAAGAAAAAATAGATTAATTGGATACTCATGGGGAAAAATTTGACTCTTACCTCATATTAGTTCCAGATGGATTATAAATCTAAACGTGAAAGGTAAACTAACAAAGCTTCTAGAATACAACAGGAGAATATTTTCATGACCTTAGGTGTAAGTCAAGATTCTCTTTGACACAGAAAGCACGTAAGATAAAGGAAAAGATTAATAAATTGGATGACATTAAAATTATGATATGCTTTTATTTATTTTAAGACTGGATCTCACTATTTTGCCCAAGCTGGTCTCAAACTCCTGGGCTCAAGGTATCCTCCTGCTTCAGCCTCCCCCGTCAGCCTCCTGAGTAGCAGGGATTATAGGCACACACCACCATGCCTGGCTAAGAATTTCTTCCTTAAAAGACATTATTAAAAGAATGAAAAGGCAAGTCACGGAGTAAGAGAAGAAATTTGTCCATATATAATCAAAAAAGGACAGGCTCCTAGAATATGTTTTTTAAAGTAAAAATCAAAAATTGTTTTAAGAAAGACATCTCTCAATAGAAAAGCAAGAAGAGATTTTAACAGAAATTAACAAAGAGGATATCCAAATGTCCAACTAATATATGCAGAGGTACTCAATCTCATTAATAGCCAAGGAGATGCAAATTAAAACCACAATGTGATGCAAATTAAAACCACAATGTGATTATACTACATGCCCACAAAAATGGCTAAAATGGAAAAGATTGACAATACTGTCAGTAATGATGTGGAGCAACTTGGACTTAAAACTGAGATTTGTGTTAATTGTTAAAAAACCATTTTAGAAAACTCTTTGGCAATATCTACTAGGTATCAGCACATGCATACCTTATGGCCTAGCAGTTTCACCAAAAGATATGTACAGGAATATTTATAGCAACCTTATTCATAGTAGCCAAAATGAAATAATCCAAATGTCCATCAGCAGTAGAATGGATAAATAAATGTTGATACAGTCAATCAGTTGAATACTACACAGCAGTGAAAATGAACAAACTACTGCTACAGGCAGTGAATGATCTTAAAACAGTGTTGGGCAAAAGACAAACACAAAAGAATACATACTATATGACTTTATTTATATAGAATTCAAGCAGTCAAACTATCAGTAGTATTACAAGTCAAAATAGTGATATCCTGTATAGGAAAGGGTAGTGATTGTGAGGGGCAAGAAAGAGGCTTCTGGAATTATGGTAATGTTTTGTTTCTTGACCTGGGTAGTATAGAGCTTAATAGATTTTGTGATAATTCATTAAGCTGTACACTTTCCTTTTTGTGTGTTACAGTTTTTTTAAGTGGCTATTAATAGAAAATAAAACCCTTATAATTAAAAAATCTTTTATATTTTTCTCATGCACAGCACTTGTAATCCAAAATACACTAATACCTGCGTTCCCCAAAGTGAGAAACCCCAAATGTTAGAATACTGAACTTTAGCCAACCATGGTACAATGGCTGAAAAAAACAACTGTAGCTAAATAACAGTAAAACTAAAAATTCTTGACCAAAAATATTCAAGTGGTAATAAACTTTATGAAAATAAAATTTTAGTTATTTAAGCAAACTGGGTTTTGGTGGATTGACCTGGCTCATCAGAAAAGGAAATTTTTAATATAAAATTGTTTTGTGTAACGAGACTGTGAATGGTAACATTAAATATTGTACAGTATACTATTGCACAGTATTATTAACATTACACAAAATAAGTAGATTTATTTCTAGATTCTAATAATTTTCTTAACTTACCAAATAAATTAGTGCTGCATATGAAGCATATATTATGCTAGTTAAAGCAGTCTTTGCTGGAAAGGAGATGATTTCAAACAAAGAACCCTTTCTGACCTGCAAAAACAGAAAAGATTTTCTTAATAAACAAACATTTTCAGTGTTTCAATGTCATATTGTACAATGTTACTGTAAAATGAGAATTTATTTTTTTCTAAAGAAAGTCATCTACTTTAGAGCTATCTGGGCTTTTTCACATTGTGAAAATTATTTTTCCTTTTTTAACAAGAAGACAGTTTCTTGTGCTAATCAAAACCTGTGACAAATCTATAAAAATCTTGCATTTCTGCGATCTAAATGACTAATTTTTGCCAATTACCAACTGTGCACACTAGGAGGTGCTGCTGTGCATATTAGAAAAACAGTCTTTCCTTTGTTAAAATTCATGTAATCATTCTTTACTAATTATTCACAACCTCAATTAAGTAAACAGCAATCAAAATAATAAGCTTTTCCTAGAGATTAATGACCTGCTTGGAAATGTTAATCATGAGACTGCTGAAGGCGAGCATTAACCTTAGATGATCATTAAGCTTCAGAAAATGTTCTGTGCTCATATGCAACAGGCTCTTATGAAACACAGAGAAGTTTAACACCAATAATGAAGTTGCCTCTCCTGTGTTTCTAGTTTCTGGCAGTAGGTGTACCGGCCTGAAACATATCAGCTTAACATACTTAGTTATACTGTCTCATGGGCCACCTTTGTTGCCTTGAGCAGGGTATGAAATGAGGACTTTAGGAAATACATTCCCTTTCCATTCAGCAGTGAAGTGACAGTTAGCCAGGCTCCTCTGAAGTAAGAGCCAAGCAACTTAATGGCTTCGATGAACTTCCAAAAGGTACAGGCTGTAGCTGATAAAATCATATAAATGCATGGTAAAAACATGCACATAATGTTCATTAGACAACGTTCATTAAAGAGTTATAACATTGAAAAAACTAAAACAATGATCGTTGATTAAAGAGTTATAACATTGAAAAAACTAAAACAATGATTCCAGAATAGTTAGGAAAATTATGTTATATCCACTCAGTGGTATATTATGCAATCTTTTTATTTTTTCAAACCTTTTATGTATTTTTAATTGACACATTGTAATGGTACATATTTAAGGAGTACAATTTGATGTTCCCATAGAAGTCTATGTTATATAATGATCCAATCAGGGTAGTTAGCATCTGTATCACATTGTGCATTTATCATTTCTTTGTGGTGAGAACATTAAAAGATCCTCTCTTCTAGCTATTTTGTAATACATAATATTTTACTGTTAACCGTAGTCACCCTACTGCGCAGTAGAACACCAGAATTTATTCTGCCTATCTAATTGTAATTTTGTACCCATTTAACAACCTCTCACCATCCTTCCCTTTTCCCCTTTCCCTACCTAGTCTCTGGTAACCACTGTTCTCCTCTCTGCTTCTATGTACCAACTTTTTGTTGTTGTAGTTGTTAAAATTTCACGTGTGGGTGAGATCATGTGGTACTTGTCTTTCTGTGCCTGGCTTATTTCATTTAATGTGATCTCCAGATTCATCCTTGCCATCACAAATGACAGAATTCTTTTTAATGGTTAAATAGTATTCAATTGTGTATATAAACCACATTTTCTTTATCCATTCACCTGTGGTTGGACACGTAGGTTGATTCTATATCCAGGCTATTGTGAATAGTATGCAGCCTTTTAAAAGGTATTTCTGGGCCGGACACAGTGGCTCACACCTGTAATCCCAGCCCTTTGGGAGACCAAGGCAGGTGGATCACCTGAGGTCAGGAGACCAGCCTGATCAACATGGTGAAACCCCATCTCTACTAAAAATACAAAAATTAGCCAGGCCTGGTGGCGCATGCCTGTAATCCCAGCTACTTGGGAGGCTGAGGCAGGACAATCGCTTGAATCTGGGAGGCAGAGGTTGCAGTGAGCTGAAATCATGCCATTGCACTCCAGCCTGGGCAACAAGAGCAAAACTCCATCTCAAAATAAATAAATAAAAGGTACTTCTGAAGAACACGTGATAACTTTTTGTTGAACGAACACTTACATGGCACTGTCTACCAGGTCCTGTTCAATGTACTTTATAAGTATTCACATTTAATTCTTAAAACAATCCTATGAAGTTGGTATTATTATTATCCTCATTCCACAACTGGAAAGCAGAAAAAAGAAAAGTAGGCAACTTGCCCCTGGTAATATAGCTGATAAGTAGCAAAGTGAGGTTTAAACTGGAAATAGTACTCCAGGGCCCAAGTTGTTAACCTGATCATTAAGCTACGCTGCCTTGGGATACACTACTGCTCATGAAGAGTGGTAAAGGACTGCATTACAGGGATGGACTCTGGAGTAAATAGATGTAGTTAATTTCTAGCCCCAGAGTTCTTGAGTAATGAAATCTTGGACAAATTAATTCTTTCCTCTAAGCTTTGTTTCCCTCATCTCCAAATTGAGAATAATAGCTAATGTTTATCTCATAGATTTGCTGTAAAAATAAGAAAATGCTTGTAAAATTTTTAGTAAAATGTCTGTGCATGGGTAGTATTAAGGGACATTAATAGTCCCTTATTAGAGAGGGAATATTAATAATAGTAATAATAATAGAGAAAGATCAAGGTTCAAAATAGTAAGCATAACAAGTATGATTGATTCCATTTATATAACATACAAAAACAAGCCAAACTATGCTGTTGGAAGAAAAGGAAACAATTATCCTAGCAAGGGTGAGAATTAGTGACTGTAAGGCAGCAGCATCATGAGATTTCTTGAGTGCTGCTTACCAAGATGTGTTCAATCTATGAAAATTTATGGAGCTATACACTTAATTTGTGCACTATTCTGTATACTTCAGTATAAAGCTTAAAAATTCTACATCCCATGTTTTTATGATTAAACACAATTAACATTGCATAGAAAGAAGTTTGGACAGAAATGCACCAAAAGTTTAATTGCTGTTATGATTTAGTTATGTGGCTTTGTATAGTTAACATTTGTAGAACACTCATTACATGCTAGGTTCTATTCTACTGGCTTTCCTTGCATTCTCTCATTTTATCCTCTAACAAACCTATGAAATAAGAACACAGGTTCAGAGAAATTAAATTCTTTCTTGTTTTCTATATTTTCTATGTTAGGTTGAAAGTACATATGGTATTTTGTAAATGAAATTATTAAAATATGTGTACATCCTGTTCTAGTATGCTCAGTGTTCGCTTAGTGCTGCCACTACTGAATGCAGAACAAAAATGCCCACTGCAATTTCCTTCTTCCCTCTTAAGTGATTTACAGAACAAGGAAACCAAGAATAGGATCTAGCCTAGTAGCTAAGAGTGGGGGGGTGGGGGTGCTGGGGGTTGGGGAAAGGCTGTTTTCTTTCTTCCTCCTTTCTCTTCGGGCCGTACTAACTCCTAGATGTAGGGATAGGTAGGGAAAGTTTCTGCCCACTCCCTCCATAGGTCACCTGCAGCATTTCCCAGAATTCCTGGCTTCTGGAAAGAGTTTCCAGGAAATGAAGCAGCTGCTGCTTTTTCTCTCTAGAAAGAATCAAATTGATAGCATGCCTTTGAATCCCACTTTTAGGCTACACGGAGACAAATATACAAGTAGAGAGCAGACTCTCTAGGAGGAAGAAAAGCAGATATACCTCCTAGCAGAGTGAAAAGGTTCTTAAGCTTGTGAATATATGAATTCACAGTGGGAGGTCCATGTTCAATCATTGGTAGGCCATATACAATAAAAATAAAAGTTGTGTTGTATGGGTTGGATCTGTGTCCCCACCAAATCTCATGTTGAAAGGTAATCCCAAATACTGGAGGTGGGTCTGGTGGGAGGTCATTGGATCATGGGGGCAGTTTCTCATGGTTTAACACCATCCCCCCTTGGTGCTGTCTTCAGGATAGTGAATTCTCATGATATCTAGTTGTATAAAAGTGTATGGCCTCTCCCACCTCTCTCTCTTCCTCCTGTTCCAGCCATGTGAAGTGCTGGTTTCCCCTTTGCCTTCCACCTTGATTGTAAGTTCCCTGAGGCCTCCCCAGAAGCTGATGCTGCCATGCTTCCTATACAGCCTACAGAACCATGAGCCAATTAAACCTCTTTTCTTTATAAATTACCCAGACTCAGGTATTTCTTTATAGAAGTGCAAGAATGGACTAGTACGGGTGTCTACATGAGAAATTACTCTTTCTGTTTTATTACATCTTTCTTTCTCAGGTTTTGTCCTTCACCTAAAAGTAATTAAAGCTGATTAGTTTCAAAATAAATTATGTACTTGATATATGGTATGCTTCTGAATAATTAATCTTTATATTGTTTAAGGGTCATATTTAAATATTTTAATGCTTTTAATAATTACTTTTTATTCCTGTAACAAGAAAATATATTTCCTCCAAAATATATGTGGCTCCTGGCAAGTAGCCATTTTTCAACTTTATGATTCACTTAAAAAACATGTTTTTCATATTATAAACCATGCTGTTTCATTTTTGTCTTGCTTTGAGCAGAAATAGTGTATGGTAAAAGCTAAGAGAAAAAACAGGAGAAATTTGGTAAGTGGCAGTCTTTAGATGATCTTGGCCTATTTCAAAATTTTTATCTCAACCTTGTTATATTAATTTCACTTTATGTGCATATTTGAGTTAAAAAATGTCTTGGTATCAATGTTATGTTCATATATTTCTTTTTAAATTTGGTTATGTAAAACATGTAAAATATATGGATATTTGAGCAGTAAAAACATTTTGAACCTTTAATTCAACTTTTTCCACAGAATTTTGACTGCCTTATCTCATAAAAGAAGTATGTGTGTTCATCTTATTTTCACTATTGAGATAAATCACACAAAAAACCCAACAGTGAGCAGTAAAGATTCACTTATACATGACCTGAAGGTTGGAGAATTACCAGGCCCCATGTAGTTTACATTGTCCAAAACCACCCTGACGAGAGTTACAAGGGGAGTCATAGGGGAAGTTCTAACTCTCAGACAAATGTTGCAGGAAACACTGACTGCTACTTATAGAGAGGTCCAGGAAATAAAGTATTCCTGTTAAGTTTGGAAAAGCTGCACAAATGTGTCTTTACTTAGCAACTCACAACACCTTTGAATACAGGAAAGACTCCTGACTTTAAAGAAAGCTACCTGACTTTATTAACCCCAGTGTTAACATTCTGTAGAACATTGTTCTTAAACAAGCTTTTAATCCGGTGGTCCTGTAAAGGCTCAAATGTCCTAATCCCTTTGCCAACGTGGAGGAGTACTGTATGTCTTCAAGAGCCCAGGAGTTCTATCTAGGAAATATCCTCTTTCCCCGGGTCTAGATTATACCAGCCAAGTTAGCCTCATGGCAGGCCCATGTGGGACCTACAGAACTTCCTGATATTTATGAGGTTTATAGTTTAAACCCCAAATTGGAGTCTAACTTAGAGGGTGGGGTAAGGAAGAAACTTTACATAGGTAAGTTTCTGATCCTTATCCTGAAAAAAGAACACGAGTTCACTGGGATCCACCTTACAGCCCAGGCATTGTAAACGCTGAGGATTTTCTTCACTTTGGTCCCTATCTTATTCTATACCATGCCGCAGTATGCATACAAAGTAAAAACAGTCAACTCTAATGCCATTATAGGGATGAGTCTATCACAGGAAGAGCTCTTGGTCCTGTGGCTCTGCATTGGCCTGCCAGAATCAACAATGATGTCTGGGAGCTGACGTGTCTTGGCTGAAGTCAGCATTCAAGGCGATTATCTAGGTCACTGCAGCCTAGAGCAGCTGCGGACTCAACTCAGGCAGGCAACTCACAAGGCTAAGCAGATGCACCATTCTGTAAATACTGGCACTGGAGATGTTGAAAACTACCAGGAAATTCTCTACTAAGAGTTTTCCATTCCTGAGGCTTTTTATAGAACTAGCCACAATTCTATCACTGCAGTCTCATTCCTGCAGAACCTGGAGGGGTTTGAGGAATAATTTTATTCAGCATCCATAGAGCCAAGTACAAAAGAACCCTCTTCTAACAAGGTGGCAAGCTGGAAAGGCTTGACCCCAACCATCTGTGCACATGTCTCAGGCCATTAGAATCGCTTTAGGCCATTCCTGCCGGTTGGGTCTTTGGGAGGCTTCTATTTGGCACAACATTTCAATACGCTATGACATATTAAGCATGCTCTAGAGCTGAACATCCAATCAGAAAGGCCCGGGTGGATGGCAGAGGGAGCTCCTGAGCCAGTGTCCATTCTTCACCTTGAGAAGAACATTAATGGATGCTGCATTTCAGAGCTCCCCATGTCGAAGAGCTGAAACACTATTCTAGTTATTGTTTGTGTCCTAATGAAAATGTTCCTCTATTTCTTTGTTTCCAAAGGAAGTCACCTGCCTCACTGGTATTCTCAGCCATATAATAGAGAGTTTTGGTAGAGCTATTTAAGGTGCTCCAGCTACAAATGCATTTTTTCATCATTTGTCATCCACAAAACAGTGACCAGACAGAACACATCCAGAAGATATTTGAAAGACACCTTCAGGTAAGTTAACCAGGCCACTTACCTTCTTACAGCTAAGTTTTCCTAGAGTGATATCTTTCATGCATCCACAAAGCATATCCCCTTGCATGGTCCTTCCAGCTTTCACCCCTTTTACTTCCCCACACAAAGCTCCATCTGAGACAGGCAGTTTGACAATTCTTAAAGGAATTCATGCTGGAATCCACTCTGGGTAAGCTGAACTCTGTCTGATGCGGCTTCTCATACTACTGTACTTTGCTCTCAGCACACTCTGGTACCATGGATGCACTCCATTTACAGACCAATCCATTGACCTCTGCCACATCTCATACATTCCGGTTGCACCTTTGACTCTCCAGGCCATTGTCCTCATAGTCAGTTCTGTTTCTGTCCTCACTGAGCCTTTGAGATTTGAGAGACGTTGTTTACTACAACTTAGTTTTCCCTCACTGGCAATTCTGATTATCAACCCTAGCTACTGTATACTCCCCACGTAAAGCTTCTTCCTAACCCCAGCCCCCAAGGACCCTGGAACCTCTGACCTGGGACTGTTCTCACTTGTCTCACTCCAGCCATACAGAACTACTTATGTTCTCCAAATAAGTCATGTTCTCGCTCACCTCAGTATCTTCATATATACTGTTCTTTTCTTGGAATGATTCTCCTACTTCTCATCTAGCTAATTCCTACTCCAAGACTCAGATACAGTATCCTATCTCTAGAATGTCTACATGGACCACTCTTTGGAATGCTATGTCTCTTCTTGATGTTTCTGTAGTGCACTTTGCATACTTTGATCATCCACTTGCTACATCCTACTGACACTGCTTATTTGCCTGTGAGCCCCACAGTCCATAGGGCAAGGGTGAGACATCTCTGAGTCCCTGGTACCTAATCTAGTGATTTTGCATATCAGGTTTTCAATAACTTTTTTTTTGTTTTTGAGATGGAGTTTCGCTCTTGTTGCCCAGACTGGAGTGCAGTGGCACGATCTTGGCTCACTGCAACCTCGCCTCCAGGGTTCAAGCGATTCTCCTGCCTCAGCCTCCTGAGTAGCTGGGATTACAGGTGCCTGCCATCACGCCCAGCTAATGTTTGTATTTTTAGTAGAGACAGGGTTTCACCATGTTAGCCAGGCTGGTCTTGAACTTCTGACCTCAGGTGATCCACCACCTCAGCCTCCCAAAGTGCTGGGATTACAGGCATGAGCCACCACGCCTGGCCGCTATTTGTTGAATAAATAAAAATGTAGAAGTATATTTCACTTCCAATAAATTTAATCATCTTAAAACTTGGAAGATATTAAGAAGTAAAGCTGAAAAACATCTGGTTCCATACACATGGCAGACTGAGCTAATGTGGAGCATCTCACACAAAAACACCTAGAAATGTTTTAGGGTACATGTACCCTAAAACTTAAAGTATAATTAAAAAAAGTAAAAAAAAACCAGAAATGCTATAAAAATGAAGTTCAAAAGATGTAATACAAAATTGAGCTTACAAAAAGGAAAGGGACCTTCCCCCCACCCCCAATGCCACGAACAAAAAGGGAACTAAAAGCCAGAGCAGCAAGTGTGTGAGCTTATATCCCAGGAACTCTGGAGATGTTACTGGACCCTAAAATAATGGTTGGGTGCTTGAGTATTAATACAGAGACTGGATATGAGACTTGGGTAGATGTGAGGTGGGGATCAAGCCTTTGCAGAACTGCAATTTCAGTGAAACTGGGACTCAAACAATTGCATCCACCAGAACAGGAAAAAAGGAAGCTGGTCTCCATGTGGGACTCCCATGAGAGATTAGAATTCCAGGCTTTCCCCTTATAAAGGGATCTGAATTTACCCTATCAGTGTGATGCAGGAAATCCTAAGCTGAAAAAAACATAAAGATTGGTCTCAGGTTGCTGGAACCCCTGGAGCAACAAGCACAATTTCTCTAGAGGGACAGTTTCACCACCAAGGCCAAAAGAGGTTTTTTTTTTTTTTTTTAAATAAACAAAACTCTGAAGTTCTTTTCTTTTCAAGTTTCAGTTAAAATTATAACATAAGAAAATTATAAGTGAGATGCAATATAGATCACATAAGATAATTAGAATAAGGGCAAAGAAGAAGAGATTTCATAGTCATGGATTTTAAATTAATGTCAGAAAAGATAGTCACAGTTAACATCCTGACCTTACACAAGTCACTTAGTCCCTAAGCCTGTTTTTCTTAGGTTCCTGGAATAAGTTATCACACTTGATCTCTAAATTTACCTCAGAAACTCATTATCAGTCAAAGTAAAAAGGCAAACAGATTATGTCTCTTAGTTCTCATTACTGGATAAAAACACACAAATTCAACTGGAAAGACAGATTTTTTTCTTGCCACTGAATTTTCATGAGTGTTGGGAGATAAGTCTCCATGGATTTCTCTCATTCCTGTGCAGATTGGCCCTTCTGAGCAAAGGACATGTTTGAATAGCAAACAGCCTTGCAAAGTAGAAAAAGTATATCCTTCTAGAGAGACATGTACCTCCCTGAACATGTCATAGGCCATTAAAAATAAAGCCCTCTCCTTTTTCCCTGAAACATGTACTTATATTCCAGGGTAATGAATAATTAATCTCTCTCTCTTTCTCCCTCTCTCTGTCTCTCCATCTGTATATCTTTTTGGAGAGGAGGCTAGGGAGATGTGCCAGTGTCCCTATAAAAAGTCCCCAGGGTCTCCTGATTTCAAGGTTCCTCTCTCCTGTGATGCAACGTACTGTGTGCACAGGCAACATTTGGCCCACATCACATTGCCCTAAGGAATTCAAGCTTAGGGAACCAGCACAAGATACTGCTCTGGCTGATGCTTTTGCTGTGAATAATAAACCATGTGTTCGTGACCCAAGGCTCGTTGTGTGTGTGTTTGTGTGTGTGTGTGTGTGTGCATGTGCATATGTATGTGTACAATTGTGGCAGGCTAATTTGTTAGCTTGTGGGTAGTGTAAGATCTCAGATCCTTCACAGTTCTGACTTAGTAGAGAAGCAAAAAGGAAGACCCTGAATAGCATAATGACCTGTGTCTTTAAAGATTATTTCATATTAAATACAGAAGTATTCTTCAAAAGACATTTCTTCTGCCAACCCTCTATAAAAAACTATAGGTTTGACAATGCAAGGAAAGAAACATGAAGTCAAAACATTAGGTTTAGAAAGATATTTCAGTGGGGATTTAAGATAATATGGTTTAGCTTTGTTTCTTTTTTGCTTTTTATTTTCCTTTTTTTTCTTTTTCTTTTTTTCTTTTTTTTTTTAGACAGAGTCTTGCTCTGTTGCCCAGGCTGAAGTGCAGTGGTGCAATCTTGACTCACTACAACCTCTGCCTCCCAGTTCAAGTGATTCTCCTGCCTCAGCCTCCTGAGTAGCTGGGATTACAGGCACACCACCATGCTGGCTAATATTGTATTTTTAGTGGAGACAGGGTTTCGCCATGTTGGCCAGGCTGGTCTCAAACTCCTGAGCTCAAAGGATCCGCCCGCCTCAGCCTCCCAAAGTGCTGGGATTACAGGCATGAGCCACAGCTATGTTTATTTTCAGTGATCTAAAGATACAGGATTAAGGCTTGTAGTTCATAAAGAATCCAGTGGTTGGCAAACACAAACCATTTTTTACTTTCTCAGACATCAGAAATTATAAAAGAGCCTTTTATGAATGCTGCTCTCAGGCAATTTGTAGCTGAAATATATGATGATTTCTAGAAATGTCAAAATCTTTCATTAAAGAGAGACTCCAACATAAAGGGTATTTGTTGATTTCAGCTATCCAGGATCCATTTCTTACCTTCTTGAAGCAACCCAGATTTTTGAGGATTCCCTCATTCCACACCACTCTCAGGTCATGTGGTCTGGACAGAGCTCCAACCCCAGCTCTAGGGATAAGCAGGTAATCAAGTTCTAGGCCAATCAGTGCATCTCATGTCCTTGGTTTAGAGGTAAGCACTGAGAACACAAGCCATGCTCTTGGAATGAACCTGGAGACATTCCCGTTGGGGTCAGGGGTTTTCTCCCTCTTTTTTTTCTGCTGGAATTGAACCTGGAAGATTATAGCCAAGGAACAGCTGCAAATTATCTTGCAACTATGAGGGGAAAGTCAGCCTAATAATGGAGTCAAGACAGAAAGCAGAACCAAGACACTGAGCAAAAGCGAGAAAGGATCCGGAAGGTATCGTTTGAATACCTGTATCCAGCCATGTCGGGAATCTCAACAGCTCTGGGTTGTTTATGGGAGCTAATACATCTTCTTTTTTGGTTTAACTCAATTGGAGCCCCATTTTCTTCTCCTTCAACAAAGAGTTCAAATTAATTTGTCCTGCAGTTTAGATGCCAGAATTGCAAAATTCTGAATCTTTTGTAGTGACATTTAGGATGCTTTGTATAATGCCCAAATTGAAAAACTCTGAGTTCTGTGCCACGAAGTTTAGAAAGCAAGAAATTGATTCCAAAAAAGTTTTAAGAGTTGTTGTCCTCAACAAAATATAACACAGCCTCAATAAGAATGTAGAAAACGTAATTTGAATTTATAGGTAAATATACTCAATATATTATGTCAAACAAAGGTTGCCTTGGAAACATAACAAAGTTATGAGGAAAAAGGAACAAAACACAATAATTTTTAAGGCTAGTTGTAAGATTTCTGTTAGATTTAACATAAATGGTAATTTACATGCATATATTTAAGTTGCACCATTTGAAATGGACAGTTTCATATAGTTCAATTAAACAATAAGGTAGAAAAAAGTCCACGTTGCACTATATTTTAAAAAGCCCCAACCATTCATTTCTCTTATCCAAGTATATCTGTTTTACACTGGACAATCAAGTTCACCACATTTTATTTTTCAAGTTTTGCAAATTTAAAAGTTTCTTAAAAAAGGGGAATTGTGCATATGCAGTATTCCCTTACCTGAATGTTATATAGGGGTTGCCTCGGCGCATTAACTTCCCTCAGCAGACGACCAGATATGTCCCTTAGCTCTAAAAGTCTGCATGCAAGCTGAGGATGCAGAAGTTTGGCCACTGATTTGGAGGATCTGGATATGCTGTTTAATCCACGAATTAATGTTGCTCGATTAATCTTAGCTAAAGCAATAGCCATCCTGATTTTGGATGTTTTCTGCGCAGGTTCTCTTTTCTGAAAAATAGGCCTTTGAAAAGTAACTGATGTGTAATCTCCAGTGCATTATTAAAACTACTTCCGGCAGAGACTGACTACTATATAACTACATTGTGCATGGTGTCATGCATATATTCAACATCCAATATTTCTGTCCCCCCATGAAACCCCTTGAATTCCCTGCCATGTACTTAAACCTTTTTTTTTTTTTTTTTTTTTTATGGAATTTCATTCTTGTGGCCCAGGCTGGAGTGCAATGGCACGATCTCAGCTCACTGCAACCTCTGCCTCCCAGGTTCAAGCAATTTTCCTGACTCAGCCTCCCGAGTAACTGGGCATACACGCAAGCACCACCATGCCCATCTAATTTTTATAGTTTTAGTATAGACCGAGTTTCACCATGCTGGTCAGGCTGGTCTCAAACTCCTGATCTCAGGTGATCTGCCTGCCTCAGCCTCCCAAAGTACTGGGATTACAGGTGTGAGCCACCACACCCGGACTTTAAATCTTTATATATGTATATTTTTTTCCCTGGGATAAATATCAAGAATTGAAGTAACCAGCCAAAAGATACAAATGTTTCATTTTCCTCCTAGATTTACATATTTTGTGTACTGAATTTTTACTTAAAAAATTATTTTTTAATTTAAATAGGTTTTTGGGGAACAGCTGGTATTTGATTACATGAATACGTCCTTTTGTGGTAATTTCTTAGATTTTGCTGCACCCATCACCCGAGCAGTGTACACTGTACCAAATGCACACTGAATTTTTAAAGAGCTATTAAGTAAACAAGAATTCTTCTTAACTGATTTCTCCATTTGAGCTCTACTCTTTAAATATATATCTTGCTTTTCTTTTTTTATTTTCTTCTTGCTACAGCCATGCCCATTTCTTTGTCATAGGCAATTATAATGCTGAACTTTACTCTTCTATATCTGTCAAACTAGCCTGTCAGAAAATCTTACTAAATTCTTTCTCTACCTTGTCCCAGAATTTGACCACTTCTCATTACCCCCAGTACAGCACCCAGTCTATTATATTTGAATTCTACCATCATCTATTTTCCAGATTAGTGAATTTGCCTCCTAAGTGGTTTCTCTGCTTCCACCTTTGCCTATTTTCATTCTGTTCATCAATACACCAGCCAGAGAGATCTAATCAAAACTTATGTCAGATCATATTTTCCTTCTATTCAACTGCTTCAGTGGCTTCCAGTTGCTCTCAGTGTAAAAGCCAAAGTACATACTGTGGTCCACAAGGCCCTACAAAGGTTGTCTTTTCTTCACCTGTTCAGCCTCATCTTTTTCTCTTTCCTTCCCTTCCCTAAAAACTTGTCGAAGTTTTTAGGTGTCTGGGATTTTGCACTAGCTATGCCATTTGATTCCTCAAGCATCCCAAAGTTCACTCCCTCACTTCCTTCACATCTTCATTCAAGAATCACTTTCTCACTAAGACCTTCTTGGTCACTCTACCAAAATCATCAGTTGTGCTCTCTATCTCTGCACCTCGATTTTGCATCCCTTCTCTGCTATAGTTTTTCTTCTCCTTAACACTTACACTAATGTACTATATTGTTTATTTTCCTTGTTCATTGTTTTTTACTTGACTGGAGTATAAATTGTAAGTGTTTTATATCCATTTAGCTTGCTTCTTTTTCTCCAGAGCCAAAGTAGTGTCTGGCATGTAATACGCACTCTATCTTTGTCAGAATGAATGATTGAAGAGTATCAGAAAATAAAACAAATTAATCTTGAGAAACATCAAAAAAATACCAAATATTACATTAGAAACCACACAGAAAGTTTTCAGTGCACAGTTCTATAACTTTCACAATAATGATAATTCTCCACAAGAAACAACTCACCAAAGACAAAAATATAATTGAATTAGCATTCTAGTGACAGTCATAGTCTCATTACTTTCAGAAACCTAAATGCCATTACAGGTAATTTCCAAACATCATTGGTGCCTTCTTAGCAGTTTTTTTTCACACATTAACAATAACCAACAACAACAAAAAAGCATAGAGAATTCAGAAAAGTACATCTAAGGGCATAAAACTCCAAAATTTTTGGCATGGATTCTCATATGTCCTGTCTACAACTTCTATTTTGTAGTATATATGGTTAAGTACAAGATAACAGAAAAAAGATATATTCATCTTTCATATTTAAAAACTCACAAAAATTGACTGTATTTATCCTAAAATATTTTTCTCTTATTCCAAGAATGAGCATCTAAATTAAAATTTTTTAGATACCCAATTGTAGTACATAATTTAAAGGTTTACTACTTTAAATTCATCATATGGAAATCTTTTGAAATTTGCAAGTGTAAACCTTTAAAAATTACTCTTTACTAAGGAAGTAGATACTAAGGCTATTATCTGGGCTGGTTGGGACAGAAGGGTTGGAAAGAACTGAACCCCAGAAGCCATCATCTCAAGCCAAGATTCTAAAATTAACTTTCTGGCCAGGCACCATGGCTCACACCTGTAATCCCAGCACTTTGGGAGGCCAAGGCGGGCAGATCACTTGGGGTCAGGAGTTTGAGACCAGCCTGGCCAACCTGGTGAAACCCCATCTCTACTAAAAATACAAAAATTAATCCAGCATGGTGGCAGGCACCTGTAATCCCAGCTATTTGGGAGGCTCAGGCAGGAGAATAGCTTGAACCCAGGAGGCAGAGGTCGCAGTGAGTGGAGATTGCGCTATTGTCCTTCATCCTGGGCGACAGAGCGAGACTCCATCTCAAAAAAATAAGTAAAATAAAATAAAAGTAACTTTCCTAGCCTCAAAAAGAAGATTTCCTTCAAAATCTATCCAGGAAGAACGATTTAGTAATCATTATTCTGGTTGTATTCTAGGTATATTCCTCTATAAAAATTCCATTGTCACTCCCATCAAATCTTTTTTTGTTCTAGGCCAGCAAGATGGCCTTTTCGTAAATAAATACATGCCTGGGTGGCGCGGGGGAGGGGAGGAAGATTTAAATACTAATCACAAAATTTAGAATTTTAAGATACAACCCAATTAATAAAGCCCTCTAAGAATTTTTAAGACCATTCCTTTCACTGTTTGGGAAGTATGGATCATCCTGGAAATAAAAAAAATTTGCCGCACTTACAATCTAACCTTTTAAAAATAATCTGCTTAACAACGGAGTATTAGTAATGTTTTCCACATAATTTATATTTGAAGGGTAAATAACTTCAAACATGTGATAATATCCCCTAACTACTCAAGTTTCTTGCCAATCTCAGCAACACATTCTTCAAAGGAAATAGTGGGAAAACAGCAATATTAAGTGTTTTGAAAATGAGAAATAAAGTAACTAATTATGTTCCTATTTGAGTTGGGTAAAGTTCTATCAGGAAATTACTTCAATTAGTTGGAAATAGGAACTCACAGCTTTATCTTTGGGGATCACAATATTCAACTGATGTCACCATAAACCATGCTTATGGTTCTAATGATAATGAGGCTATTCAGAAGGTAGAAATGAATGAATGAAGTTGCCATTTCTTTTATTAAATAAAACCCCAGTTTCTCTGATTTCAGCAATGGTGGGAGAATCAAAACTTGAAAACGATAACAAGGTTTTCCATGCCTGTCTCTGGCTTCCTAGGATTCACCCTGAGCCTTCTAAACAATTACTACTGTGCTGGCCTGAGCTATTTGACATTGACCAGGCATGTACATCTGCCCATCTCTTTCCTTCCTACTCCAGAGCATAGCCAAAATAGTTTCCAGTGTTTCAAAAGACTTTATACCAAGGCTAGGGGAATGCAAAAAGGGGGAGCAACTGGATGCCAAGGCTAAGATACAGCATTAGAAAACCCAGTTTGCCCTCAGAAACTCTTAAGCCTTACCTCTCATGCTTAGCTGATCTGACCAGCACTTGGATGCCATGTTACTACTGTGCCTGCAGATTCCTACACTTTAGTATCACCCCTCCTCAAACACTAGACCCAAGAGAGGGCCGGCCAAAGGCAGAAAGCAGTTGCTTCCCCTGACACTAAGGCCAACCTTCCAAGTTCTGGTGTCCTGTATCCAATATGACCGCCTCTTCCTATGATGACTGATACTGGGAATGTCCACTTCCCCCAGGGCTATTATCTTACAGGCTAAATCAGTATTGTCTTCTATTATACCATCTAGGAGTCCATTCTACAAGTCCCAGAACTCTACTATAGCTAAGGGAGTTCAGTAGGTCCTGACAGTTAAAACTCATCCGATTCAATGGTAAACAAGAATGCATATCAGTTAACTTTTTGTTTGTTTGTTTTTTTGAGACGGAATCTCGCTCTGTCGCCCAGGCTGGCGTGCAGTGGCGCGATCTCGGCTCACTGCAACCTCCGCCTACCAGGTTCACGCCATTCTCCTGCCTCAGCCTCCCGAGGAGCTGGGACTACAGGCGCCCGCCACATTGCCTGGCTAATTTTTTTGTATTTTTAGTAGAGACGGGGTTTCACCGTGTTAGCCAGGATGGTCTCCATCTCCTGACCTTGTGATCCGCCTGCCTCGGCCTCCCAAAGTGCTGGGATTACAGGCCTGAGCCACCGCGCCTGGCCCAGTTAACGTATTTTTAGAAATGTATAGGCTCAGTAATTTGAATCAACTGCATATATAACAATTACCTTCTATTCAGAACAGAACATTATTTTTGCTAAATAAGAGTTTAAGTCACAGCAACCATTATTGGTGAATGAGGGGTTCCACGTAAGTAAATTTTCTGGGTAACTAAAATTTTTTCCACTTAGTGTTGGCTAAATTTTTACTGACATGCAAAATAACTTTAAAAAATGTATCCCATACTTGACATCTTTGAGGATTCTGACTGCTGCTAATTCCTCTCTCCTTTTTCTCTCCACTTCAATGGCTTTCATAGAATTTCATTCTCTTCATTCTCTTCTTTTCTCTGATGCCCTGCTAACCCTTTAAACAATGGCATTGTCGGGGGTTCTATCCTATGCCCTAATATTACTACACAATCTTCTTGAGCAGTGATGATTGCCATTTTGGTTTAAATGTACACTACAGTTAGTTAAAGACATGGTTTAACTATACACTATAACAACACACTATACACTGATGATTCCCAAATATACATCTTCAGCCGGGCTTCTCTTGAGCTTCCAACCTACATATGCAATTTATAACTCAACTCCAAGGCTTGGACAGGATGTGGCATGACCCCTTAAACTGTGATCCAATCAAACTCATTATCTCCAAAGCTGCTCTTCCTCATCTTGTCTTTGGTCCTAGTTAACGGGATCACTATTCTTCTAGCCACCCACGAAATCCAGAATCTTCCTCAACCTTTACACATTATCTCTCATCCCACACTGTCAGTTTCAAAGTATGCTAAATATCTCTTGTGCTCAACCCATTCTATTTCCAATGTTAATGTCCTTGTTCTTAGCTGTCATTTGCAACAAAATCTTCCTAGAAGCTCTGCCTCCATTCGGATCTCATTACCACTAAAAAAGTATTTTTGTTGTGCAAACTGAATGTCATTTCCAAGCCCAAAACCTTTCTGTGGCTGATATCTGTGTTACCTATAAGGGAAAGTCCAGTCTTTTTCACATGGCATACAAAGACCTCCACCCCGTTTTCTACTATTTCCTATCTCAACCCTTCTATCCTACATGCCTGTAATTTATATTTATTTGACATTTTGGAAACATGCTATGCTGTTTCCTACTTTTTGGCCTAACCCCCACTGCCAGTGGAATATGCTTCCCTGCCCCTACCCACTGATCCCACCCTTTTCTTTACCTTGAAAACTACTATTCATCCATTGGGACCCAACTTAAAAGCATGCTTCCTCCATGAAGCCTTCTTTGACCTTCCTCAGTAGAGTCATTCACTCCTCTAAATTACATACAGAGATGTAACACTGACCATATTCTAATGCAATTACTCCTTTACAACTCTATCTCCATTAGATTAAGCTCATTAGCGGAAAGGATCACGTCGTGTTTATCTCTGTATTTCCTCTCTCCAGTCCCAAGCAATAGTGAGGTGTTTACTAAATGTCTGATGGCTGGTTGTCTGCAGGCGTGGTTAAAGTTAGCTCTAATATCCCTCCTTTGGAATGAAATATGTATACTTTGTGATTACTGTGTTAATCAGAGTGCTTTTTGTTAACTGCCAGGTTTTGGTTATATACCTCATGTTTGACATTGTCAAGAGTCTGACTTCTGGATAAGTGGATTGTTCCTGTACCATGTACCTTCACAGCATATTCTATTCCAACTATGATCAAAATGACCGAACCACATTTTTCCATTAAGAGCTGTGTGCCTTTGAGTAAATTAGGTTACATGTGTTCCCTAAACAAGTTGTTACTTTTTCCTGACTTTATGTCTCTTCAAAATATATACCTCCCTCCTCTTTCACTCCCAATATTTTATCTGTTTCAAATCCTTTTTGGAACAGAGGTTTAAAAAATATACATGTATACCTTATTTAAATTGATACTACTGTTTTCTTTCCTTATTAAACACACATCCATGTTGTATTTATCTTTCCATTGTTACAATTTATCTCAAGGTTTTGCACTGATTTGACATAGATTTTTGCTAAAGTGTATCTAGGTATTTTTCTGATTTTACATTGCAATTGTAGTGTTGAGAGACTGCCAGGTGTTTACCCTAATGACATAGTTAATGTCTTTAAACTTAATTCTCAATCTACCTCACTTCTTGGTCCACAATCTCTCTGCTTCCCAAAGACCCCTCTTAATGAGTAATATTTGAAATTTGTTTTTCTGAGGCAAAATTAGTGTTTTCTAAAGTTTTGATCACTGATCTCAAAATCAAGCATTAAATAATGGGTATGATACTAAAAATAGAATATATTTTTTCTATTCCTTTTAAAGGTTATAAAATCACATTACCTGATTAGACTGTGATAATCTTAGGATGGTGGGAAATTCATCTTTAAACTCATCTACAAGGTCCATGATTGCTTTCTGGATCCCCTCGACTAAGACAAAAAGAGGTTAGGAAAAAGAAAACTTTGAAAACATCCCCTAAATGTTTCAAAAGAACATGAAACACTTGATCAAATTCCTAGATGACTCGGAAAGTAAAGGAACTCTAGGGGATCTTATTCCCAATTGTTCCCACACCCATACGCCCTTTACAACAAGATTGTGTATACTTCTTCCAGAAAAGTTCTTCAACACCTGCCCACATATCCACCCAACAGGTTTGATTGGCATGGTGAGTTCTTGCTTGGGTTCCTAGTCCTTAACAAGCTTGCAGGCCTGGGTAATGCTTGTCCTAGTCTGCCATTAGTGAAAGATGAGGGTAGCCTTCCACTTGGGAAAGCCAGCAAGGACAGAACTCACAGCTCACTGCTGGAATTCTTTGTTACTGTACAATAGGCTTCCGAGAACCTGCTACAGAATCTTCTGACATCACTCTGGCAGTGAGAGGAAGAGGAGTGTGTTTGGAGGCATAAGGGAAGGAGTGAGGGGATTGAATAATAAAGTACACTAAGGAGTTCTATGATATAAGTTGAAATTTGTCCCAAATTCTGCAGTGATACCACAAATAATGGATCATCTGAGAACAAAAGGTCCCTTTGAAAAAAAATGGCATGTGCTTTAAAAGAAATGCTTTATATATGATGCCAAATAGAAAAGAAACACCAGCAGTGAATTCAGAAAGACTTCTGAATAGATTGTTTTTGCTTCACCAATGAGGATCACTAGGTCAAACTCGGGCAAAACTGTAAAGTCTTTGGTTTCTCTGCTTTATAATCTCAATCTCTTTTCTTCATCTTTTACCCTCCTAGTACCCTCACATGTCAGATGACCATTAGTTCCCCCGATCAAATATGGGAAGAACTTGATACCATGCAGACTTGATTGACTGCCTAGTTTTATATATATATAGTTTGTTTGTTTGTTTGTTTTTTGAGATGGAGTCTTGCCCTGTTGCCCAGGCTGGAGTGCAGTGGCGCGATCTTGGCTCACTGCAACCTCAGCCTCCCGGGTTCACACCATTCTCCTGTCTCAGCCTCCCGAGTAGCTGGGACTACAGACACCCACCACCACGCCTGGCTAACTTTTTGCATTTTTAGTAGAGACGGGGTTTCACCGTGTTAGCTAGGATGGTCTCCATCTCCTGACCTCATGATCCGCCTGCCTCGGCCTCCCAAAGTGCTGGGATTACAGATGTGAGCCACCACGCCCGGCCGACAGCCTAGTTATATTTTAGTGTGAATGAAATAGTTGGTTAACCTGAATCCCATTCTAATTTGAAGCCCTCATATTTAATTGCAGCTAGACCACTTTCTTCAGCAAGCATAAAGCCACGGCTGCTGAAAGTGTCTTCATGGGAACAGTTTGGGAAAGAGAAATCTTCATCCCAGGATTCCTCTAGCATGGGAAGCCTGAAAATCCCCAGCTCTCATGGTGTTCTTAGTCCACAATCTGCCTTAGAACACCCTCCGCCATACCACATTCACCTCTCCTAACCAAAATAGAACCTGCTTGCCTCTCATGACTCTCATGGTTAAGATAACTATGCCCTTAACATTTGGAAAGTGCAATCCATCGGTACAAAGAAAATCATACTAGACAATGATGAATACACACGCTGGGAGTCTATGAGATAATGAAATACTTTATCTGTCCTAGCAAGATAGTTGGTCATCAGCGTCCACTGCAGATGAACACCTGGCAGATCCTTCTCTTTCTGGTCTTCCTCCCTGTTCTCCATTCTCCTCCCTTCCACCATCCCCTAGTTCTTTTTATCCACTGATTCCAATGTCATTGCCCAACTGGTTTTACCCAATTTTCTTCTCTTTTCATCAGTCCTCTCCCTCCTAGGCATCCTATAAAATTAACAAATCTAGAGGAAAAGCATTTCTCAGGCTAATGTTTACTGCACTTAAAGCATAAGCAACTCTTTGTGTTTGCTAACAACGTCCTTTTTGTCTTTTCTTACTTAAGAGCCCTCTCCCCAGAAGTAGAGTGGTGAAAAATGACAGACGGTGATGGAGTAAGAAAATCTCACCCTGCAGCACTTACATTATGACCTTATAATATTTTGGTTTGTGTTTAATTATCTTCTTATGCCAATAATCTTATGCATCTTATGTTATTTCAGATAATAAACTTAGACAAAAGAACCCACAATGTCTGTTTTTTTCTTGTTAATTCTTCATTATGTTATTCTTTAGAGTTCATAATAGAGTACCCCATAATTATAAAATAAACTAGGAAACAATTAAAAATATCTCCAAATAATTTTTATGACAGCTGTACAGATTTATCTGTACTTAAAAGGCTTTAATACAGAAGAACAGAACTTTTGTTTTGCACACAGCTTTGAAGAAAATGAACATTTTACATAATCACATATAGACAGTATAAACTTAGTGATAGAAATATAGAAATCTGGGGGTCAGTCAGACCTGGGTTTGAGTTTCAATTCTATCACTTACCAGGCTTTGCCGTGGGCAAATTACATAAGTTCTATAAGCCTCTTACCTTTTAAAAAGGAAACAATACTTGATGAACATTAAATACCCAATAAGTGGCAGGTTTCATTAAATATGCACTGACCTTTTGGTTTTGGAAATTTTGCAAAACTTGGGTAAAACTCAATGCTGGGCTTGCCCGATTCACCTGGGCTTCAGCATTTTGATTTGCACCAAACTGGCTAGAACCCTAACAACCTTCCTAATTGGATCCTTCCCTCAAACCTACTTCAAATTCAACAGAGATGAAGTCATACTCCTCACTTCATGTATTACCTACCAATCCTCAAAACCTATCTGCCATGTGAGACTTCTTTAAGAATTGTTGTTGGCCTTAGATCAAGGATTTGGACTCGAAGTAACCTCCTTTGGATGTCAACCCAATAAACAGATCAGTTCTGTTGGTCCCAGTACTATGTCCTCCAGCTCACAGTGTGCTTTGTGACTATGCACATCTAAATGAGTGGCAAATGTTTAAAAACGTCAAAGTAATTTTAAAACTTATTATCTGGAGGAAGAGAACTGATATAGATTAAAGTCCAACTAAGTACTAGTAACTGTGCTAGGGGCTAAGTTAACATCATTTATCTTTTTTAATTCACTTAACAATCCTATGAATTAGGAATGTTTTGAACACAATCTAAAAGTATCAATACAAATACATTGGTATTACCAATATCAATTGTCAATCCTCAATGATAGTTTTTTCGTTTGTTTGTTTGTTTCTTTTGAGATGGAGTCTCACTCTCTCACCCAAGCTGAAATGCAGTGGCGCGATCTCGGCTCACTGCAACCTTTGCCTCCCGGGTTCAAGCGATTCTCCTGCCTCAGCCTGCTGAGTAGCTGGGACTACAGGCACCCGCGACCACGCCCGGCTAATTTTTGTATTTTTAGTAGAGGCAGGTAACCATGTTGGCCAGGCTGTTCTTGAACTCCTGATCTCTCTCAGGTGATCCACCCACTTCAGCCTCCCAAAGTGCTGGTATTACAGACGTGAGCCACCGTGCCCAGTCAATAGTAGTTTTTATAATGATAGTTGTGTCATTATATGATATATGCAGGGCTATTCTGAATAGTATAGAATGGAAATAATTCAGATACCCAACATTCATTAAATGGTTGCTACCTCAAGACTATGGAAAAGTTTCTGTTCATTACGTTTGTAAGATGTGGATTCTATATTTAACTATGTAGGTAAAACTAATTTACAAAAAATTATGTAAAACAATATAGTTTATAACCATCCAAAATTATATGTACACAAATGAGACTTAGAAAGGAATCTAGTAGTAAAAAGCCCCCAAAACCTCCAAGTTAAAAAAAAAACTAGGAAATATTATTTCCATAGGATTGTTCACTTACGTCTAATTAATTAAATAACAAGTTTATGACATGAATTGAAAGTATGATTGTGTATCACCTTGCTTAGAGACTAGTGAAAAGTTTTATATAAATCAATCGAGCGTGCAGAAGAAGTCTCAACATCTACTATTGAAGACTCAAACAGGTCCTGATGTTGGAGAACTGATGGGGCAACCTGATGAAATCCTACATGCATGAGACTGCAGGACCCTCCTGGGGGGGTAACTCAGATTCAGTGAGGCATCCCACTCTGAAAAATCCAATCTGGTAGCAATGCCTTAATAATCAGAGGAGAGATGTGATTCTGAGCACAGCCTGGGGTATGTCCCTCAGAGCTATCCTTGATCTCACATTCCACAGGGATTAGGAGTAGATGGGAGGAAAAGATAAGCCTTAAGTAGTCTTCCTAAACTTTCTAAGGCAGTGGACACAAGTTAGCTATACAGCTAGGGTATTCCTTTCACGGACAGCAAAACAAAAAAGGGAAAAGAGGCATTCTCTCGGACTTTGCCAAAGATCTCTGGCTCTTTGAAAGTGTTGCTACATCAGTAGTGGTACCTATTGTGTCCAGAAAATAGCCAAAACCAAAGCAGATCCCAAAGGAAACATGAAGGTATTCATAGAAATAATTAAAAGGGCCAAGCAGATGCCACTTGCCAGGCTGCTTACCAGATTTGTTCCTGATAATTAGACACCCCATGGGAATTCCCAAAAATACTTAGGAGACAGCAGATTCAGGCCTTTGTAGAGACTTGAAGTTTTGCAGATGGGGCAAAACCAGTGAAATCCAGGTTATCATTATTCTTGTGATCCCACTTTCAATCATAGGTTGGCCAAGCTTGGGAAATCCTGGGTCACAAGAGAAAATGTTTAGACCTTCTCATTCTAATAAGAATTTGAAGCCTTTTGTGTGTAAATAGGAAATTTGTAAGTTGAATCATTTAAAATGTATTAGGGGAGTGTATTCTTTAAAAATAGCCCTAAATAAAATTCTCCTGTAAGGCAAATAATCATTTTAATAGCAAAAATAAATGCCTGCTACATAGCTCACAAATATGTTTCAAAACAGATATATTGATAACATTTTGATTCTTCTTAAAAATTCTTTAATTACCATATTTTACAATTCCAGTTGGGTACCATTAATAAGGAGCAGGCAATGGGAAAGACTAATGGATGTCTTCAAATAGTTATGGTAAAGTAACAGGCTATATAGAGGAGAGAATCGGCAACATTAGCATTGTTACCCAGGTTTGGGAGTTGCTGAGAGTTGGTTAGATGGTAGGAAGCAAAAATGGCCAGATTTATTTGTTGTCTGTTTCCCCTATCAGATTATAAGTTCCCTGAGTTCTGGATCTTTGTTTTGTTCGAGGGTGTATTCCCAATACCTAGACAGTGCTTTTACATGATAGGCACTCAATAAATCTTTCCAGATGTTGGTGAGAATGCAGAGAAAATGGAACATTTATATATGGTTGGTGGTAATGTAAATTAGTACAACTTCTATGGACAACAGTATGGAGATTTTGCAAAGAACTAAAAATAGAACTACTACTCGATCTGGCAATCCCACTACCATGTGTCCACCCAAAGAAAAAGAAATTATTATATCAGAAAGATACCTGCATTCTTACATTCATTGCAGCACTTTTTACAATAGCAAAACATCATCCTAAGTGTGCATGAATGTGTAATTGAATAAAGAAAATATGGTGTGTATATACCATAGAATACTATTCAGCCATAAAAAAGAATGAAATCTTGTCTCTTTTTTGTGAGACAGCATCTCTCTCTCACAAAGTGCAAGAGGTGCAGTGGTGCAGTGGTGTGATCAAAACTCACTGCAGCCCCAAACTCCTGGTTTCAAATGATCTTCCCACCTTAGCCTCCTAAGTAGCTAACTACAGGCATGTGCCATCATGCCTGGCTAATTTTCTAAAATTTTTATAGAGATGGGGTCTGGCTATGTTGCCCAGGCTGGTGTTGAACTCCTGACCTCAAGCAGTCCTCCCACCTTGGTCTCCTAATATGCTTGGATTACAGGTATGACCACACCTGGCCAGAAATCATGCATTTTACGCAATGTAGATGGAACTGGAGGCCATTATGTTAAGTGAAATAACTCAGAAGCAGAAAGTAAATTACTGCATGTTCTCACTTATAAGTGGGAGCTAAATAATGCATAAACATGGACATATAGAGTGGAATAATAGACACTGGAGACTCAGAAAGGTGAGAAGGTAGAAGGGGGTGAGGGATGAGAAATTACCTAATGGGTACAATGTACAATATTTGGGTAATGATTGCACTCATAGCTTAACCTTCACCACTTCACAACATATCCATATAACAAAACTGCTCTAGTACTCCCTAAATATATAAAAATAATAATTTTAAAAACCTTCCTGAATGAATATAATAAAATCTATTAGTTACATCTCAGCCAAGCTGAAAAATTTTATCATTAAAAAATTCATTATGGAGTCAACTAACATATATGTAAATGCAAGCACCGAAGACACATAAGACACACATATAAATACACATAGACACACATGTTTTATCAAACATTATAGAAAGAAAACTTTTTCTCCACAAAACACTGCATTTTAAAAACTGTAACCCGTTATAGTGAATACTGGCTCATGTGACACATCCCAACAACACGATATGAGATCCATAAGACCAGAAAACAGACACAATAAGAACATTTCCCTTTCTGCTGTTTCCTGGTAAATAATACCGACTATATTAATTGGAAACAGTCCATTATTGTATATAATTAATTGCAGACAGTCTATTATTGTACATCTCTGAGACTAGAAAATAAATGTGTAGCAGGTTTATGAGGGTAGTATTGATAAATACATGAGTAAGGTAAATGTAGATATGTAATGCAGTAGAGATCAAAAGAATATACATGTAAACAATTTCAAAATACTTATTTTTAAAAAGGAATCCCTAAAATTTTTTTAAAGCTGTATATCAAATTGGTTATATAATAACACCTAGAAAGGATTTATTTGGAGTGAATTTAAAACACAGTACAAGACATTGCAAGGACAATAAACCAAAAAGACATGCTAAGTCTCATTCAGTCATTTTCTTGTTAGTATTAATATTGGTTTTGTTATTTGAAATTATTTTTCTTATAGTGCAGGACAAACACATTATTGGGTTAATAATGTTAGGAATAAAAAATTTCAGTGTAAGAGAAGACCCAATTAGAAGACATACTTTTGCAGCCACCAAGCATATGAAAGTATGTTCAACATCACTAATAACTAGAGAAATGCAAATCAAAAACACAATGAGGTACCAGATAAAGAAAATGTGGTATATACCCACCATGGAATACTATGCAGCCATAAAAAAGAATGAGATAATGTTTTTTTGCAGCAGCATGGATAGAGCTGAAGGCCATTATCCTAAGCAAAATAATGCAGGAACAGTAAACCAAATTTTACATGTTCTCACTTATAAGTTGGCACTAAGCAACAAGAATACATAGACACATAGAGGGGAACAACGAGACTGGGGCTTTCTTGAGGGTGAAAGTTGGAAGGAGGGAGAGGATGAGAAAAAATATTGGGTACTATGCTTAATACCTGGGTAATGAAATAATCTGTACACCAAACCCCCATGACAAGGGTTTACCTATATAGCAAACCTACACATGAACTGCTAAAATAAAAGTTAAAAAAAAGAAGATCAAAGAACAATGTAAAATGCTGTAATGTTAAACAGAATTGGAAATATCATCGTAAACTCAAGATTTTTAAGAATATATTTTTCCTAGATGTACAGGCTGAAACGGCTAGAATCATGGCCAACCCAGTAGAAAAGAGCACCCTGGTATCTAAATTCTGGGCTTTAATACCATTTGTTAGTACAATGAACCAGGACTCCTAAAGAAATATGTGATACCAAGTCTGGGGCAGGATAAGCACAAGGTGAGCCAGGGAGATCTTATGCCAAAAAGTTAGAATAATTTTGAAGGTTAATGGAGTCCTTTTAAAAGGAAACTCAGGCCAGCTTGAGCTGGTTCCTACTGGTCTTAGTTGTGATGATTTGGGCTTTGCAATGGAAGAATCAGGCCATCACCATGCTAATCTAGTGGTCAATATTGACATCACTAATATGGGACAAACAGATATTATGGGTTTCCTAATGTAATGCAATATGAAGTATGTACCATCTATGATATATTCCAGCCAAAAAATTCCAGTATGATCTAACTTTTAGATTTATCTTCCAGTTTCCCAGAAATATAGGAGATAGATGAACAGCCTAAATAAGAGCTTCTCAAACTATAGTGAAGCCAATACTTTTATAGATTAAAAGCAAATTACCTTTTAAAAAACACATTTTTAAAAGACAAACAATATTTCTGGTTTATTTTTTAATCTATATATAGTCAAATAAAACTGTCTTTTCTTTTTAAAGCTTCTGATTTTCCTTTCAAGGAGTTTTTTTCTAGGCCCTCAGTTATACATGTAGTCTCTCTAATTTTCTTCTGTTTCTTTTCTTTAAAAATTCATTTATTGGTGAAACCCCATCTCTACTAAAAATACAAAAAATTAGCTGGGCCTGGTGGCGGGCGCCTGTAGTACCAGCTACTTGGGAGGCTGAGGCAGGAGAACGGCGTGAACCCGGGAGGGGGAGCTTGCAGTGAGCCGAGATCGTGCCACTGCACTCCAGCCTGGGCGACAGAGCAAGACTCCGTCTCAAAAAAAAAAAAAAATTCATTTATTATTTCAACATTTCCTTCCATTAACACTTTATTTTTAATAGGCTGTTACTTTCATCCATCTGAATATCCAATTGTTTTAGTACCACAGATTAAATAAACTGTTGTTTTCTCATTGATACGAAATACCACTTTTGTCATATATGTTTATATATAAACACATACACACATATATGTTGGGAACTATTTCTAGGATTTCTATGCTGTCTCACGGATCTATTTGTCTCCTTCTATGTCATTAAAATACTGATTTGACTACCGTGGCTTAATAGTATGTTTTACGTTCTGTTAAGGCAAGATTCTCACTCTTTCATTCTTTGTAGTAGTGTTTTTTTCCTTATGCTAATCTCAGTTTTTCTGCTAATTTCTCAGATTTTCTACAAATTCAGTATCTTCAAGGAGTTACAAAAGATATTTTTATCTCTTCTTTTTCCATGTTAATGCCAATTATTTTATTCTCCTATTTTATTGTGTTTGCTAGAACTTCTAAAACAGTTCTGAATAATTATTACAGCAGGATCACCTATGTTGTTCCTGTTTTCAATTAAAATGGCTTCAATATTATACTGTTTACTGAAGCCAACACCAAACATTATTCTAAATAATCTTTATCATATTTAGTTTCTTTCTATGCCAATTTTGGTTTTGTTTGTTTCTGCTGGGATTGATTATCGAATTTTATCAACTTCCATTTCATAATCTATGAATATGATCGCTTTTGCCCCTCAATTTGTTGACATAGCAAAGTATGTATTGGCTTTCCTGATATTTAAACTGTCTTTACATTTTTGGAAAAAAGAATTTGTATTTGATTACATTTGTATTTGATATCTTGCTAGATTTCATTTATAATTTTTGCCACTATATTCATAAGTGAGATTGGTCTATGGCTTTTTTTTGTACTTAACAGATTGGTATTAAATTTTTGTGAATATGAATTGAAAAGGTTTGCATCTTTCAGTGGTGCCTGAAATAATAACATCAGAATATTTCAAATTTCTTTTTCTTTCTTAAAAACGAGGCATAATTTACATATTTTTTTAAAAAGCTAGTTAGAACTCAGCTGTAGAAATATTTGGTCCTGATATCTTTTTAGAAGCTAGTATCACCAAGTTTCAAATTTTCACATGTGGCAATTTGTACATTAAAATTTTCTTATTTGGGGACCGGTTTTGGTGATTTATGTCTTACTAAGAAATACTCATGCAAAAATTTCAAATATGTTGCCACAGAACTGCATTTAATTTTTAGTCTTCTGGATCTATATTATTTCTAATCTTGTATATTTTTTCCTTTTTCTTTAATCTATGCTCAGGAAGAATTTAAGGTTAAGTACAAAGTTTCCTTACTTTTAGTTTTTCTTCTTTAATAATGAAAGTACTCTAAATATGCCTTTCACTATATCCCATTTATTTTTGAAAGAAGAGTTCTTTTCAATGCTTCCTTTGATTTCTTTTTGCTCCAAGGACTATCTTAATTACATTTTATAACTTCCCAGTAATTAAGGTTTAATATTATATTATTATTTCTTTCTACTTGATTGACTTTTAGATCAGAGAATATGGTCTATAAAATCTCCACTTTTTCTGATTTCAAGGTTTTCTTTGTAGCCAACTACATACCAATTTTTTTCACAAATGTTCTAAATCATACAAAGGAGACATATTACTCTAGTCAAATAATGCAAGAATACGATACATTGAATTTATTGACTGTATTATTCAATTCTTTTATAGCCCACTAATTTTTGCCTGTTAAATATATTACTGAAAAAGAAATGTTAAAGTCTTCCACAAATTGTATTTTCATCAAGTTTTCCTTGCATTCTTCATTTTCTTCATTGTTTTTGTATTATATCAAGGGCTAGCAACAATGTAGAGCTCAGGAATGCTCACGCACTGATAGCGAGAATGTAAACTGGCATGCTTACTTTAAAAAACAATTAGTATCATCAAGTACAACTGAAGATTCCCATAGCTGTGATCACTGCTTCCAAACCTAGAAATATCCCCACCAGCACCAGGAGACCTAGATATGAGAATGTTCACTGCTACAATTGAAATATTAAGAAATTGTAAGCAACCCAAATATTCATCAACTGTAGAATTAATAAATAAAGCATAATATATCCATAATAGCTGCTGTACAGCAATAAAAATGAATGAATTATAATTATATGCAACATAATGAATAAATTTCAGGGATGTAATAATTTTGAATGAGAAAAAGCAAGGTACAGAAAAAAGGCACAAGATTTTATTTATATGAAGCTCAAAAACATTTAAAACTAAACAATATGTTAGAAGTACACACATATGTTGTAAAACTACAAAGAAAACCTTGAAAAACCATTTCTTTCATTAGTAACTTGCTCACATTTTGAGATGAATGTTTGATACCTGCATTCTGCAACACTTGAAAAAGTTAACTATATATAATATTAAATATTCCCCTGATTAAAAAATAGGTCTTATTTTCGCCTTAGAAAATTTTTTGTTATAAATATATTTTAAATTGACATCTTTCTCTTTTTTGGATCTTAACAATCTGTAGTCATCACTGTCTAGCTGAGTATCTCCTGATAGAATCTTCCATGTTGGAAATAGGCAAACTATAATTGAAGCATTTCAAGAAAAGCAAAGTCCAGACCAGGTGGTTCACACCTGTAAATTCCAGAACTTTGGGAGGCCAAGGCAGGAGGATTGCTTGAGCCCAGGATTCTGAGACCAGCCTGGGTAACACAGCGAGACCCCATCTCTTCAAAACATAAAAAAGTAGCCTGGTATAGCGTCACACACCTGTAGTCCTAGCTACTCTGGAGGCTGAGGTGGGAGGAACACTTGAGCCCAGGAGGTCAAGGCTGCAGTGACCCATGCTCACACCACTACACTCCAGCCTGGGAAAGAGAGCAAGACCTAGTCTCAAAAAAAAGGCAAATAAATAAGTATTACATACATTTTAAGTATATATATGTAAGTACATATAAGCTTCATATATTGTTATGATCTTTAGTTAGAAGTCTTAGATTTATCTACTTAGATGGTAACCTCTGCAGAGCATGACTTAAAAGTACAGATTTTGTATTTTAATCCCTTCAGCTATGGTCATAGAGTATATTACTTAATTACCTAGCTACTTAAGCAAATTTCCTTGGTCAAACCAACAATGTTGAAACATAAGGAAAAAGAAAACTGGTCATTTTATGTAAATCTACATAACTATAAAAAAGAAAAGTATCATGTTCATTCAACAGTGCTAAAAATAAAAATGCTAAAGGATGCATCCCACCCTTTCTTTTAAACCCAACATTGCCAGCAAGTTGATGATGATACCTCTTCAGGAGGGAGCCCAGACATGACATAATTCACTATGTGTGAATTTATTTAAATTTTCCATGAAACCAAATTTATTTTCAGCCAATATGAACCAATCATCTTAGAGATTTCTCAATTACTTTGTACAAAAATAATTCTTACATGTGAAGGATTGAAGAATATGCCACTTCAAAATATGCCACTTTGACATAAGAATTATTTTGAACTGAAGTCAATTAAAAAGAAACAGACACAAGAACAGCTCTCTGCCCTCCCCTTTCTACCAGGGAGGGCAGGATAATTCTTATTTGTCCAAGACAACTCTAGATTTAGTCCAGCGATGGCACCAGAGGAAGCTACATAACACACCAATCCAACAAAATCATAATATAATAAAATCACTAATTATTGAAAGCTACTAATCTAAGTATTTAATATATGGAATAGGCATCATTTAAAAAAATTTAAGTGATGTGTTTCCAGATGTTAAAAAATATACAGTACATACAGTATGAAGTCTTTATACCACATCTACTGTATACATGCATGTGACAAAGGCTACTATATTTCAATATGAATTTCTGTATCTCATAGTGCTATTATAAATACTATTTTGTAGGTAAGAGTTTATGGTTATGAATAATAATAAAAGTAAGGCACATATTATCAACTCCTGAATAATGTCCTGCAGCTTTACCATGTCAAGTCAATATTTGTATTTCTAGAGCAGTAGTTCTCAAACTTTTTAGTCTTAAAAACACGTTTGGCCAGGCTCAGTGGCTCACGCCTGTAATCCCAGCACTTTGGGAGGCTGAGGCAGGCAGATCACTTGAGGTCGGGAGTTTGAGACCAGCCTGGCCAACATGGTGAACCCCTATCTCTACTACAAATACAAAAGTTAGCTGGGCGTGGTGGCACGCACCTGCACTCCCAGCTACTTGGGAGGTTGAGGCAGGAGAATCGCTTGGACCCAGGAGGTGGAGGTTGCAGTGAGCTGAGATTGCGCCACTGCACTCCAGCCTGGGCGATAGAGTGAGACCCTGACTCAAAAACAAACAAACAAACAAACACATTTACACTCTTATATATTGTTGAGAACTCCCTAATAGCTTCTGTTTATGTGAGTTATATCTATTTATAATTATCTTATTAGAAACAAACACTGAGAAATATATGAAATATTTGTTAAATCATATGATATGCAGCTTCTTAGATAGCCCAGTGATCCCTGCCTCCTGGTCTTCATGCCCTGGTGTAATCCACTTCCCTTGAGTGTGGCCTGGACTTATTAATTCCCTTGAATACAGCAGAAATGATGGAATGTTACTTCAGATATTAGGTTACAAAAAGGCTGTGGCTTCTGTCTTGCTCGCTCTTTCTCTCTCTGAATCCCCATCTCTCTCTAAGGAAAACCAGCTACCATGTTGAGAGCTGTCCTATGGAAAGATCCATGTGGCAAGGAACCAATGTCTCTGGCCAACAGCAATGAAGACCTGGGTCCTGTCAATAGCCATATAGTGAGCTTAAAAACAGATCCTCACCCAGTGAAGCCTTAAGATGACTGTCACCCCACTGACACTTAATTATAGCTTTGTGAGAGACCCTGAGCCAGAGATACCCAACTAAGCTGCACCTGGACTCCTGACCCACAGAAACAATAAGATAATAAATATCAACTGTTTTAAGCTGCTAAATCTTGTGGTAATTTTTACATAGTAAAATAAAACTAATACAATTCATTTAAAACTAACAATAACATTTTCTATGAAAAATAACTATTTTCTAAAATAAAAAATGTAGTAAGCTGAGTGGTACTGTTTGCATTTTTGCAAATCTCTTCAATGTCTAGTACCATAGAAAACATTTGTTTTCTATATCTGCTTCTGAATTTAAGCTGTTGAAGTACATTGTTTTGGGTGAAATACATAAAGAAAATCCTGCTTCACACAGATATGTAATTGTAAAAGAAAGGAGTATTGTAATAGTTTTTCCAGATAACAGTGGGCATTACTCTTTGATCCTACAGCAGCACTCAACAAATGATGCCTTGGCACGGTGGCTCATGCCTCTAATCCCAGCACTTTGGGAGCTCGAGGCAAGAGGACTGCTTGGGGTCAGGAGTTCGAGACCACCCTGAGCAACATAGCAAGACCCAGTCTTTACAACAAATTAAAAGAATTAATCTGGTGTGCAGGTGGCTGAGATGGGAGCAGCACTGAGTCTAGGAGTCCAAAGTTGCAGTGAACTAAGAGCTAGGATTGCACCACTGCACTCCAAGCCAGGGGACAGAGCAAGACCCTGTCTCCAAGTGAAACAAAACAAAACAAAACGGTAATTTCTTAAAGATTAGGTGCAACCTAAATACCATATCAGTGAACTTTTTATGTTCTGTTACATTAAAATTTATAAATCTATCCTCCACTTTGGCTCATTTACTAATGCATAATTTTATAACATCATGCATTGATTATTTGAATAATATTGGTTCTCTCAATATCTTTGCATAGCAAATTACCCCAACTCAGCAACTTAAAACAATAAACTTTTGTTATCTCACAGTTTCTTTGGGTAAGGAATTTAAGAGTGGCTTAGCTAGGTGGTTCTGGCTTGAAATCATTCAAGAGGTTGCAGTCAAACTGTTGGCTGGGCTATGGTCTTCTTAGGACTCAACTGAGAGATGGTCCAATTCCAAGCTCACTCGTGTGCCTTTTGGCTGCTTCAGAAGATCTACTCCCAAGTTCACTCCCGTGGTTGCTGGGAACCCTCAGTTCCTTACCATGTGGCCTCTCCATAGACTGCTTCAGTATGTCCTCAGCTGGCTTCCCTCTCTCAGGGCCACCTCACAACCTGGCGGATTGTCCCATGGTGAGCAGTTCAAAAGAAACAGGGGTGGCAAGGAGAGACACACAGAGAGAGAGAGACAGAGAGAGAACAAGATAGTCTGCTCAAGATGGGAGCCACAGTCATTTTATAACTAATCTCAGTATGATAGCTCATCACTAGAGACAATCAACTCCACAATCAAGGGGAGGGAAGGTAACCTCCGTCTCTTGTAGGGCGCTGTATTGAAGAATGTGTAGCCACAGCTACAAAACCACCACAAATTGTCAAGCTCATCATTGTGGATGCAAGTTTTCCCGAGTTCTAATTTTTGCTTTAAAGCTCACATTTATCATTGGCAATAAACACTGTCAATTGTTTTCCTTGAAATGACAGACTCGCTTCTTTTACATTCGAGAAAATACCTGCCAAATACCCAGCTCCCTATAACCATAGTTGGGTGTTTTTGTCAGTCATTCTTTCAAGTGAAAATGACATTCCATGAAATGACATTCCATGAAAATGACATTCCATGAAAAAAAAAAAAGCAGCTCACAGCTCAATTACACAAGTACATTTCCTTGAGGCAATCATGTGTTTCAGTAAGCAGCAGAAGTGCCTATGCCTACTACTTCATATTTAATTACATGGAATGTTAAAAATGATGTGTACCCTGGGGTCAATATTTAACATATGTACTCAAGCTTCTTAAGTAAAACTGATTTCTTCTTTTTTCTTTTGGTACATAATAGAGTGCTTGGGACTTTCATTTGGGAAAATCACTGTGGGAAGGAATAAATAAGGCATTGCTTCATGGAAAAAGGTGTGCACTGCGATCAGATGGGAATTACATTGAGATTGGCAGAGAGGAGGAAACGTGGGAGAGGAAAATAAGCAGACAGTGGGGCTGGAATGAAATGAGCATGTTATGGTCTAGACTAAAGAGAGGGAAGGCTAAGTTCACAGCAAGCTGTGGACTTGATGCAAGCATCTGTGAAGGGAGCCAGTCTGAAATTCTCACAGCAGGCTCCATCTGAAGGGGCAGTGTCAGGCAGACTCCTAGACGCTCAGGGACTAGATTGTTATCTGGCCAGAAATGCAGTAGAAGGTTCCCGGAAGGCTTCCAAGAGACAAATAACCTCGGGTTATTTGCCACTCCTAAGGGCACCAATGTCAGTCATAACCATGCAGTTAAGTAAGAGCTTTTCCTATCTTACCTTTTCTCCTTCCCTCTTGCAGCTTTGAAGAGGCCAAAAGCAGAAACCGATGAGGGAGGAGAGCTGAGGAGAGGAAAAGCAGCTGACCAAAGTTCCCTCACTCTTCCACTGTAGACTTCCAAGCCTGGAGCAAAACTCAACGGGGAATGGGAAGAAGTTTTAAATGAAATGAGATTAACATTTGGTTTATTACATCGAACTGGACTCAATTACAAAAATAAAAAGACTACTACTTATTACCTGAGAGCAACAACAAAATTATCATTATTTATTTATTTATTACAGCAAACTCAACTCAATTACTAAAAAAAAGACTATTCATTTACTACCTGAATGCAACAACATAACTATAAAATCTCCCTGAGATTTGAAAGGGGTGGGAGTGGAGCACTATGAGCTGGAACAAATGGAAGGCGCAGGCTTGAAGGTCAGTGGGAGCTTTCAGCATGCACCCTGCTCAGTTCAACTCATTTAATAAAGTGCTTTCAATGCTGCGATTCATTGAGCTTCTATTTTTGCCAGGTTGAGGTTCTGCTGGGTATATTTTAATGAAGGAACAAAATGTATTTATATTTAGGAGAATGGTGTTTCATAATGATTGTAACCAGGCTAACCTGAGTTCATATCCTGGCTCTGCTACTTAAATAATGTGGCACATTTGTAAATCTCTTGGACCGTCGGTTTTCTCATCTATAAAATGGGGATAAATCATGCCTACTTTACAGGGCTATCATAAAGAGTAAATGAGATAATATATGTACAGTAAGTATCACAGTGCCTGGTATACAATCAGCACTCCATAGGTAGCATCAAGAATTATGATCATGCTCTTAGTGTGGTGACCTGGCCAATGGGAAACATTTACCAGGAACTAGTGCACAAAATAGACTGAAGAGGAATCAAGACTAAGAACAGGGAGAAAAATGAGAAACATTTAGCAATATCAACAAAAAATGCTAACACAGTAGCCATAGAAATGAAATAGAAGGGACAAATATAAAGGATATTTGAGAGGAAAATGGACATAAGAGATAACTGCTTAGACATATATGGTAAATAAAAGTGAAGGAAGAGTCCAAGGCAGCTTACATTTTAAAGGCTTAGTTGGATTGGAAAATAGTAGAAATGGGAGAAATACGGAAATTGCCAGAGTGAGCAAGTTTGGTGGGTGAGCATAGTGGGAAGAAATACTGGTTTTGTTTTGCTATATTTTGAATTTAGAAGACTCTGAGAGTTTCAAGTACAAATATCTTATAGTTATTTGAAAAGTTATTCATTCATTCATCTAATATTTCTTGAAAGCCTACTTTGTGTCAGACACCATGCAAAGATCTAGCAAGAGCAATCTAGTAACGAGTTGGAGTTTGAATGGGACATCTGGGCCAGACAGAAAGATCTGGGGACTCCAACATAGAGCTAGCCCCTGAAACCATGGATATTAATTAGTTTTCTATGAAGAGCGTCAAGAAGAAAAAACTTATGAAAATATTAACAGGGAGTCATGAGGAATGATCAAAGGGGTGAAAGCTAAAGCAGTGTCTCATGTTGTAATTATTTTTATATTAAATTCTAACCACCTATAGTTTATAATATTTAATCATGTCAATAAAGCAATTTCATAGTAGCTATCTATATTTTAAAATTTTTATTTTAGATAGTAGTGGGTGCCCATTTGCCCTTCATGCAGTTTCCCCCAATAACTACATTTAAAAAAAATTTTTTTTTTTGTTTAGATGGAGTCTCACTCCATCACCCAGACTGGAGTGCAGTGATGCAATCTCAGCTCATTGCAACCTCCACCTCCCAGGTTCAAGCGATTCTCCTGCCTCAGCCTCCAGAGTAGCTGGGATTACAGGCACGCGCCACCATGGCTGGCTAATTTTTATATTTTTCATAGAGACAGGGTTTCACCACGTCGGTCAGGCTGGTCTTGATCTCCTGACCTCGTGATATGCCCGCCTCAGCCTCCCAAAGCGCTGGGATTACAGACTTGAGCCACCGCGCCTGGCCAAAAATTTTTTTTAGAGATGGGATTTTGCCATGTTGGCCAGGCTGGTCTCAAACTCCTGGCCTCAGCGATCTGCCCACCTCGGCCTCCCAAAGTGCTGGGATTACAGGCATGAGGCACTGTGCCCGGCCCCAATAACTACATCTTATATAACTATAGTACAATATCAAAACCAGGAACTTGACATTGCTATAAACCACTGACTTGATTCGGATTTCACCAGTTTTACATGTACTAGTGTGTGGTATGAGTGTAGTTCTAAGCCATGTTATCACATATATGGATTCATATAATTTTCATCTTTATTTCTTAAAATATTTTCCTTTTTATCACTTCAGTTACTTAGATGAGGTGAAGAATCCACACCACAAGAATTTGAAAAAACAAATTTTGTAGTTTACTGATACTCCCTAATGTTCAAACATTATAGCAAAGGCCACAAAGATTTTTAAAATAGTTAATTAACAAGTAACACATATGTATTTTACAGTACTTTATCTGTAAAATGTGAGTTATCATTTCTGAAGTCCCTTATAACTCTGAAATTCTACAATTCTAGAATTCTAATTCCTAGGTCACTTAACCTCTTGATATAAAGCAGAAAATTGTGGCAACTGCAATAATTCTTTGGAAGCAGGCTCAGTCTCTTACCTTATCAGGACAGTGCCCAGTGGGACACAATTAATCACTGTCTTATTGTAGTAAAAACACTGCTAGCTTGGGAGATTTAACCAGGTTCCCACAGGAATCTGCTTCTCCAAGAGGACTTTGTAAACCTTTGGTAAGGAGAAAATAAACTAATCCATAGTTGCTCTAACAAAAAATCTACCATTTTTTGTAATAAAAATATTTTTTATCATATTGTTTTAATAATATTTTAACTAAAACATCTATACTGGTAGCATACAGTATATTAGTATTGAGCTTCATTCCCACTCACTTAAATCCAAATCTGTAGTATTCTGATCTTGGCTAGACAAAGAGAAAGCATCCTCAGTTTAGGAAGAAAATAATATTAAGCTAGTTGTCAAGAAAATCATTTATATACTAGATCCCCCCAACAGGTCTATAATTTATTTCATGAAAATAGTGAAAGCTTTTGTGCTTAGACAAAATGTTAGAAAATCCCTATAAGTAAGATCAGTGTCAGAACAAATATTTGCATGCTGAGAAAACACCACTTTGTGAAAGTTGCCATGAGATGTAGACTTTGTACAACAGTTACATTTGAGAGCTTGACAGACTTCATATGTTTTACAGATTGATGGCAATACACAGCAATCATAAAGCTACATTTCTAATTCAGTAATGTTCTAGAAAAAAACAGTAACAACAATAGCGGATTACATAATTTGATGATATTCTTTTACTGAACAAAAGTTAATGGAGTATATTTAAATCCTTAAAGGATTGTTCAGTAGCCTTTTCCATTTTAAACTGTACTAGTACTTCCATTTCATGATACCAAAATTCTCTCAAGAGGAAACTTAAGAGCACATAGTACTTGCTTTCAGTCAACAGAGTCAGTAGGGGAAGAAACCAAAAAGCCTTCTCACTAAGAGGAGTAAAACATGACACCATAAAGCCCAGGTGTTAAAAAAAAATTATGGCAAAACCAAAACACACACACACACACACACAATTTTTCATGTTATCTTCAAATTTTTGGTAGAGAACCACAGCACATCCTGGGGCTCAAAAAGTAGTTTGTCCTCATATTTAAAAATACGTATCTGATTTGGAAATATCCATCAAGGGATAGAATTCACATAGAGACCATTTGCAGAGCACTTCCAGGCACAACTCTGGGAGAGAGGCCTGAGTGTCCCCAGTTTACAGAAGCTCAGAGGCATCAAGCGACTTTACTCTACCACTCAGCTGCCCAGGGGCAGAAATAAAATAAGAACCAATTTGTCTAACTCAAAAATTTGCTGCTCTTAGATATATTCTACATTACCATCTAAGAGTCATTCCTGTATCTTTATTTAAATAGTCAGAGGCCAGGCACAGTGGCTCACACCTGTAATCCCAGCACTTTCAGAGGCCAATGCAGGACCACCACTAGAGACCAGAAGTTCCAGACAAGCCTGGGCAACATAGCAATACCCCATCCCTACAAAAAAAAAGTTTTATAAATCAACTGGGCATGGTGGCACACACCTATAGTCCTAGTTACTCTGGAAGTTTAGGAAGGAGGTTTGCTTGAGCCCATGAGTTTGAAGCTGCACTGAGCAATGATTGCACCACTACATTGCAGCCTGGGTGATAGAGCAAGACTCTGCTTCAAAAAAACAAAAATAAAAAAGAAAGAGAGCAAAAACTCTACTGCGGAACATGCAGCACTTCACTCCTATAGTTTGCATTGACTTCATTTATTTCTTTAAAATTTCCTATAAAGTACCATTTGCATTAAATCTGAAGTATTTTTCATTTGACTAAGTCTAACTATATGTTTGAGTATTATTTTCTGTTCTTTTGGTAAAGGAAAGTTTAAGTATAAGCAGGGGAAAACAGTATTTGGAACATATTTAGCAAAGGGCTAAAATCCTCACTTCATATGGAATTTATAAATGAGTACAAAAACATTTGAAATTAGGGAAAATGGCAAAGAACTTATACAGATGATCACAAAGTATTTCTCTGTTTCTTTAACAGATACTTTCTGAATGTCTACCATGCTGTGCTATGTATTAGGGATAGAATGAAAAAGTATTTATTGACTCCATGCTACATTGTTTAAAAAATGGTTTATTTAGGGCCAGGCACAGTGGTTTATGCCTGTAATCCCAGCACTTTTGGAGGCCGAGACAGGTGGATCCCTTGAGGTCATGAGTTCGAGACCAGCCTGGCCAAAATGGTGAAACCTTGTCTACACTAAAAATACAGAAATTAGCTGGGCCTGGTGCCACACGCCAGTAGTCGCAGCTACTTGGGAGGCTGAGGCAGGAAAATTGCTTTAACCTGGGAGGTGGAGGCTGCAGTGGGCCGAGATTGCACCACTGCATTCCAGCCTGGGCAATCAGAGTGAGAGCCCATCTCAAAAAAAAGTAAAAAAAAAAAATTCATTTTTCAAAAATATCTGGAAGGATATATATCATATATTCATAAAAATATATGGAAATGTACATATCAAGTGATTATCAATGGGTGGTTGGATTATTTATTTGAAACAAAATAGTAAACATGTATTTCTTTTGTAATAAAATAGTTTCATAAAAATTAAAAACCTATAGGCATTAAATCATCAATTATTCACATATTGTTCAGAGTTTTGGGTAATTAAAATATATTTCTTTTTTCTTACACATGGAAGATAGACTCCAATAGAAATGGACTTTTTCATTTTATACCACAATCATCCCCTTCCTGTATTCTACATTCAAGACCCAACAGACACACAAACACTGACAAACGTGCATGCAGATACACAAATAGAAGACTGTCTCCCTCACAGTGCATATACACACATACACACACACACACACAAACACACAGTCTCACTTTGATGTAAGTGAAAAAAGAGTCTGGCAGAGATCTGATGGTTTTGACCTTGGAAATAGTTTTCATTATTCTCTACATTTCTCTAGATTTTTCTTTCATTTGCAACCCCTGAATGCAATATTTTTCATGTTTGTGTATTACAAAATGTATAAATTCTTTCATTGGAAAAATAGCTCTCTGTCTGACCCCTCTGTTTGTTTTTGTTCCTAAATAATCTATTCTATTAGCTCTGGGTATTAGACAGTCTAAGGACACGTGGCAGACACATGACTGTAGCAGCTGCTAGTCTAAGGAGATGGCAAATCTTTCTGTGGAATCAAAACAGATTAATATGAAATAGTTGATAGGAGGTAGTAATTTTTTCCACTTAACTTTTATAATTATTTTATTTAGACTCATGTATAGAATGTTACATGTCAATCTATAAAAATAGTTTTAAATAAAATATAGGTCTCCTTTAAATGATTAATAAAATAAAGTATCAATTAAAGAGTTAAAACCAGCCCCATAATATGTTCCTTATAAATATATTGCCTTAAAAATAAATAAATAAATAAATATATTGCCTTAGTCCATTTGTGCTGCTATAACATAGTACCTGAGACTGGGTAATTTATAAAGAACAGAAATTTATTTCTCACCGTTTTAGAGGCTGGGAAGTCCAAGATTGAGGCACTGACATTTTTTGAGGATCAGTCTCCTTTTCCAAGATGGTGCCTTATTGCTGCATCCTCTGGAAGGGAAGAATGCTGCATCCTCATATAGTGGATGAGACAGAGGGTCAAGAGAGTGTACCCTTCAAACTTGAGCCCTTTTATAGGGGTATTAATCCCATACATGAGGATAGAGTACTTTTTTTTTTTTTTGAGACAGAGTCTCCCTCTGTCACCCAGGCTGGAGTGCAATGGCAAGATCTCAGCTCACTGCAGCCTCAACCTCCCAGGCTCAAGTGATCCTCCCACTTTTGCTTCCCAAGCAGCTGGAACTACAGATGCACACCACTGCACCTGGCTATTTTATTTATTTATTTATTTTTATTTTTCGTATTTTTTGTAGAGATAGAGTTTTGCTATGTTGCCCAAGCTGGTCTCAAACTCCTAGGCTCAATGATTTGCCCACCTCAGCCTCCTAAAGTGCTGCGATTACAGGCGTGAGCCACCATGCCTAGCCAGGTTGGAGTACTTATGACTTAATCACCTGCCAAAGGCCACATCCCTTAATATGGTTGCATTGGGGATAAAGTTTCAACGTGAATTTTGGAGGGGACACCATAATTTAATCCATAGCATATATAATTAAGTATTTCATTCATGAAATTCAATAATTCCATGTTACTAGCATGTCAATGACCATTTAAAAATATATTAATGGTTTAATCACAACAAAAAGTTCTCTGATTTTCAACTTTTTCAGTTTTATGTACAGAACTAAGTGATTAAAATTTTTCTTTAAAAATTCAGTAAAGGTCAGCTGGTAATAATGTGTATGAAGTACACTCCTCTAATATAACTTTATAAAAAGAAAATGAATTGAGTATTTGTGGGGAGCTTGCTTTAAACCCAACTCTATAATGATTATAAACTAGATTAAATTTTACTGTAATGTAATAGTTACCCAGTTTTTTACTTCAATATGAAAAGCCTTTTCATTTTCAATGATTATTTTACAGCTAATAACTGTCAAGAAACACACAAACATTAACTGACATCTCAACAAAAGAGTTGGTCAAAATCTATCTCAACAGAATTATATCTCTAGTGTTTTTCCATGGGTTTTTATTACTCAGAAACCTTCCCAGATTTTCTTTTTTGATATTCCAAAAGGATTTAGCTATCTCCTTACTTTTCTGTTTCTGTAAGGAAAGTAAAGGATGCTGGGAGGAGAAAGGGAGAAAAGACAAAATGTTACCTATAATGTTTTGGGGTTCAACAATTCCTAAAACACATCCATGGACCTCCTCCCACTCCCAGCAAAAACAAAAACCCATGTCCCAGACCTTTTTTTAGACTGGTTTGTAACAGATCCTTTAATGGCCCACTTGAGTCCATCAAGCTATGAAGTCTTCCTGAATAAGGAGTGGATTCACTTACTTCCTAGAGGAACTGCCCAGTTCATATGGTTTGGATTTGTGTCCCCACCCAAATCTCATGTCGAATTGTAATTCCCAGTGTTGGAGGAGGGGCCCGGTGGGAGGTGATTGGATCATGGCGGTGGATTTCCCCCTTGCTGATCTTGTGATAGTGAGTGAGTTCTCAGGAGATCTGGTTGGTTAAAAGTGTGTAGCACCTCCCCCTTCCCTCCCTTCCTCCTGCTCCAGCCACAAATGGGTGGAGTCGTGCCTGCTTCCTTTTCACCTTCTGCCATGATTAGAAATTTCCTGAGGCCTCCCCAGAAGCAGAATCCTGTACAGCCTGCAGAATTGTGAGCCAATTAAATCTCTTTTCTTTATAAATTACCTAGTCGCAGGTATGTCTTTATAGTGTGTGAGAAGAGACTAACACACCAGTAGATAATCTAAGGTAGATCTCCTTTACATCAGACAGGTAAATTAAGTTGTTTCTCTCCCTTCTCATTCCTTTCATCATTTAAGTAAATTCTTAAATTATAATTTTTTTCTTCAGTAACTAGAAAAGAGGACAATTTCTCCCCTTCTCAGTCTTATCTAAACAGAAACTCTGAATACATTATCTAATCCTTCAACAATATTTATTGTTTTATATGCACACAAATGCCACATTTGCATATATATATATAATTTTGTATGCAAAGTATACCTTTATTAATATTTGTTTAATATTTTGACTTTAATATTAAAGAGACAATAAGATCCCTGCTATCAGAAACAAGTCTTCTCAAGTTACTTGTATAACATAACAGGGCAATGTAGAGTTTGATTTTGTCATTTTGACCCTACTGTTTTTGGCCCTGAGGGTATTTTGATAGAAAAGCATTTTTTAGTAAAAATATGTAAATCAGAAACTAACATTAGTGAATCTTAGAATTCTTAAGTCAGCTAAATTATCATTCAAGAATAAAAGTGAAATGAAAGCTTATTTTCAGACAGAAATCAGAAGAATTTACCATGAATAAGCCCTAGCTGTGAAAGAACTACTAAAGGAGGAATATTAGGAACAAGGAAATCTTGGAGGAAGAATGAATGTGAGAAAGAATGATAAGAAAAGAGAGTGATTAACACATGGATTAGTTAAAACAGACATGGACCTTTAGAACAAGAATAATTGTTGTACCCGAGCGAGTTAGAAAAATGCCACACTGAGACGAATTAAGAGTCCTTTATTAGCCGGCGACCGAGAGACGGCTAATGCTCAAAATTCTCTCGGCCCCGAGGAAGGGGCTTGATTAACTTTTATACCTTGGTTTAGGAAGGCGGGGGGCCTAGTTAAAACAATTTTACAGAAGTAAAGTAGTCAAAAAGTTAAAAGGATAAATGGTTACAGGAACGTAAACCGTTCCAGGTGCAGGGGCTTTAAGACTATTACAAGGTGATAGACCCGGGGCTTTGGGCGTTATCAATCAGATGAATTCCTGGGAACTGCTGATATAGCTTGCCACAGTATCTTATCAGTTAATTGCATTCTTGGACGTGCTGGGAGTCAGCTTGCACAAGTTAAGTCCTTGAGGAGGGAGCTGCCAGTGAAAGAGCCAAGATGGAGTCTGTCTGGCTCTCTTAGCTAAGGGAGAGTCAATTCAGGTGGAAAGAAGGCTAGGTGATTAAAGGAAAAGGGAGAGTCTAAAAACAGAGTTAGTAAAAACCAGGTTGGGCATTACATTCCCCACTTGTGTTTTTGGGGAATCAAATCGTTGATTCCTCAGTTATAACAAGGGGGTTATATTGAGTCTTAAGATACATAAGTTTGACAGAAGCTATGCATTGTTTTACAAAATTAAGAAACCAATTTAATATACAAGGCCCAAAAATTAAAGTTAATAGTATGATGAGGAGAGGTCCAGCTAACTCTGATTAAAGTAGTTAGCCAGGGGTTCCAGTTGAACATGTTTTGATACCAGGGGATGTTATTTTCTCGTTCCTGTTGGTGCCTATCTAGATTTTCTCGAACTTTTGGAGTGTATCTTTTATGACTAAGAATGGTGGAGGAACAGTTAAATCAACTTTGTCAGGGGGTTTCTGGAACATAGGGTCACCTAGAGCAGTCAAAGGCCGGATTGGCTTGCATGGGCTCCATGAGACCAGGATTTTTTTTTTGGATGGTGAACATAGTGCCAACATTAAATCCTGGGATATGAAATCTTAATTCCCATGACATGCCATAATATTATTGAGTTGAATTAGGGTCATGGACAGTTATAGTAAGAGGATTACAATTTTTTCTAGTACATAATTTAGGACAAGGAGCACGAGTTATAGAATGAAGATCTGGTTGATCCCCCAAAGTAGGTGGCTAAAGTTACAAATGTCCAATCAGGGCAGAAAAACTGATAAGTATCTCGACAGCTAGCGTCAGGGTGATTCCCAGGACAGAGGTAAAAGTCAACATTTTGGAGTTCTTTTTCTGTACCTTTGGAGCTTCCACATCCAGTTTGGCTCCCAGAGTGTCCAAATCCTGCTGCAAGGTTGACACTTTCTGCTCCTATGACCGGTAAGTTGTGTTGTTCTTCATGGGTGCGAGCTGGCTCTGAGAACAGTGCACATAGATCGACTGCAAAGGTGACTTCCTTGGAAGTACCGGCCCTCCAAGTAGTGTTGACGAATACACGTCCTGTTGTGAAAGAGGTGAGGAGGAAGGAGTAGGAAGGCACGGAGGACATAATAGGTGAAAACAAACAAGAGAAGTAAATAAAAAGAATTAATCTAACAGTTTCACCCGACTTAGGCGCAGTTTTAAGGGGCCTGATCCAGCCTTGGGGACCCATGTTTCTAGTTGGGCTCTGTTGGCCTTTTTGATGTGGGAGTGATGAATCCAAGCAGGAATTCAATCCGCCTTCAGAGCCGTTGGCATCGTGAGGATGACGGTGTGAGGTCCCTTCCAAGCAGGAGTGAGTCCTTCTCTCTGGAACTTTTTAATAAACACTAGGTCTCCTGGCTGGAATGAATGGCAGGGCCCCATCTGTTCAGGAATTGGATTGGGATGGGCTCCTCGAACAAGTGGCAGAATAATATCTTGTACCTCTTGGAGAGACTGTAGGCACTGCAATAAATTAGCTTGTGATATTTCTGCCAAATGGGCATCTCTTAGCTTAGGCAAGATAGGTGGCGCCTGCCCATACATAATTTCAAAAGGCGATGACCCAGCCTGATAAGGGGTGCACCTTACTCTTAAGTAGGGCTAAAGGAAGGAGACTCACCCAATTTTCACCGGTTTTTAAAATTAATTTTGTAAAAGTGTTTTTTAGGGTGCAGTTCATGCATTCTACCTGCCCAGAGCTCTGGGGTCAATAGGCACAATGGAACTTCCACTGAATGTTTAACGTCTTACTGACCCACCGAGCTATGGACGAGGTGAAGGCAGGTCCATTATCAGACCCTATGGCAGCAGGCAGCCCGTATCAAGGGATGATTTCATTAAATAAGAACTTAACTACCGTATTGGCAGTTTCGTTTTTGGTAGCAAATGCTTCAGTCCATCCAGAGAAGGTGTCTACTAGTACTAGAAGGTATTTGTACCCAGCCCGGTGTGGTTTTACTTCTGTAAAGTCAATTTCACACTTTTCTTCTGGCAAGTTTTTTCGGAGACAGTGGCCTGGGCTGGGTTTAGGACCTTGCTTGGCATTTACCTGGGCGCAGGTTGTGCACTGGAGAGCTGCTTGATCTGTTAGGCTTTGAAGATGGGGGATTCTTCTTTGTTTTTGATAGCCTTTCCTGCTGAGGTGAGTAGCCTGCGCTCCTGGTAGATGGCTCCATGTACATGCACAGTAGCAAAGGTGTACCTGCTGTCAGTGTAAACGTTAATACGTTTATCCTTACCCCATCGGAGAGCCTGAGTGAGGGCCATCAATTCAGCTTTTTGCGCTGAGGTGTTTGCTTGTAAAGCCTGAGCCCACGGCACATCTGTCTCCATGGTAACAGCTGCACCGGCCTTTCATACTCCCTGCTCGAGAAAGCTGCTACTGTCTGTGAACACAGTGGCGTCCACCTTCTCTAGGGGCATATCTTGAAGATTGGGTGGGCCAGTTTCGGTAGTTTCTAACAGTTCCTGACAGTCATGGATAGTAGCTGGATTCAAACACCATGTGGGAGAGAAAGTCAAACGAGGCTGATCTAACAGTAAACTGATACTGCAGGATGCGAGCATTTGACATCCATTTGCCAGAAGCACTTTGAAGTAAAGTCTCTATGGCATGAGGAGTTGTAAGGGTTAAATTTTGGCCCAGAGTTAACTTATCAGCCTCTTGGACTAGGCTTGCTGTAGCTGCTACTGCTCGCAGGCAACTTGGCCATCCAGAGGCCACGGGATCCAGTCTCTTAGATAAATAGGCCACTGGGCGTCTCCAGGGTCCTAAAGTCTGAGTAAGCACCCCTTTAGCAACTCCCTGGCTTTCATGGACAAACAGGTGAAACGGCTTTGAGATATTAGGGAGGGCTAAAGCAGAGGCTTCAGTTAATGCCTTTTTCAGGTTTCGAAAAGCCTGTTCTTCTGTGTCTGTCCAAATTAACGGGCCATTTCATTCTGTACCTCTTGGATAGCCGCCACTAAGATTTTTGTTTGTCCTTTGAATGCTTTATCAGCAGCCTTTTCAGCTGCCTGTGTTGCTTGTTTTTGTTTTTCAAACTCTTGGTTGTCAAAAACCTTTTGGGCTATTTCTAAAAGCTGACTGATATTCATTCCAGCAAATCCCTCCAGTTTTTGGAGTTTTCTTTTAATATCTGGGGCTGCCTGAGCCACAAATGCCAAATTAAGAGCACGGCTATTTTCGGGGGCCGCCGGGTCAAAAGGGGTGTAAATCCGATAAGCCTCCCGGAGGTGCTCTAAAAACGCTCCTGGTGACTCATCGGGCCCCTGGATGACTTCAGTCGCCTTAGACAAGTTTATGGGTTTCCGAGCGGCTCCCTTAATACCCGTGAGGAGATACCAGTGAAAATCGTCCAAAGTTCTCGTTCCACTTGAGGAATTTGGGTCCCAGTTAGGCCGGGTAGAGGAAAAGACCTTCTCAAGGAGGTCTCTAGCTTCCTCCTCCGGTCTATTGGCTGATGCAAGGAAGTGCTTTCTGGCCTCTCTCCAGATACGCTCCCTCTCCTCAGAGGTAAAGAGAGTTAAAAGGAGCGGTTGGCAGTCATCCCAGGTGGGCCGATGGGTCTGGAGTATGGACTCCAACAGTGAGGTCAAAGCCTGGGGCTTTTCAGAGAAGGCAGGATTTTGGGTTTTCCAATTATACAAGTCAGAAGTAGAAAAAGGGACATAAACCAAGAAGGGGGCTGAGCGCTCATCACCCGGAGGGACTTGTGCCTCTCTCAGTGGTAGTAGAGGGGCTGCTTCCTCCCGCCGCGGCCGCAGTCGAGAGGCAATGGGTGGCGAGCCCACAGGGGACGTCGTCAAGGAGATATGGGACGACCCTAAGGGAGCAAGTTGGTTGTAAGGCGGTGGGACTGGGTGAGGGAGACTCTCCTCTTCTTCAGAGGGAGGCAGTACAGGGGGAGCCGAACCGGCAGAGGGTTGAGGCGAAAACGCGGCCTGGCTCAGGAGGACTTTGGAGGTGGAATTGTGAATGGCGCATGAACGGAGCCATGGAGGAGGATTCCTGACCAAACTTAACCATTGATTTTTACAGGGAACCTGATTAGGATAGCCGGGAGCTTGGGTAACAACCCGCCACACGGCTTGAACAATTGTAGGATTCAATGACCCTTCAGAGGGCCACCCAACTCCAAACTTGGGCCATTCTACTTTACAGAGTGTCCGGAGCTTGCCTTTCTTAAGGCGGACTCCATAATCCTCTGAGAAACCAAGAGAAAAATTTTTCAGCATGCACTGGAGGGGGCTCCAACCCTTGCAAGGCCGGGACTCCATAAATGACTAAGTTTTACAGTTAAAAAAAAGAATGCTAAAGTACTGGACAACAATTACATGTAAGTTGGGCGTGGGGACATTCACATAAGATTTATATATTAACTAATAAAAAATTGAGATTCAAATGATGGCAAGCTGTTTCATCCAAGAACATGCATGTCAGATTACGTTTTCCAAAGATGCTGCAACAATATTTCCTATCCCACAATGTGGCCTTGATACTCCTCTCATTAAGAAATGGGGTCTATGTCCTCGCCCCTTTAACCTGAGCCATCTTGTCTCTGAGTTGTAACTGGTAGAATGCAGCTGAAGTGACACTGTGTGAATTCTAAGACTAGGTTGTAAAAAGTGATGCAACTTTCTCCTTGTTCACTGGCACACTCACTTCTGTACCCCCTGAGCCACCATGTAAGATGTCCAACTACCCTGAGGCCTCTATGCTGTGAGGAATGCAAGGGCAGGGTGTGTGTAGGGCATCTGGTTATCAGCCCCAGCTGAAGTCCTAGCCAACCGCAAGCATCAACTGTCAGACAAGAAAGTGAAGGTGCCTCAGGATGATTCCAGCCTGAGTCACTGGGCCACTTGAAGATGTTGAATCACCACAAGTCATTTGAGTTTTCCCACCTGAGGCCCCAGACATCATGGAGCCGATAAAAGCCATTCCTATTGTGTTCTGTCTAACCTCTGACCCACAGAATTTGTCAGTAAAATGAAATGGCTGTTTTAAGCCCCTAAACTTTAGGATAATTTTATTTGTTATCTTAATAGTAACTAGAACAAACAGGGAATGCCTTTTCCATGTTCAGTTTTTTTAATTGCTTTTTTTATCAATGTTTAAAGTTTTCTTCATATAGATCTCATGCATTTCCTGTTAGCTGCATTCCAAGAGATTTTATCCTTTTTGTTATTACTGTAAGTGAAATATATTCTCCTATTAAGTTTGCAAGTGGGTGTTGTTTACATATATAGATTATGCATGCATACATTTGTTCCCAGACAATTTACTTAATTTTTCAATTTGTTTTAGTTGGTTTTCCTGTTGATTCTCCCACTCCCAGCAAAAACAAAAACCCATGTCCCAGACCTTTTTTTAGACTGGTTTGTAACAGATCCTTTAATGGCCCACTTGAGTCCATCAAGCTATGAAGTCTTCCTGAATAAGGAGTGGATTCACTTACTTCCTAGAGGAACTGCCCAGTTGATATGGTTTGGATTTGTGTCCCCACCCAAATCTCATGTCGAATTGTAATTCCCAGTGTTGGAGGAGGGGCCCGGTGGGAGGTGATTGGATCATGGCGGTGGATTTCCCCCTTGCTGATCTTGTGACAGTGAGTGAGTTCTCAGGAGATCTGGTTGGTTAAAAGTGTGTAGCACCTCCCCCTTCCCTCCCTTCCTCCTGCTCCAGCCACAAATGGGTGGAGACGTGCCTCCTTCCTTTTCACCTTCTGCCATGATTGGAAATTTCCTGAGGCCTCCCCAGAAGCAGAATCCTGTACAGCCTGCAGAATTGTGAGCCATTAAATCTCTTTTCTTTATAAATTACCTAGTCGCAGGTATGTCTTTATAGTGTGTGAGAAGAGACTAACACACCAGTAGATAATCTAAGGTAGATCTCCTTTACATCAGACAGGTAAATTAAGTTGTTTCTCTCCCTTCTCATTCCTTTCATCATTTAAGTAAATTCTTAAATTCCAATGTTTTTTTTTCTTCAGTAACTAGAAAAGAGGACAATTTCTCCTCTTCTCAATCTTATCTTCTAAACAGAAACTCTGAATACATTATCCAAACCTTCAACAATATTTATTGTTTTATATGCACACAAATACACATGTGCATATATATATATAATTTTGTATGCAAAGTATACCTTTATTAATATTTGTTTAATATTTTGACTTTAAAGTCTCTTGGGACTTCCAGGCATACAATCATATCATCTGAAAATGATGATTTTATCCCTTTTCCCTAATTTTTTATATCTCTATTTTATTTTTCTTTTATATTTGCCTTGGGTAATATAAATTCCATACATGCTGAGTTTGCATAAATATATTATTTTTAGACAAAGTTAGCTAATTTTTATTATTAAGCTTGCTGGGGAAGGATCAACTGGGGATGACTAGGCAATTGGATATACAGGCTCGAGGCTCAAGAGAGTAATATGGGATCTGATAATTTGAAATCTGAGAGTCATCAATGTAGGAGCAATCACTGAAGCCATGAGAGCAGATGAAAGGGCTCCAGGAGGAACAATGTATAGCAAGAGGAGAGAAAAGAGTCTAGGACAGAACCCGAAGAAACATCAACATGTAGGAGACTGACTGAACAAGTAATCCTGTAGCAGAGAAGTTGAAAAAACAAAAGTGTTTTGCAATAGAAGGAAAAAAAGATGGCATTTCAAAAAGGGGGAAAGGTCTGCAAGCTCTTGAGAAAGCTAAGGAGTGTCCTTCGGATTGGGCAATTTGAAGGCTGTTGGTGACCTTGAAACAGCAGTGTGACCGGAGTGGTGGAGGAAGAAAATTTGTTTGTAGTGAGTTGAGAAATGAATGGCATTTAAGAAAGAGAGAATCATTTTTAACAAACTTTGAGGAAGTTTGTCTTAATTATTAGAATTAATAATGGGACTTAGCAGAGTTATGAGGGCAAATCAATTTCAAAAAAAAAAAAAAAAATCACTGTATTTTTATACACCAATAAGAAAGAGGTAGATGATGAAATAGGAAATGGATTCCCTTCATATTCCCTTTATAATAACATCTAAAAATATCCAGTATGTAGGAATAAAACATTATTGAAGAACATTAAAGAAGACTTAAATAAGTGAAGAGATATATACTATGTTCATAAATTGGAAAACTGAATCCCATATTAATTCATAGACTTAATGCAATCCCAATTAAAATCTTAACTTCTTTTCTTTGTGTAACTTGACAGTCTGATTATAAAATTTATGTAAGATTGTGGCCGGGTGTGGTGGCTAATACCTGTAATCCCAGCACTTTGGGAGGCCAAGGCGGGCAGTTCACGAGGTCAGGAGATCAAGACCACCCTGGCCAACATGGTGAAACCCCATCTCTACTGAAAATACAAAAATTAGCTGGGCGTGGTGGTGCATGCCTGTAGTCCCAGCTATTCGGGAGGCTGAGGCAGGAGAATGGCATGAACCCGGGAGGCAGAGGTGACAGTGAGCTGAGATCATGCCACTGCACTCCAGCCTGGGGACAGAGAGAGATTCCATCTCAAAAAAAAAAAAAAAAATTATGTAAGATTGCAAAGGGCCAAGACAAGACATATTTTTCAAAGGTGAAATAATTAAGGCAGCATAGTATTGACAGGATAACCAAGTAGACGAATAGAAAAGCACAGACACTTAACACATGAAGTAGATGACACTGCAGAGCAACAGGGAAAGGAAACTCTTTTCAAAAAATGAAATTCAAACAATAGAATATCCATGTGGAGAAAAAGAAAATTGTTTTCCTGTTTTGTGTTATGTATAAAAATTACTTGCAGGTAGATTAAATACCTACATGTGAGAGGCAAAATATAACACTACTAAAAATAATATAGAAAAAATTTTATGATCTCAGGGTAGGGAAGAATTTCTTTAACAAGACAGAAAAAGTCCTACTTATAAAGGAAAATATTGATAAATTTGATTTCATTAAACTAAAGAACTTCAGTTCAGCAAAACAAAGAAACTAAAAGATTAACTACAGAATGAGAAGCCATATGTAACAGATATAGCTAACAAAAACTAAAATCTAGAATACAGAAAGAATTTGTTCAGATCAAGAACAAAAACCACTCAATGTAAAATACGGACAAAAGATTTCAACAGATACCACATAAAAAGACAAATCCAAATGACTAATAAAGCCAATCTTATTGTTGTCAAGGAAATGCAAATGAAAATCACTATGACTCACTGTCCACCAGAACTGGCAAAAATACAAAAGTGTGAAAACAACAGGATGGTTACTTTGGTGAGGATGGAGAGTAGAGAGGATAGAGAGTAACAGAGGGAAATATGGGGTGGGAGCCCCCACACAGAGACCCCACTGGGGCATTGCCTAGTGGAGGTGTGAGAAGAGGGCTGCCATCCTCCAAACCCCAGAATGGTAGATCCACCGACAGCTTGCTCCGTGCACCTAGAAAAGCCACAGACGCTCAACGCCAGCCCATGAAAGCAGCCAGGAGTGGGGGTTACACCCTGCAAAGCCACATGGGCAGAGCTGCCCAATGCCATGGGAGCCCACCTCTTGCATCAGTGTGACCTGCATGTGAGACATGGAGTCAAAAGAGATGATTTTAGACTTTTAAGATTTGACTGCACCACTGGATTTAGGACTTGCATGGGGCCTGTAGCCCCTTCATTTTGGCCAATTTCTCCCATTTGAAATAGTATATTTACCCAATGTCTGTACCCCCATTGTATCTAGAAAGTAACTAACTTGCTTTTGATTTTACAGGCTCCTAGGTGGAAGGTACTTGCCTTATCTCAGATGAGACTTTGGACTGGTGGACTTTTGAGTTAATGCTAAAATGAGTTAAGGCTTTGGGGAACTGTTGGGAAGGCATGATTGGCGTTGAAATGTGGGGACATGAGATTTGGGAGGTGCCAGGGGTGGAATGATATGATTTGGCTATGTCCCCAAGAAAATTTCATCTCGAATTGCAGCTCCCATAATCCCCACGTGTCATGAGAGGGACCCAGTGGGAGGTAACTGAATCATGGGGGTGAGATTTTCCCATGCTGTTCTCATGATAGTGAATAAGTCTCATGAGATCTGATGGTTTTATAAAGGGCAATTCTCCTGCACATGTTCTCTTACCTGCCACCATGTAAGACATGCCTTTGCTCCTTCACCTTCTGCCATGATTGTGAGTCCATTAAACCTCTTCCCTTTATAAATTATGCAGTCTCAGGTATGTCTTTATTAGCAGCATGAGAACAGACTAATACAGCTGGGTCATGGGGTCCATATATTCGGTTGCTTCTGTGAAGGTATTTTTTGAATGAGATTAACATTTAAATTGCTGGACTTTGAATAAAGCAGATTACCCTCCGTAATGTGGATGGGACTCATCAAATCAGCCGAAGGCCTTAACAGAATAAAGATTGTCCTCCCTCAACCAAGAAGGATTTCAGCCAGCAGACTGCCTTTGAACTCAAACTGCAACTTTTCCCTAGGTCTCCAGCCTGCCAGCCTATCCTGTAGACTGTGGATTTATTTGAGTCTCCACAATTGCATGAGCCAATTCCTTAAAATAAATCTCTCTCTGTCTCTCTCTCAATATATAGATATGTGTGTGTATATGTGTGCATATGTGTGTGGGTACACACACACGTATCTATTTACATTATATACATGTATGTATATGTTTGTATATACACACACACTACACACACACATATATATACACACATCATGTTGGTTCTATTACTCCAGATAACTCAGCTAATACAGTTGGTGACAAAGGAGACTCTGAAGGGGAGGAGCCAGGGGAAGAAAATATCCTGTCTCATTCTGCTGCCTCTGATCTCTGCATTGACTAAACCTAACTAGAAGCCAGAGGCCAAAGGAATCTGTCGATATACAAGCTAGCTTCCCAGTGGATGGAGCAGGATGGAGAAGAGGAAGAACGGGCCTGGAGGGACAAACAAAGGGTTAAAAGAAAAGGTGAGGAATCATTATAATAAAATTCAGGATGGTGGTTGTCTCTAGAAGGGTGAGAAGATTGATTTAGAAGGGACATATAGGATGGGGTTATTTCCTTGATCTAAATGACAGTTAAGCAGGTATTTGGTTTATAGTTATTCATTAAACTATACATTTATGTTTTATGCCTTTTGTATATTTTGTAATTTAAAAGTTTAAAGAAGAAAACAATGCTGAGCAACTAAGAACTTATAAAATATTTGAATGGTAAGTGGTAAATAATTTTCCAGGTGAGCAATTTTGTAGCATTTAAAACCAGTTAGCTTTAAACACTAGAAAGTATGTTATGGACCATTATACAAGTCTTAACAAGTGAAAAAGTTAAATAAACCTGAACTAAAAGATACTTTCCCTCTTTTTTTTTCTTTTAAAAAAAGTTGCTTCTAGCCGTATGGGGAAGAAAGAATAATAGCTAGAGACTTGCATATGTTTAAATGCTAACAGCAAGAGCAGTAGAGAGATAAGAGTTGAAGACAGGGGAGAAGAAAGGGGAAGTAGATGCAGTACAGTCCCTGCAAGTTAAAAGGTCTACACAAGGCACTATCAGAGGGATCAGCCTGAAATCAGATAAGGCATTCTTATTGAATTTTGACTGGAGGAAAAAGTAAAGAACGGATGTGGCTACATGCAAATTTGTTAGCTAATTGTGGGAAGCTGAGGGAAGTTCCCCAGCTGATGCCTCCGTTTTCTCTGACAGAAAACATGAGACTGAGGGAAGAGATATCCAAGTTAGAGACAGGGGTAAGTGAGAAGACTGGAACCACTTTGGAGAGCCAGGCAATACCAAATGCTCAATTGAAGTTGGAGGCCATGAATTTATAGTGCCATCAATATGCACTATTTTGAGATTTTCTACAGCAATATTTTACAACCCAGATATGGGAATCGAAAAATCACACACTAAGGTTGATCCAGGGTTGGGGTTTTAGACTGAAAAGCAATAGAATGGGGCTATGAGAACAGACAAGAGATGCAGCATGAAATCTCAGTTGGATAGGGAAGAAAACGAAGACAGAAGAGGTCTAGCAGAGAGGGAGAAAGCAGGAGGATCAAGAGTTAGGAGGTCCCAGGAGAGCACAAGCAGGGAACAACTGGATGATGGAAACAGGGTAGAAGGCTGCTTGTCCAAGTTGTTGGATAACTGAATGTGTTGTTTTAGATGTGGAGCTGTTGTAGGCAGTGATATTATCTAGGATTTGCCCATGGTAAGGAGGTATAAAGTGGAGGGGAGGTGAAGGTCATCATGGAAAAAGGGGCTGAGATGTTGAGGAGTTCATGAAGACATTGAGATCATAGAGAACATGGACATATCTGGGGTCGAGAGAAAGACAGAGGCTAGATACTGAGCATTTAATGAACAATGTGTGTGTTGAGGTTCCGGAATGAGGTTAGGTGGTTGACTGGGAGGTTGCTAAATGACAGCAACTGGAGAGAGACAGACGGGAGTATAGTAAATGTCTTCCTTGAATCTCAGAAGAACAGAAGTGCTTCAGGAGGATGAAAGAGTAATTAACTGACTCTCCCTCTCTACCCAGATTGGAATTCCAGAAGGTGAACTAGAAAGATTCCGCAGGAAGCAAAGCATGGGTAAACCTAGATGGGTAAACCTAGATGGCCAAGATAAGTTACAGCTGGGCCTGTAATAAGGATATCAGGGAATGGGGCAAGTTAGGTTAAACTGGCTCTAAAATTTTCAAGAATTCATTTTAGTAATACCCTGATACTGGGTAGTGAGCAGTATTGGTCTAGCTCTGGAGATTCCAAGTTTTTACATCACTACTTGATATGAGAATCTAATAGTAAAAAACATATATACATTACATGCAATTATTTGCATACCTGTTCAGAGAGTTATAAGATTTCTTTGAACCATATTCAGAGACTGGCTTTGTGACTGTGGCTCTTCGATGATCCTTGTAGTTAATGCCATCATGCAGATAGGTCACCAATCTTTCCTAAATGGCTGAACCTGCCAATCAGAAGAGAAAATTTTAGAAAATTGGTCAAGGCATAAATTGGCTTAATGCAGTTTGCTCTGGAAATGATATCTCTCTGTGATAACTCGGTGTTGGTATAGTTCTAATAAAAGTGTTTATAGACACAAAACATCCTTGGGATCAAAATGACCTGTACTCCAGGTGCTTAAAAAATGTCTGTTGAACTGAAAAGATAATAATGGGCTTCCCATGTAGACTTTCCTATAAGGGAAGACAGTGTTTGCTACCTATTATAAGTTTCTACCCCTTTAATAGTCGAGAGTCTCATTACAAATGAGCAAATTAGTATTCTAGTTTACACATTGGCCTCTTGTGCATTGGATTGAGACAAACCTAGTCCCCTGAGTGTGATCAACCCTGGGCACCTTGACAAAATAAAGTTTCTGGACTTGCAAAACTGAAGAATGAGCCTTGGATAATGTGACTTAAGAGGCAATGTCATCCTGAGGCCAGCCTGAGCAGCCCAGCTGGCCTCTCCCCATGACATTTCTAGCTCAGTTGTTTAGAATAGTGACTCTATTTAGATCAATTCACTTCCTGCAATAAAAATATTTGAGATTATGATGGGGATCATTAGCAAAACGTTGTTGTAATCATAGTTAATGCAAAAGGACTGAGGAATTTATATTAGATCATAGTGAGTTAATAAAATGCACTGGTTGAAAATGTCTCCTAATTCTAGAGTCTAGCATGGAGAGTTACTAATAGTGTACAATTTGTGCCTGTTTGTGGGTGGTGGCCTAGTAACAGACTGTTCCATTTCAAGGCTAAAGCTAATGAGTACTACAATGCTTGTGCTGAAACAAAATGAAGCAAAGTAAACTCTGCTTTTTTTTTTTGGTCTGTTTTGTTTGTATTACATTATACGTCACTGCTTCTTATGTTATACCAGGGCTTCACATTTCTGAGTGTCTCATTCTTTTTGTTCATAGATAGACTCGTAGACTTTTCCCATGATTCTGAAGAGTTAGACATAATAATCAGTAAAAACAGATTTTTGCCAATATGACAAGCATTCTAGTAACGACTGATTATTCTTTTGTTTCTGTTCACCTACAAAAAGAACTGTGCACTAACTTGTTCAACAAAATGTCATTTGTTGCCATATTTTACCGAAGAAAAGGATTTTCTGGCTCTTTAGAATTTAATGGGTTCTTCTTATGATTTGTCAGTTTCTATGGTGGTAAACCAAAGTATATAAAAGAAAAGTCACAGTCTAAACATGACACATCCCTTAATTTTACCCGGTGGTAATTAATCCTTATTTTTATATTAAATCAATAAGGATACACTATGACTTAAAGGCAAAAAACCTTGGCAAGATTTTGAAGAAATCTGGGCTTGCACTGCACTATTTACGTTGCAGCCTGAATGAGATTTTAGGGATGGGAATAGTGGAGGCTTTTTTCAGGTATCTCTAACTTAGTGGAGAAGTTTGAAAAGCTCTGCTTGCCACTGAAATTAGTCCAGAAGGATCTTTGCTTGGCTGTCCGTACTTATCACATCACTGAGAAAGGTCTAAGTGTCTTTTAATGTAGATGGAGAGTGTCCTTGTCCTACCCAGGTCCTAGAACTGGAGGGAGCTGGTAACACAAGAACATGCTGAAGATGAACATTGAAAACACTCCTTCATTAGCAGAAACAGAATGGGCCTTGTCGGAGTTGTGACAGTTACTGACTGGGCAGGGGGTTTGGATCTGGCTAAATATAGCCAGGGGAAAGAAACTAGTAGTATAGCTGGAAAGATGGTAATGATTACACAAATGCATATGTTTTAATTTGAAGGTAAAAGAGGAGAGAATATCAATCAGAGATATTACTGAGGTCCCAGCTTAATATTTTAAATATTTAAGGAGCTCTAAAGAGGAATATCTGATTCTACTGAGAGCATTAAAAAAAAAAAAAAAGGAACATGAAGATCAGAATAAGTAAGAATGTGTCCAAGGGAATCTCAGGAGAGAGTAATCAGCAGGAAAAAAACAGAAAGTGAAAAAATGTCTGTAAGATAAGCCAAAATTGTTAAATGTTTCAGCTAGGTGATCTATTAGAATGCCAAAAGGACTATTCATGAGGGGTAGAACTGCCAACCTAATATATAATGGCATTAGCAGGGCTTTTCTCAAAAAAGGAAAAATCTCTAAGAAAATTTTGATTACTATTAACTGTAAAATCATTTTTAACTGTAGACAGGATTATAGAGTGAGAAGTGAAAAGTTATAAACAAGTTGAGAAAAATGAGGACCAAATGTATTGTGTGAGGGCAGATGAGGTCAGGGGAAATGATCTGTGATAGCTTCTGAATAAAAAAGGAGAACATTTCTAAGCATATTTGTAAAACGTGCCAGCTGGGATAGTACCCAATGGATGGCCATAGCAGAGATGCATGTAAACAACACAGCAAGCAAAGGGAGTGCAGGAGATGGGGAAGGCTTTTAGTACAGTTAAAACATGAGCCAAATTATAGCAATACTGAACAAAATCTATTTTTTAATATATTAGAGTTTGTTGGAAAGAAGATATACCAGCAAAGTATTATACCACTTAACTCTAACATACTGTATTTCTGTATGATTACAAATGGAAAACTTCCAAAAAATTATGCATAACTGCATAATACACAATCAATGGTGCTTGATAATAATACTTGTATTTATTTATATACATCCCTGGGGGTGGTATTTTATAATGTAAAAGAGGTTTTTTTTTTGAGATGGAGTCTCGCTCTGTCACCTGGGCTGCAGTTCAGTGGCGTGACCTCGGCTCACGCAACCTCCGCCTCCTGGGTTCAAGCAATTCTCCTGCCTCAGCCTCCCAAGTAGCTGGGACTACAGGCTCCCGCCACCATGCCCGGCTAATTTTTGTATTTTTAGTAGAGGCAGGGTTTCACCTTGTTGGCCAGGCTGGTCTTGAACTCCTGTTGATCCTCCCACCTCGGCTTCCCAAAGTGCTGGGATTATAGGCGTGAGCCACTGCGCCCAGCCTAAAAGAGTCTTATCGCTTTTCAAGAGCTAAATAACAGAGCAGGCATATTAAAGGCCAGATTACCAGATTTCTTTGGAGTTCAACCCTTCGAAAAATACTAGTAGAAACAGGGAGTTCTGATTCAAAGAAACATATGTTCTGCTATTTTTAAGTAATATTTTAACTGTAAAACCAAACAGTTGTTTTAAAAACATCACTGAGCACAATGATAGAGGTGGGTGGATAACAGAAATTCAAACAAAGAAACAAACATAGACATTTTCTGAAAGAGTTTAGGATAGCTGGATTTCACATGTACATAACATTCTAGATCAGGGCTTCCCTGGGCCACACTGGAAGAAAAAGAATTGTCTTGGGCCACACATAAACTACACTAACACCAACGATAGCTGATGAACTTAAAAAAAAAAAGATAGCAAAAAAATAAAAATCTCATAATGTTTTAAGAAAGTTCAAAAATTTGTGTTGGGCCACATTCAAAGCCATCCTGGGCCACATGCGGCCCTTAGGCCACAGGTTGGACAAGCTTACTCTAGATTCTCACTTGGACTTCTGCAAACACAACTGAGATTACAGCCTTGCAATTTAAAAGAAATTGACAATTTAGAAGAAGACTGTAGTCTCCTTCTCTGGGAAGAATGACCCAGGGAATAAAATGAGTAAAGTCAGCTTTGCTGAAGACTGACTAAATGGTTATTGGCTTTGGTGAATGACTTTGCTTAGTTACTCTCATGAAGTACGTGCAAACTCTTGTTGTTTTTTGTTTGTTTGTTTGTTTTTTTAAAAAGCTAATCTTGAATTTTATAAATTTTGTGTAAATTTGCACACTTTATCTCCCATTAGATTAGTTAAAACAATACAAATACATTTTTCACAGAGCTGATTTCTAGGCAAGTGAGTCTGCAGCTTATCTGTGTTGCTTTTCCCTATCTCTCCTTTACTTCCTGTCTCGCAGCCTCCCTTACCACAGTAGCCAGCCCCAGTGCTGTGTTCTGCATCCTGGCAGTCCCAGCTTCACTGTGCTGTCTCTAAGCTTGTCCTCCAGAGCACAGCCCAAAGCACCAGCCAGGAGTCTCTGAACTTTTTTGACCGAGCACCCCATCAGGAAAAAATGTGAGCACACTCCCAAGGGCTATAAATTACATGCATATGTTACTAAGAATACAATAAAACACAAACAGAAAATTTTTAATAGATGAGATAAAGATCAAATCAATCATAGTTTAATGTATTAATGGTGATACGTCATTTGATAACGATACATACATTATGAAATTTTCCTCTCAAAAGTTATTGTGAATAAAGCTTTACAGGGAGAAGGATAATTGAATATGTCTCATTTTAAAATCTTGGTTTATACTTCATGACACAGCAATACAGTTATCTGGTTTTATGATTAGTTTATTTAAAGGCTCTCTGAAAAGAACTTAAAAAGATATGTGGAATTTAATGAAGAGCTGCTTCATGACTCTCATTTTTCAGTCCCATTATGCAAAGGTTTTTGTTGATATTTGATGAATATATTTCCCGCTTGCAAAATGTTACTCATCTGTTTCTGAAACTAATCAGAAGTGTAATACATTTTTACATGTTTAACACATAGTTTCAGAACTGACTGAAATTATATTTGGAAAATGTTTGGGGAGTTAGAAAATTCTATAAGATAGAAGAGTTTTTGTAGGTTACATGCATTGTTTTCAATCACAAACATTACATAATGAAGGAGTTAGTTTCAAACACTGGGTAAGGGCACAGACCCTGGGGCCAATTGTCTGAATTGGAATCCCAGCTCCTCTACTCCCTACTTGGGTAGCTGGGATTACAAGCTCCCACCACCACGCCCGGCTAATTTTTGTATTTTTAGTAGAGACGGGGTTTCAACATGTTGGCCAGGCTGGTTTCGAACGCCTGACCACAGGTAATCCACAAGTTTCTTGCCTCTTTTTTCAGGTGGCCAAGTTTCTTAACCTCTTTGTGCCCCATTTTCTCTCCAGTAAATTAGGATAATAATAGAACCTACTCCATAGGGTGGCTGTGAGAATTAAATGAGTCAAAATTTGCAAAGCACTTAATGTAATGCCTGGTACATGGTAAGTATACTTAAGTATATAAAGAATTATGGAGCTGGGCATGGTGGCATGCACCTGTAGTCCCAGCTACTTGGGAGGCTGAGGTGAGAGAATCAATTGAGTCTAGCCTAGTCAAAAAAGTGAGACCCCATGTCTTAAAAAAAAAAAAATTATGTGTAGAACCCTGGACATACACATGCCATGTGACCTAGCACACCCACAAATATACTACATTTTGAAGCAAAAGTGATCCTAGCAGCTTTGTTTATAATAGGCAAAAACCTGGGAATAGCCCACGAGTGTATCTACAATGGGATGGATAAATAAATGGTGGCATATATTTTCATTGGATGCTATTCAGCAATGAAAAGGAGAAAAACAAACCACAGCTACATCAACACCATTGAATCTTACAAATGATGATGAATAAAAGAATCAAGGCACAAATACCTACAGTGTGATCCCACTTAGAAAGAGTTCAAAAGGAAGCAAAACCAAAAGATCTGTTTAGGAATGCACATAGAGGTTGTAAAAATCTAATGAAAAATGAATAATCATTACAAAAGCCAGGCTCATTATCTCTGAGGGAAAGAGGAAGAGGGCTGTAGCTGAAGAGGGGCGTCATGTGTGCACACACACAAGCGCACGCCTTTGCGTGAGCCCTGAGAATGTTCTCATTTTTGACCTGAGAGATTTTAGGAATGTTTATTTTATAATTATTTATTAAATCATCTGCATAACTTTTCTGCACTTTTTTTGTGTGTTGTATTGCACAACAAAAACTTTTTCAAGCTGCTATAAAATTCTTGTTTCCACAAAATTTACTACTTGTATAACCTCTTACAGTGCTGTGTATTCTGCCTCCAACTTCTTTGTTAGAATAAATTGCATAGGAGATAGGCTGTGAATGAATTTCATGTGGTTGCTCTCATTGTAATGTTAGCTTGGAATTCTTCTTTTTTTTTTTTTTGAATGTTTAGTCAAAACAACTAATCCATCAGTGGTTACATGTAAAGAAGTTTTGCATAAAACACAGTTTTTATTTTTAAACAGTCAATTATTGTTTACAGTATTGTCAAAAGATGTAGAAGAGAAAATATGTCTTCTCTACTACAGCTTTTCTTTAGTGGATCACAAAAAAGTTATTTCAAAATGTATTTCATTTATTGGAACACAATGTAGTAAATACTACACTGAAACAGAATTTCTCAAATACCATAAAGTGGAACATATTAAAAACATCTGTGCTTTCAGTTTAACCTTATAGTAAACTTCCCACATTGTTTAACTTGTTCAAATACTTATGACTGGAATTTTAGCAAAACTTCATGTGAATATTCTCAAGGTATTTGCTAACAAAGGAATGCAGTTGTTTTTTTCCATTTGCGTTCTATGTATTATTTTAGATATTTTTATCTTGGCAAGAAGAAAACTAAGAGTGTGTTGCTTTTTGACTTTCATTTTTAAGACAGCTCAGAAGAGACTTTGTAGCATTTATTCTTGGTGACTTTTCTTGGAAGTATTGACTTGTATATAGTACACTACTTAAACATGCTAGAAACTTTATTGAATTCGCCTTCAATACTTTGGTGTTTAGTTTTTAAGTTGCTAGCTAATTGTAATCAGTTCAGAATATCATTGTCTATTAACTATAATATGCACTTAGGGTGAAATCAATGTTAGCAAGAATGGTTGTAAATTCATACTTAAAACAGTGTTCTTTATAATCCATTATTTTGGTCAACTTCTTGGCAAATCTGATTAGTCGTCGGTTTTTTACCTTGCAATGTGGCTCCCAAAGAGTATCAGAAACATCAGCTTGGCTGGGGGTTTTTGCTTGTGCTTGCATTTTTAACACTGTCTCCCTTGGTTCCTGCTGTAACAGTAGTTTACTTAAATATCATTCATAAGTCTCCTTAGAAACAGAAACTGCAACATGTGGCAATATATTGAAAGTGAACAAAGGAGGCAGCCCTCCCGCTGCCCCTCACTGTGTATCCTATTGCTGCCATGCCCCCAACACTCCTTGTATCTGCCCACTTACTGGTCAACCTGGGGTACCAGCATCAATCCCAACATTAACTAGTAGTAAAGCTTAATTTCGTTTCCCCCCTTTTTTTTTTCAGTAAAAAATAATGTGTGTGATTAGAAGTTTATTCTGGAATTTCAGGGATCATCTTCTGTACCCCACCTTGAAGACTCTGGCTCTAGATAAGTAGTCTTAAAAATTGCGTTTGTTTTTAACCTTAGAAAACCCATCTTTTTAATGAAAATGAATATGAAACTTTAATATTTTTTTAAAAGACAGCAATAAGACTGCTCTGATTGGCTTTAAGATGCCTTTGTCAGAGTTCAGATCTCACTGCTTACTCTTTTTCTGCCACCTCCTCAAGCTGATTTGAAGATTCTTCTATGCAAACCTAGTTTTCCTTAAAACATAGTTGGAAAAAATCTTCTGCCAAGCCGAGATCTCTAGGCCTGCCCTCACCAATGCTTACTTCCTCTCCAGCTGTTAAGGAACCAACACGTTTTTCAAAAACTGGTATATGAATATTCACAATTTGGGGACTAGTAATAGCCCACTGAATTACTTTACATGTCCTTACTGTACTTTATGCTACATCTTATTTAGGGATAAAAACATCTAATAGAGTAAATATGAAATGGTGGCATTTCAGCCACTAAAATAGGAAAAAAATATTGTTTGGGTTGGAAGCCCTTCCTGTGTGTTCCCCAGTGACCTTGAGGTTGGAGGACATGTGATATCTGTTCTGTTAACACTGGTAAAATAAAATTTTTTAAATGTGCTGATGAGAGAAACTGCAAATACATAAACCAAATAAAAATTTAAAATACAAGGGAAATAACTTTAAAAAAGTGGTCATAAGAAAATTATGAAAAGATCTTTAGGATATCAGGAAATGGACCATCTGTGATATTCTTTTAGCCAAGATAAATAACACTAACTGCTGTAATAATTGACCTCAAAATGTCTGGCTCAACTCACTGAATATCTATTTATCACTCAAATCACAGTACAATGCATTCTGTGAGGAGGCTCTGCTGTAACTAGTCATTCAAGGACTGGTTCCACACTGCAGTGCTAATAGCTTCAAACACCTGGCTTCAAGGTTGACCTGACTTCATGTGGTTGAGACAGGAAGATAAAAGAGAATGGAGAGACACACTTCTCTACTGCTCAGCAGGGATCATATTCCGTTGATGAGAACTAATCATGTGGCCCTACCTATATGCACAAAAGTTGAGAAACGTCATTTAGCTATCTTGGAAGAGAAAACAGGTTTGGTGAGTATGTAGCCAGGCTTTGTACCAGATACTCAATTTGTAGCTTAAGTATCACCAGGTATGACTCCAGAAATCTCTTGGGAAGCCTCCACCACTCTTTTTTCTGCCTGCTTTAATATAGAAACCTTCATGCCAGCACTAACTTCATCTCTTGCTGTTCCTAAGACAAGCCATGATCTTCCATTTCTTTATACCTTTGCATGTGATGTCTGTCCAGTTCTTTGAAATACTCCTTCCCTTCTAACCTCCTCTTCTTCCAAATCTAACAAATTCTTAATCTATTAAGACCTAAGACAATGTTTACTTTCTTTATGAACTTCTGACACAGAAAGCACAGATCTCTTCCTAACATTCACTGAACTTATCTTTTACTTTGTACCTATCTCTTTTACTGACTGCCTTTGTACCTATCTCTTTTACTGACTGCCTAGGCCTAGGTCTAGGAACTAGAATGTTTTCAAAAGGATTGAGTGTGCTAATATTCACAAACTAATTAATATGTCAGAGGGGTCTGAACCAGAATGACTCCATCTTGAGTAGAGGCTGGGTACACTAAGGCTGAAACCTACTGGGCTGCATTCCTAGGAGGTTAGGCATTCTTAGCCACAGGATGAGATAGGAGGTCAGCACAGGATACAGGTCACAAAGACCTTGCTGATAAAACAGAATGCCGTAAAGAAGCCGGCCAAAACCCACCAAAACCAAGATGGTGGTGACAGTGACCTCTGGTCAACCTCACTGCTCATTATATGCTAATTATAATGCACTAGCATGCTAAAAGACACTCCACCAGCACAATGAGTCTACAAATGTCACGGCAATGTCAGGAAGTTACCCTATATGGTCTAAAAAGCAGAGGAACTCTCAGTTCTGGGAAATGCCCACCCTTTCCAGAAAAACTCATGAATAATCCACCCCTTGTTTAGCATATAATCAAGAAATAACTATAAGTATACTCAGTCGAGCAGCCCATGACACTGCTCTGCCTATGGAGTAGCCATTATTTTATTCCTTTACTTTCTTAATAAACTGGCTTTCACTTTATGGACTTGCCCTGAATTCTTCGCTGGAGGTCCAAGAACTCTCTTTTGGAGTCAGGATTGGGACCCCTTTCTGGTAACAAATTGCTTTAGCTTCTTAAGGTCAATGACCAAGTCTTATGTACCTTGGGATCTCCTATGCCTACCCAGCACAGGCTTGGCTCACCTATTGAGTAACTAAGGAAAAAATGAATACTTTCTCCCTTTCTGACACTTCCAAGTTGTCAGCAACTTTGGTGTCTATTTTTGTTTCATTTTTGTATTAATATTTTTATATTGTCATAAAATATAACAATAGTTACCATGTTAATCATGTTCTAGTGTTCAGTACACGCTCTAGTGTTTAGTTAACAATGTTCTAGCGTTCAGTTCTATAGTTCAGTATAGTACGAACTATATATGCACCTCATGCAACAGATCTCTGTAACTTTTTCTTCCTGCAAACCTGAAACACTATACCTGTTGAACAACGCCCCCTTTTCCCCTCTCCCCAGCCCCTGGTAACCATGATTCTACTTTCTGTTTCTAAGAGTTTGACTACTTTAGATACTTCATATAAATGGAATCACTTTTTGTGATTTGCAACTGGCTGATTCCACTTAGCACAAGGTCCTCAAGGTTCATCCATGTTGTAGTTTATGAAGGAATTTTCTTCTTTTTTAAACGCTAATCATCCATTACATGTGTATACCACATTTTCTTTATCCATTCATCCATTCTAGTGTCTTTGTTTTTGACTTATGGGTTTCCGGAAAAGACTGATGAGAAAATATATTTTCTATTAACCCAAGAGAAAAAGTGATCTTGCATGCTGGAATTTTTAAGGATGGTTTAGGTTCTAGAGACTCAAAGAGAAATCGTAGAAAATGCAAAGGGAAATTAGATTAAAAAAAAAAACAGTGACCACATAAAGAATATCTCCCATTATATCCTCTCTGAGCACGAGAAACTATTAAACTACTTTCAACCGAGCAATAAGGGCCCATAATAAAAAGCTGTTGCCCTAGTTTTTTTACTGCCCTACTCAATACCCCCTCTTTCATACCCTCAAAATAGCTCAGCTGAGAAAAGAAACAGTCCAATTTTACAGAAGGGAAAAATAAACAGATAAAAGGATAAGCAAGAACTCTTTTCAACACAGAGTAAGGTACTGGTTAGAATTTTAATACTGTATGGAGGAGTCTAACCCCAGAGTAATCCCTGGCCCATTTTGGTGTTAGTAAGTGGATCCCAGTGTTCGTTTGTATCGAGGTAGTTTGAAGCACGTTAGGGATATTCATAGCCTTTACTTCAGTGCATTATTATGAAAGAATCTAAAGTATCTTTGCATTTACGTGATTATGTTTTCAGTTGGTCTGCGGAGCTATTATTAAATATGTGGCCATAACGTGTACAGAAAAATCTCCAAGTAAACTGGCATTTAACTTACCAACACGTTAAACCCCCATACATAACTTCCTTTAAAAACGATCACACTAAAAATCCCAGCATTTAAAATCCTGAAGTTTTCGGTAAAATACGCTAAATATAGCTTGAAATAGTAAATAATCCCCCCAAGGCGACATTAGCAAATTAATTGGTGTGTGAACAAAGAACTCTTTCTGCAGCAGCATGAATGTTGCCTTTATTTTTTCTCACAAGTATGATTTTAGAAAACAGCTGTAGCGCATGTTGACAAATGAGAAAGCGGCAGACGTGGTAAAGCACTTTCGGTCAAGGCCAAGAGGGGGGGAAATCGGGTTGCTGGGGCGGCACTCGGGCTGGAATCCCTAGCTTCCCTAACCTCCTTTTTCCAGTCCGGAGTGAGCGGGGGCCCCATCGCCCCACCCCCCTTTCCTGGCTCTGGTTACGGCCTTGCGAGTTGAACAAACTTGCTGCAGGCGGATTGGCGGCTGGGAGCTCTCGGGCTGGGGCGTTGTATTTATTAATTTATATTCCGCGGCGCCCCGCGCGGGCGGCTCCTTTGTGTCCAGCCGCCGCCACCGGAGCTCCCGGGGCCTCCGCGGGGAGCGCGTCCCCCGCATCCGCCCGACCCCCGGGGCTGGCACGTGCTGCGCCCGGTCCGCTGAGGGGGCGGAGGCCCCGATCTCCCCGACCCCCCTTCTCTGCTTAGAGGAGGAGGAGCAGCGGCAGCGGCAGCAGGAGGCGACAGCTGCCAGCCGAGGAGGCGCGGCGGAGAGGGGACTGCGGTCAGCTGCGTCCACTTGGGGCTGTGCGGCGGTCCCGCGCCCGGCGATGTTCCCGGGCACTCCCTGAGTAGCGGCAGCTTATCCCCCGCCCGCTAGCCCGCCCTGGTCCCCGGCTCGCTCGCTGGCTGGCGCGGCCCCGGCCCCGCTCTGCGTCGGCCCCGCCGCGGTGGAGGCGCGCGAGGGGGACGCGGCCGGGGATGAGCGGATTGCGGGTGAACTCGCCGCCCGGGGGCCCCGCGAAGCCGTGAGCCGCTGCTTTTCTCCGAGTCGCCGCCCTGCCCTTGGATTTGAGATCATGTACGTACGCGCCGCCGTCCTGCCATTGTCTCTCTCCAGCGCGTGCCGTGCGCCCCAGGGACAGGGGCTGGTGCCCATCCTCGCCGCGCGCTGTCCCCCGCACTTCCTGTTCCGAGGAGAGACCCGCGCGCTGACCGTGCTTCCCTTCTCCCCTCGCCCCCTCTGTCCGTGCAGGTCCATCCACATCGTGGCGCTGGGGAACGAGGGGGACACATTCCACCAGGACAACCGGCCGTCGGGGCTTATCCGCACTTACCTGGGGAGAAGCCCTCTGGTCTCCGGGGACGAGAGCAGCTTGTTGCTGAACGCGGCCAGCACGGTCGCGCGTCCGGTGTTCACCGAGTATCAGGCCAGTGCGTTTGGGAATGTCAAGCTGGTGGTCCACGACTGTCCCGTCTGGGTAAGGAAGAGCAGCTGCTCCGCGCTGAGGCTGAAGAAGCTTTTCTTTCCTTTTTTTTCCCCCTCCCCCTTCTGCCCACTTCCGTGAGTGTGGAGTGTCCGCGTTACATGGGTCAAATTTTTAAACATTTTTGAGAAAATCTTTGGTCCTTTGTTTCACTGGGCAGGGAACAGCCCTGTCAGAGAACACTCTTAGGAAGATAGAAGGCCCCAGTGGGAATGTGGAGCACTTACTGGTACACTTCACGACTGTGGGTTGACCCTTGGTAGGCAGCAGACAGTTGAATGTGCCAACTCCAAGGGACGGGGTCACTAAGTTTCATCAGCAAAAAGCAGTGTTTTTTTATGTCTACCCTATGGGTGATAGTGTAATATTGGTGTTCTAAAAATACATCCCTCTCAAAGCTCAACACAGGCAAAAATACTTTTCACTGGGACAGTTCAGAAATAGTTCCTCTGGAAAGCGGAGGAAAAGACAGGGACTGGGAGTTAATTTTAAATGACTCATTTATAGCACTATTAATTGATCTCTGAAAACTTAATTTTAATAATGCAAATACTCTTTATGTGTTAGCCATTTGTCTTAGTGACTCATAAATCAGAAATAACATTACTAATGTTGTTTGGAAAACTTTTAAAAAATTAAAATTTGTAATAATTGAACAAAATAGTAGTGAAGTGGATAAATTATAGTCCGATTCTTGAGTGTTTGATTAAGGGAGAAAGGAACTTACTTTCTGACACATATAAATATTTTCAGCATACAATAACATTATGTTTGAATGTTTTCCTTTAGTCTTATTTGAAAATCTTTGATTCTTTACTGATATTGGAGTTACGTATGTTTCAGCTAAATGTTACATTTAATAACAGAAGAAAGTTTAGTGCCTGAAAAGATACAAATTATCGTTGTGTAAGATTTCACATTTAAACAGCAATATTAAAAAAACTGAATTAGGACTATAGGAAAGTATCACGCCATTCTAAAAAATGTGTAGAATATACTTGGAAAAATTTCTTATGCAAAGTTCCACATAACAGAACGAAAAGATCACTCGCTCGTGTAAGTTTTCAGTTAAAGAAGAAAGTTATGTTAATTTGGTAAAATAAAAAACAGGCCTTTTCAATTAAGAGATACTATTAAACCCCTAGTTATGATAGTGATGATGCTGTTCATAAGAAGTATTGATGGAGAACTTACTGGTCAGAGTCTATGCAGGCAAATGAAACACTTCTTTTACTTGGGATCTTTCGTTGTGAAAGATCTTACAGCCTAAAAACATGACGGTTCAACATGCAGTTGAATAAATGTTTAGCGAATCGAGTAAATGTAGGGAAAATAAAACTAGCTACATTAGGATGTTAGGATTGCTTTCCCGTATTTAATTTGAGCTGTTAACACTTTCCTGTTTATACTGTTAATTTTGCAAACAGTAATGCTTGTGATCCCATACACTTTGTCTAGTAAAATGAAATCTTCCAAATGGAGAAAATAAACCTCTATAGTACGGATTTTTGCCATATGCTGGTTGTTATGGTTTATCTTGCTAATAACTTTTTGTTTGGTTAGACTCTGGCCCTATTTAAGGCACCAAGTTTGTAACCAGGTACAATTTTCTAGGTTATAATGATCTTCAGATATGAGATTCCATTTCTAGAGTTGCTCTTTATAAGGTGCTTTTCTTCACTTGGTGGTAAGTAAAGCCCATCAGAGATTCTAAAGCTGATTGCATTAATCAACTGTTATTTGACGTATGTACGGAACCAGAATATTAAATATAGCAGAGCAGATAGAGCATAGCCTTTGATATCAAAAGGATCTGATTTCAGATTCCCACATTGCCATTTCAGGTCTGTGTGTCCTTGTTAAATCACTTACCTTCTCTCAGCCTTATTTTCCCTATCTATAAAATAATATGCCTCCTAAAGCTGTGCTGAGAAGTGAATGAGAAACTAGCACGTGTCAAGTTCTAAGTATAGAGGCTGGCATTTAGTAGATGCTCTATAAGTGGTAGCTAATATAAAAATAAAGTGTTACAACTTTAGTTATGTATCACTTATATTAATACTAAGCAAAAGTAAGATTTTCACAGGTCATTCAAGATTTATACAACTACAGTACCAGTACACTGGGGCAGCGATGTTCATACTTCATACATGCAGCCCCACAATCAAGTAAAATAAAATAGTTTCACTGTAGAAATTCAGATTTTTTTTTTTAAAAGATGAGTTCAATTCTCCAAATGTGGCTCCAAGCCTTGTGTTGCATAACCCCGAGAGGAAACCCTGGAACTGATTTACAAGGGGTGGGAGAATTTGATTTTCTTCATAATTCTAGAAATCTTTGGAGTATTTTCTCTTTGGCATAGTTTGAGAAGAGATGTGTTGTTGTTGCCTTGAAGTTGAAATGAGGTAGCTGTGTTTCCCTTCCCTAGTTCTCTTCTATAGATCCTTAGCCTTACCCTGGATCCTTGCCTTATATACTTGGCACTTTTAAAACAAATGTGCTGCAGATTCATTAGATGTAGCACATTATTTAGTGTGTCTTTCTCTCTCTTTCCCATCCGTTTTTTTGGTGTGGTACATTATTATTTCATTTCACGTTTCTATATCTTTTACTGTTTATTAAAAATATTCCACAAAAAGCAGTGAGGTAGTTTAATAGATTTACAGTTTTCTTTGCAGGGTTTGAAGCTCTGATTTGGATTACAAATTAAGTATTTATAGTCTTCACATCCTCAATCCCACAGAGTTAAGGATGCCCAGACCCATTTTTTCATAACATTTTCCCTTAAAGGTCCTCCCCTTCCCCGGATACCTCTCCAGTAACTCTGGAATTTTGAACTATTTGGAATTCAAAAAGCAGCTACTTTTGATTTATTCTCTCAGAGTTAAATGGCTGCTTAATATTGGCCCCACTTTTGTTTAGTTTTTTATCTCATTTGTCTTCCTTGTTATACTTACGCACTCTGTTATACTTGGATACTTTGAACTTGAACGCTGTAACAGATGCAGTTGGAACTGAATGAGCTGTGTGGTTTGGGATTTGGCAGTTTGAGAGTTCTGCTGGGAAGCTTTCCCATTTTTCTGCACTGTGTCCCACTTCCCTTCTGCCCCCTTGCACCCTCTACCAAGTTCAACCCTTTGCCTTTGTTGTTTATAGTCCATATTTTGCCTTTTTTTTTTTTTTTTGGTTCTTTTACCTCCCTTCAAAAATACTGTACACATCCCAGTTTTGATAGGGTATTCATGACAAAAAATTCTGCAGTTCTTGTTACTCTGAGTGTACTTGTGGGAAATGAGTGGCTGGGAGGGTATGGGGAACTGGGGGAGGCACTGATGAGAAGAAGCTCTCTCTTCAGAAGGGCATTGCTGTGTGATACTCCTCCAGAATGTGCCATCGTAGGATAAAAGCTCTGTCACATAGACCTTGGTTGGCTGATTCAAACACTGTTAACCCTGTTTTAGACTCATATTTCAAAGTTTGAACTTTCTTAGCTCAACAGCTTTTGGACCTGTTAGTCAGACCTAGCTATTTTCTTAATCTAGCTTTATTACATCCTAGAAATGTGTACCAAAGGCCACATAAAAAGACAAATGATTAATAGTTAACTAGAATGTGAGAAGAAAACTACTTGTACATTATTTGGTAGTGGAGTTAAGATACCTAAAGATATTTTCCTTACATCACTATTCATACAGAAACTGAAAAATTATATGTAAAATATCAACCCAGGCCAGGCACGGTGGCTCATGCCTGTAATCCTCACACTTTGGGAGACCGAAGTGGGCAGACTGCCTGAGCTCAGAAGCTGGAGACCAACCTGAGCATTGTGGTTGAAACCCCATCTCTGCTAAAGTACAAAAAAATTAGCCGGAATGGTGGTACACACCTGTAGTCCCAGCTACTCGGGAGGCTGAGGCACAGGAATTGCTTGAACTTGGGAGGTGGAGGCTGCAGTGAGCCGAGATCGCACCACTGGACTCCATGCTGGTCGACAGAAAAAAAATCAAAACATTATATTTTTAAGGAATAGTGTTTGTAATAAATTACTTACTGGCCCCAGTTCTAAATAAATATAAATGTTATTAGCTGTAGCACAAAAGTAAATATTTCAGAACTAGAAGAGTTTATCCTGAATTTTTAATTTATGTAGGCAAAATACGTGAATTGAAAATATATTCCTTACCATGTTAACACCTTGTAATACACAGTATCTCTTTTTTTAGTAAAGGAATTTCTCCCTCACCCCACATTCATACTCTTTATATACAGTACTGTCCAAAGGATGGATAAAGTTGAAAAGTATACATGAATTTTGAAAATATGAATAAAGTATATGGAACTTCACAGAATTTAAAATGTATTGCAGTTCAGAACACTGAAAATCCTGCAGTGTCTAACTGGGTCAGAGGAAAACCTTTGAAGCTTCGTTACTCATACTGTTGCTCTTCCATCTAATGCCATAATGTTACACTTTTGAATTTATGAGGTGATAAAAATATAGTGTAATTTTAAAACAAAGGGCTTATTTTTAAGTGCAAATAGTGAAAGAGGTTGCTTATTTTATCTGACTCTCAAGAATTCTCAGGTTCTCCTGTTTAACCATTACATAATTGTCCAGGCTACATGAGTAAGTAAACATTTTTAAAAAGAGAGTTGGCAGACTGCAACACTTTTAATTTCAAGTAGTTACTTATTTTAAAATAATTTTTTATGAATTCCAAAAATTAATGTCATAAATTATTTCAGGATTGATTGGACGATAAGTAGACTAAAGATTGCTATTTGCATTTTGGTTTAGGACATATTTGACAGTGATTGGTACACTTCTCGAAATCTAATTGGGGGCGCTGACATCATTGTGATCAAATACAACGTTAATGACAAGTTTTCATTCCATGAAGTAAAGGATAATTATATTCCAGTGATAAAAAGAGCATTAAATTCAGTTCCAGTAATTATTGCTGCTGTTGGTACCAGACAAAATGGTAAGTATTTAATATTCTTTTTTGTAGTGAGCATGCAAATATTATATATACTTTAAATAGTGCTAAGTTTATTAATGGATAATAGGGTTTGTTTTTGAAAACCAAAATGACTTTGGTTCAATGCCAGCTGCTATCGCTTCATCATTTGATACGATAAAAAAACAACAAAGGAGAGGATCATGAACTTCTGCTGTGATTCCACTGGGTGCAAATCTGTCTTCTAAATGGCTCTTCTACAGTAGTGATGGAAGTCAGCAATTGTATTATTTTGACATATGAGAGGTATTAGGCTGATGCTGAGCCCTAGAAAACTCTTTTTGATGATCTGAAGGTCTACCTGATTGGGAAGGATAGATTGTTCACATGAAGATGTGGGCTTGGGAGCAGGATTTTTAGGTAGATAACAATGAGTGAGCTGGAAACACTGACAGTGCTGCCTAAAAGAAAGGATTGCTTATTCCATGGCTGATAGATTCATTGGGTTCAGGCTGCTTCAGCCATTGCTGCTGTGCATATTATTGTCAGATATCTTAGGGCCAACTCAGGATTCAGTTTGATTTGGTGGTATTTTACAGATCTTCTTAGTGGTATTTCCTAGTAAAGCTATTTTTAAAATTTTATTTTTACACATTATTCTAAAAACTTTTAAATTGAGGTATTGCGAAGTAAAGGACATAAGGTTTACTGATCTTAGAGTGCAGCTAAATGCATTTTTACCTATGTATACAGCCACGCAACCCACATACATCAAGGTATAGAACATTTGCAGCACTTGAGAAGGCTCCCTCATGCTCTTCCCAGTTAATAACGCTCCTCCTCAGAGGTAACTGCTATTCTGACTTCTAACAACACAGATTAGTTTTACCTATTTCTGAACTTCATACAAATGAAATTATATGGTATGTAGTAGTGCCTTAGGTTAGGCTAATTTCAGTTAGCATAATACTTTTGAGATTTGTCCATGTTGTGTTTATCTGTAGTTTGTTCTTTTTATTACTATATATTAGTCCATTGTATGAATATGCCATAATTTATTTATCCATTCTTCTTTTGAGGATGCTTAGGTCGTTACCCAGGAGCGGGATTGTTGGGTCAGAGGGCAGGTATATATATAGCATTAGTAGATACAAGTAAGGCAGGCATGACCTACCCGTGACCCCATATCCCCTCTACTTCCCTATCTTTCTTTTTATTTCTGGTCATGATTCATAAAAGAGTTATCTGCACTTCCTGAGTCCATTTCCTATTCATTCTTCAGTCCGCTACAGTCTGACTTTGACTTTCACAAGTGCACCAAGTTTGTTCTCCCTCAGGGTCTCCAGTTGCTGTGGTCTGAATTTGTTCCCCAAAGTTCATGTGATGGCACAGTGTTGGGCAGTGAGACTTTAGGAGGTAATTAGGGCAAGAGGACTCTGCCCTCGTAAATGGATTGATGCTATTATCTTTAAAGTGGGTTAATTATCATGGGAGTGGGCTCCTGATAAAAGGATGAGTTTGGCCCCCTTCTGCCCTCTGTCTTGTGAGCTCTCTTGTACTTCTGCCTTCCACCATGGGACGATGCAGCAGGAAGGTCTCACCAGATGCTAGCACCTTGATATTGGACATCTCAGCCTCCAGAACTGTGAGAAATAAATTTCTTTTCTTTATAAATTACCCAGTCTGTGGTGTTCCATTATAGAAGCACAAAACGGACTAAGACACCACTTATGTCCTCGTTAGCCAAATTTAATACACTTTAATAACAATTATCTCTTATCGAAGAGATAAGAGATAATAATACTTATCTCTTGTTGAAATTATTGAAACATACCTCTCCCTCCATTTAATAAAGCTACTGGTTCTTTTAACTATCTGTCTCCTTTGCCTTTCTCCCCTCCTCCCACACACACACAGCAGAATTGTTTCCCAGGGTTCCGTCCTTTGACCTCACCTGTTCTTACTCTTCAGCCAAACCATTAACCTGCTAATCTGTTGTCCTGGCTTCTCCTATATAAACACCGATAACTGTTCAGTCTGTCTCTCTGGCTTTAGTCTTGCTCCTGGCACATATCACCATAGACATCATCTTCCTCTGGCCAAATTTCCTGTCTTGGTGAATGATGCCAGTCCTATCCATTCACCCAAACAAGAATCATCCTAGACCCAGCCCGATTCCGCATATCCAGTTGATTAAGAAGCCCTTTTGCTTTTACATTTTAAACAAATCTCAAACTCATTACTTTCTCTTCATCTCCATTGGATTTCGCATTCTAGTCATTTAGTTATTTGTCATGGTGGCCTTCTTTTTGGTCTCTTTAAGGGATGGTTTCAGATTTTGTAGGGCCTCAAACTTACACAATTTGGGAGGTCCTTCATAAGGAAAAAAACCCACAAAATAACAGATACATATATGTACAAAAGTAAATATTTAGAATGATAAGTGAAAGCACAACAAATTACAACTAAAAAGTTGTCAAATACTACAGACATTTTTAAATGTATGTATATATTTTTGAGACAGGGTCTTGCTCTGTTGCCCAGGCTGGAGTGCAGTGGCATGATCATAGCTCACTGCAACCTGGACCTCCTGGGCTTGAACGATGCCCCCCACCTCAGCCTCCTGAGTAGCAAGGACTACAGGCACGTGCCACCACACCCAGCCAGTTTTTTTATAGAAACGAAATTCTGCCGTGTTGCTCAGGCTGGTCTCCATCTCCTAGACTCAAGCCATCTGCCCCCCTCAGTCTCCCAAAGTGCTGGGGTTACAGGCGTGAGCCACCACACCTGGCAACAGATCTTTTTAACAGCCTGATACTTCTTCAACTTTTCTTATGTTTTTTGGGTGACCATAGTCTTTGGTCATCTCTTCATATGATAACCACTGATAGGTTATGGCTGTGTCCCCACACAAATCTCACGTTGAATTGTCATAATCCCCATGTGTCATGGGAGGGACCTGGTGGGAGGTGGTTGAATCATGGGAGCGGGTTTTTCCTGTGCTATTCTCATGATAGTGAGTAAGTCTCATGAGATCTGATGGTTTTATAAAAGGGCAGTTCTGGTCATGCTCTCTTGCCTGCTGCCATGTAAGATGTAACTTTGCTCCTCCTCCACCTTCCATCATGATCATGAGGCCTCCCCAGCCATGTGGAACTATGAGTCCATTAAACTTCCTTTTCTTTATAAATTACCCAGTCTCAGGTATGTCTTTGTTAGCAGCATGAGAACAGACTAATACAACCACTTTATGATATTTTCTATAGAGATGAGAATGATAATCAGTGGAATCTGATTATCAGTTATCACACACTCAACTATACATGGAAGTGACTATAAACCACAAATAGTTCATTAAGCCTAAGGTTAAATTCCCTTTGGCAACATCCCCCAAATGCCCACAGTTACTCCAGAGCTGCCTGATACAAGATGAAGTGATTTGGAGTGGAAAGAGACAATAGTCTTGACTAAATATCTTAGTTTGCAAATTTTACAAAAGAATATGACCATGTGAAGATATATTGCTCAGGTTCTTCCTGGGGCTTGGAAAGGATCCACAAGAAAAGAGTCTTGAAGCTTGAGCTTCATCAGCTTTATGGTAAATTGGCCTCTGGTGTGCTATTCCTGGTTTGTCTCTTTCTGAAATAAATTCTCTCAGAATAGTTATCCTAGAATACAAGTCAGATCATGGCGCTCAATGCTTTGAATTCTTTGAGAACTTTCTTCTTTGCCTCTTATTTTGCAAAATTTCAAACCTAAGAAAGTTGACAAGAATAAGACATTGAACCCTAGATTTTATAAACACACACACACACACTTTTTTTTGGCTGAACTATTTGAGAGTGAATTGTAAACATTATGAGATTTCTTTATTCCTAATTACTTTAGCATGTATCATCTAAGAACAAGGCCGTTATCTTATTAAGCCTAATACAATCATCAATCAAGAAATCTAACATACTATTACATTTTTACTATTATTTAAGATATAATCTGGCCAGGCGCAGTGGCTCACGCCTGTAATCCCAGCACTTTGGGAGGCCGACGCGGGTGGATCATGAGGTCAGGAGATCGAGACCATCCTGGCTAACACGGTGAAACCCGGTCTCTACTAAAAATATGAAAAATTAGCCAGGCGTGGTGGCAGGTGCCTGTAGTCCCAGCTATTTAGGAAGCTGAAGCAGGAGAATGGCACGAACCCAGGAGGCGGAGGTTACAGTGAACCGAGATCGCACCACTGCACTCCAGCCTGGACGACAGAGCGAGACTCTGACTAAAAAAAAAAAAAGAAAAGAAAAAAAAAAGAGATAGAATCCATATTTTCATTTCCCCGGTTGTTTCCTTATAATGTGCTTTATAGCTGGGGTTTATCATTGTTGTTGTCTTTTAACCAATCCAGGATGCAATTAAATATTACACATTACATTTAGTTGTTATATCTCTCAATTCTCTTTTTTTTTTCTTTCTTTCTGTTTTTTTTTTTTTTTTTTTTTAGAAACAGGATCTTGCTGTGTTGCCTAGGCTGGTCTGAACTCGGGCCTAAGCAATCCTCCTGCCACAGGCTCCCAAGTAGCTAGGATTATAGGCATGCATGACCACATCTGCCTTCTAATCTCTTTTAATCTGGAGCAGTACGCCCAGTGGGTTTGGGGGGAGGGACCGTGTCTGTCATAATATGAACATTTTTAATGAGCCCAGGCCCTTTAGTTTGCATAATTCCTTCATTTATGATAAATGTGCTTGCAAAATAGTGATGTTTCTATCGTTCTTCCTATACTTATTGGTTGATATTCTTCTGTAAATGGAGCTTTCCTTTTTCTCTGCTCCCAAATTTTTCTCTTAGAATTATTATGATTCATGGATTTCTATTTTAAATTCAGTATTTTGTGATCTGTTCTGATTATTCTTTTGGATGCTCACATTGCTCCATATTTGCTTGCAGGGAGTCATTTCAAGCTACCTCTAATCAGTTTTTAGCCCCTTCCTTATTTTCTGGCACAAGATATTCCAGGCTCAGACTTTGCCTATCCCAGTCCTAGAATCAGCCATTTCTTCAGGAACTCTGGTTCCTTCTAGGGGGCAATGATATTTAGAAACCAAGGTCTGGGCTCTAGGATGCTCATGACTTTAGGTGTCTTTACTTCTGCGCCCTTTAATTGGCTAGAGCTAGGGATTATACTTTTTATTTAAATTATGGGCACTGATGCCCTTATTTCAATCTGGTATTCGTATCTCATTTCAATAACTTTTTCTTGTAAAATCTTTACCTGAAATACAAGATCCTTCATGAGGTAGCCTCTGACTGTTTCTATAATCTTGCAGGGCACAATCCCCTGCCTTATGTATCAGTCACACTGAACTACTTGAAAAACTTAATGTCTTTCTTTAGGTCTAGGAAAGTCTTAACTGTGTGACTTCAGATATCACCATCCATCCATTTTCTCTATTCTCTTCTTTTGGGACTTTTGTTAGACTGATGTTGGAACTTCTGGATCTCTTCTCTGATTATTTTATCTTTCTTTTATATTTCTTATTGCTTTATTTCTTTGTGTTGCATTATGGGAGAGTTCCTTGGCCTTTTCTTCTGGTTCACACATTAGTTCTGCTGGGTCTGTTCTGCTATTCTGCCTTATTAAATTTTTTATTTCAAAAGCTTTTCATACCAGATCTCTAATGGCTGTTTTCATAAGTTCTTGTTCCAATCTTAAGGATGCAAACTTTTATTTAAAAAAACTCTCAGACCAGGCGCAGTGGCTCATGCCTGTAATCCCAGCACTTCGGGAGGCCGAGGCGGGCGGATCATGAGGTCAGGAGATCAAGACCATCCTGGCTAACACAGTGAAACCCTGTCTCTACTAAAAGTACAAAAATTAGCCAGGCATGCTGGCGGGCGCCTGTAGTCCCAGCTACTCGGGAGGCTGAGGCAGGAGAATGGCGTGAACCTGGGAGGCGGAGGTTGCTGTGAGCCAAGATTGCGCCACTACACTCCAGCCTGGGGGACAGAGCGAGACTCCATCTCAAAAAATAAAAAAATAAAAAATAAATAAAAAAAACTCTCAGGATAATTAATGATGCTTAATAATTCAGTTTTGATTTTTCTATTAAGTTTGGTTTTAAGATGGCATTATAAGTCGTTCTACTTGATGAGATTTTATTTTATGGTATGGATACTTCTTAAACATTGGGGAATTCTTAATTTGCCTACTTTTGCAGTTGACTTTCCTTGTTGGATTGATGCCTTCCTCTTTCTCTGCCCAGCTGCTGTCTGGGGATGGGGGTGTAAGTAGGAAAACACCCAGGATCAACAGGCTTGGCTGCTTCCACTGGGGTTCTCCCACTCATCCCCAGTCATTTGCCTTTGGGCCGCCTCCTCCTTGTTGCTCCCTGCATTGTTGAGCAGGGAGCACTCTAGGTGTGGCTGCAGTGTGAGCCTGTACTCAGAGCTTCAGGAGGCCTCTTCGGTCCTGTACTGCCTGCCTTCATTCTCTCAAGCACTCCTAGTTTCTGGGCTGATGAGGTTTCCCCTCTAGTTTTTGAGTGTTGCTGTGTATTCAGTCCTTCCTGCCTCCCTCCCTGTCTTTCTCCCTCCCTCTCTTTCTCCTTCCCCCTTCCTTCTTTCCTCCCCTCTTCCCTCCTTCCCTCCCTTCTTCTCCTCCCCCCCATTTTTTTTTTTTTTTGAGACAGCATGTCACTCTGTTGCCCAGGCTGGAGTGCAGTGGCACAGTCTCAGCTCATGGCAACCTCCACCTCAGGTTCAAGTGATTCTCCTGCCTCAGCCTCCTAAGTAGCTGCAATTATAGGTATGAACCACCATGCCTGGGTAATTTTTGTATTTTTAGTAGAGGTGGAGTTTCATCATAGTGGCCAGGCTGGTCTCGAACTCCTGACCTCAAGTTATCCACCTGCCTCAGCCTCCCAAAGTGCTGGGATTACAGGCATGAGACAATGCACCTGGCCCCTCTCCCCCTTCCTTCTTTCCTTCCTTCCTCCCTCCCTCTCTCCTTCCCTCTTCTCTCCTTCCCTCTCTTCTTTCTCTCCTCCCCCCTTCCCCCTTTATTTCATCATCTCTGTGATTTGGCAGGGAGGGGAGATCACAGTGTGGGCTTAGCTTTCCATCTTGAAACTGGAAATGAATGTTTTCCTTTCTTCTCACATCCAGTCCCCTGTACATGCTGTATTCTTAACTGTAGTGCCCCTCTACACAGCCCCTATCATATCAGCATAGCAAATTCACACTTATCTTTTAAATCATTACACTTTCTGTGAAGCCTTCCGTAATCCCCCCAGACAGTTAACTTTCTCTCCTCTGTTGTGTGGTGGCTTTGGACATCTTTATTTCAGTGCTTATTATGTTATATTATAACTGTTTGCAGTCATGTCTATCTTCTCTCAGTTGACTATGAGTTTTTATATCATTGCATTTTTATATCCCTGGCACTTGATGTGTGGTAGGTACTCACTAAACGTTTATTCAATGAGTGAATGGTTTTATGGATGATCTGAGTAAGTGAAAAAATCAATTTCACTAACAAGATGAAATTAATTTGCCATACAAGATGTAATTACAAAGTAATTACAAAGCTAAATCTGGCTATTCAACTCGAGGACCTATATTGGCTTCCCCCCATCCATCCCTTGGAATACATGAAACTGTGTTGGGTGCTCTCCTGGTAATTCCCTTGGAACTCTTTTTAACTTTTTGTTTGTTTGTTTGTTTTTTGTTTTAAATAGAGATGGGGCTGGCCACGGTGACTCACGCCTGTAATCCCAGCACTTTGGGTGACTGAGGTGGGAGGATCACTTGCGATCAGGAGTTCAGGACCAGCCTGGGCAACATGGTGAAACCCCATCTCTAGGAAAAATACAAAAATTTGCCAGGTGTGGTGATGCACACCAGTAGTTCCAGCCACTAGGTAGGCTGAGGTGGGAGGATCACTTGAGCCTGGGGGAGGCAGAGGTTGAAGTGAGCAGAGATCATGCCACTGCACTCCAGCCTGGGCGACAGAGTGAGACCCTGTCTCAAAATAAATAAATAAATACATAAAAATTTAAAAAAATTAAAAAAATGGAGATGGGATCTCGCTATGTCAACCAAGCTGGCCCCCAACTCCTAGGTTCAAGGGATCCTCCCACCTCAGCCTTCCAAGTAGCTGGAATTAAGCACACGCCATCATGCTCAGCTTCTTGAAATTCTTTTTAAAGTTAAAAAGAATTCAGCCAAGTATAATCCAGTCTCATTTCTTTCCTTTGTTACACATTTTTGACAACTTTGACCCTATGGATGTCTTCATCATACTTGGCTCTGAATAAATTTTCGGCTTATACTAAATATTGAATCTATCTTGAAAAGAGAATTTTTTTTCAGAATGTGCTTAGAATGTATTCATAGGTTTAAGCTCCCAAAGACAGGCATCCTTTCAGTTATTTCTGAAGCTCTGGTAGAGCCTGGTCCTTTACTAGGCTAGAATTTTTGAAAAGAATTTCTAAAACTTCCAAGCAGTGGCAATGTTGTAAGAATTAACCTGCAGGTTCCCAAAGCCACTACTTTTCAAAGATGTTATCCATTTGAATGTCAGAGTTACATTGTGCTTGCTTTTAAAAAAAAATAGACAGCATTTTATGATAACATCTTAAGCATATAAGGGAAAAAAAGACTATAATGTTAGCTAGAAGTGTAGCACTCATTCAGAGTCACGTGACCATGCCGCACCACAATTTAAAATTAGTTTGAATCCTCTGCTTGTTCCTGATTAAATGGTTAATGTAAATTAATTTAATTTAGAATCGGTTCTACTGCTATAACCAATACAAGCCAGACTTCTACTTGGAATCTTAGATCATATAGCTGACTGATATTGAAGAATATAGGAATGGTTCAAAAGAGAACCACAAAGTAACTATTAAGAAACAAAAGCCTCTCAAGAAGGTTTTAAGAAGTAAGATTTTAGAATCCAGATAAAGGGTAGGTAGCTAAGTGGCAACACAGTTACAGCATAATATGGTGTAGAAAGACTAGACATTTTTTCCTTTCTGGTGAGTGAACAAAAACAAATGTCTTCAGTGACATAGAAGAGATACAGGGGCACTTTCTAGGAACATGTGTAGGTAAGTTGCTTACAACCACGCACAGTGGAAAAACCACCCTGCTAGCATAAACCTGAAATTAGTTGTATTTTCTCCCTCAAATCAGATTGTTAAAAATTATTTTACATTATGTTCACTTCACTTTTCCACTTGAAACACTCCTGTCTCTGCTTGATTTCTGTCCAGAAATAAAGTTTAATAAGATGATCTGGCTACCCACTCCATTCCATCAACATAAGGAGACCTTTGTAGATATAAGAAGGCCTCTGTTTTCAGAAAATCAAAGGCACTGTTTAGGAAGGCTTTGTGAAGAATGTGAAATACCAACATGTTATTTTTCAAGATAGGCTAAATTCTGTATGAAAACTTTATTTGCTCCAAACTTAAAATGATCTTAGAAAAAGTAAAAGTAAAATCTCAAATTAGAATTTATGGCATAATTTAGAGAACTCAAGTTTAATTTTTAAATCACTGTATCTTTGGAATCAGTAATTCTCTACTAAAACTATATTTTTATTTTTCCTTTTGGTGTCACTTTTATTATCAGGTGGAGCAAGTAGCAGTGTTATGATTGCTTCTCTATCTCTAACCCACAAAGAGACTTGGAAAAGCCACATAACCTCTCTGAGCCTCAGTTTCTTCCTCTGCAAAATGAGAATATGAATATATGGCTTCTGAGCTCCAAAATGCTTTCAGTGAAGCTAAAATTATCTAAGCCATGTGTGTCTGTGTGTATGTGTATGTGCATTTTTACATACATGGTATGCATATGCACTAAATATATTTAGCGTATACCCGATATTTACATATATCTGCTCCATCTGTATGCAATTCATTCACAGGGAAGTTGCTGCATATGCGATGGGGGAGTTGCTCAAATGTCCTTTCAGGGCCAGTGTACTTACTCCCTCAGTTATTGGGGCTTGTTGGCTGCTGCTGATGCACATCTGAGCCCCTTTCCATGCATTACTCTGTGCTGATGGGAGCTGCCTTGCCCAAGTTATCCCTGCTCCAGGGGCTCAGCCCTTGTCTGATTGCTGGTCGATTTAGGGATAGGATACAGCTCAGCTACCTCCTTTCCCCAAATGAGGAACAACTCTAAAAGGCCATCTAAGCTCCAGAGCCCCCTGTAGGATCAGCTTTGGTCCCTGTTCCAACAGTACTGCAATTCCAATTTTCCTTCTACCCAGTCCCGCATTCCTCACCCCTGAGAAGCGTTATTCCCAAGATCACTCCCCAATTAACCTTCTCCACACCACTCTTCATCTTAGAGTCTGCCTCCCCACGGGAAGCCAATCTACAACAACATGCATTTCTAGAAATGAATTTACCCTCTTTTGATCTGGCAGCCTTTTTGAATGGTGACACATCTGATGTTGTGGTCACGATACATAACAAATCTGGCTGACAAATATGGAGTTAAACATATATTTTTAGCCTTACTAGGGATGTTCTTATAGATAGATTGTTCTACCACCTTCCTAGCCATAGATGTATACATGGTACAACTGTGAATTTTGGGACTTTCACTTTTTGAGTTAATCCTTTTTATTTCTTCAGTTTTTAATTTTTTAATCTTAAAGAAAAAGATAAAGAATGATTGAACTTGTTCTCTGAAGTCAAATGCGTTAGAGTTTAATGATTGAAATGTCTGAATTAATAGGAATGTACTTCCTATGAAGTTTACAAAGAGAGTGACAATTTTGTTGCCTGGAAAATCAGGTCAAATTGAAGGTTCTGTTACAATAGAAGTGTAAGGTTTACTCAAACTTTGTAAATAGATTTCAAGTTTATTATATTAAAAAAGCAAATCCACTGTTTTCCATGCTCTCCATGGCAATCAAGTTGTTACATTTATCTTCTTTTCTACTGGCCTAGAAATACTGATATTCAGGATGTCAAGGTTGTGTAAAAAGAAGCAGGCCCACGAGTACTGGTTGTTTGTTAATATCCATTCACCTACTTTTAAATTTTTCTATTTTCTAAAATACTATTTATTATTCTTGCAGTGAATGCTTGTTTATTTAGGGAGTCATTGACACTTTGTATTCAGAGTTTAGTGGGTAGTGGATATACTGAATGCTTTTGAACTGTGGCTCTAGTATGAGCTCTTTGTTGTTTAATGTTCAGATTGTCTGTGTACCTTTTTTTTCCTGTTTAATTTCGAAACTCTTTGTTTTAAAATTTGTTTTCTCAGAAGAGTTACCTTGTACATGCCCACTATGTACCTCAGACAGAGGGAGCTGTGTTAGTACAACTGAAGGGATCCAACTTGCAAAAGAACTAGGAGCGACCTATCTTGAACTCCACAGCCTTGATGACTTCTACATAGGAAAGTATTTTGGAGGAGTGGTAAGTGGAAATTCCTGTTAAGTATAAAGTTATTTGTCAGGTTGCCTCTTTAGGTATTTTGTAGAACATCAGTTAGAACTTCAGCTTTAAAAGCATGGTTTGTCTTACTTAACCTTGAGAAATAAAATGAGAGTGAGTGGCAAAGGTTTTATCAGAATAAAATTATAATTTTATTTTTCTCTCCAAATGAACCTTTTCTATTTAATATGATATTTTGGAATTTTTCATTTGGTGATCTTTAGTAGTCTTTGTTGTATGTATCAAAAGCATGTTTACTTAACCAAACCTGTGATGCCACTTTTAATAGTCATCTTTATACAGCTGAATGAGCCTGGCAGCCTGAGCCAGCAGGCCCTGAAAGTTCTCTTTCATTTCCATCTACCAGTTGGAAAGAATAATTTTTCTTCCTCTGTGTGTGCTTTGGCAAAATTTTATATCCTCCTAATCTTGTTGTGGCTCAAACAGATTCAGAGGAACTACTTATATAAATAGCTGCTTGTTGGATATGTGGGAGCAAATTTGCTTGCTTGGTTGCCGTGGCGCATATTGGGTTCTGCAGTCATTTTGATGCTGATGTTAACACATAGCACCTCCCATATAGTATTAGGACTGTAATGTCCTTGGAGAATACTGTGGAGTTGTATCATTTAAGAATTTGCTGACATAGAAACTACATTTCCAAACCTCTAAGAAGCAACTCCTCTCAACAGACAAATCTGATATACACGGATGAGAAGTTAAAAGCAAAGAAAACCTACTTTAAGCAGGAGCACTTTGGCATCCGCCATCGGTTCCCTAGCTCTTCACCAAGTACTCTTTCCAATACGCCCCAATATTCATTATGTAAATTCATGTTAAAATGTTGAGGTTCCACAGATGACTACAGAAATACCATTTGTGTAAATGGGTAAAATAAAGACCAAATATAAATGCTGCCAATTTCCATCAAATATAAATGGCTTTTATTCACCCAATAATATAAAGAAACATTAATATTACAATGTTAAAGAAGATATACTCACAATATTGATATTATCGATGACTGTGAGAAACTTTTGTTGCATTCATTTATAGTGATGAGCAGTGAGTAGAAAGGTGGATAAGAGAAATTTAATCTTCCTTTCAAGCAGATTATATACTAGTGGCTTTTAAAAAAATCTTAATTTGGCGAAGAATGGTGCATTTCCTAAAATACCTGGGAAGCTGGAGAGCAAAAAGATGGTTTGGTTTTGCTTATTGTGAAGGTTCATTTGTCAGATAGTTTTATGCACTAGATTTGGTTTCATTTGTTGAGGGGAGGCCGTTCCCTTGGAAGCCACAGGTCTCCTTGCTCCCTGTTCTAGGATCCTGAACCTGAAATTCCCAGGATCATTCTTCCCACTTTCCCACTCGCACTTTCTCTCCTCTCTTTCTCTTCTTCTGGCTCCTTTTTTCTCTTTCTTCCTAATATCTAATGTTGCAATTAGGGTTAGAGGCATGATGAGGATTGATGTGGCCAAGGTTGGGAGAAAGACGTGGCAGTTTCTTTTTACCTTAACTCAAGCCCTGTTGAGAATATGGAAACAAGATCAGAATGGTATCATTTTAGATGTTTTACTTTCTAGTAAAGTACAACTGGGATCTTGAGTGTAAAATAGAATGGCATTGGCAAACATATGGATGGAGATGATAATGTTAGAATGAAAGGAGCATTGAAAATCTGCATTTAAGGGTCAGAGTTGAAGAGCTGTGCAATACTACCCTTAGACCTAGGCCAGAGAGAAAGCCGCCTGCCTTCCAGCTTTAGAGAGCTCCATCTGTCCGTCCTCCAGTTGCACCCCTCCCCACAGGGCACAAGTCAGTGGAGCCAAGGGTTGTGCCCACCTGGAGCTGGTGGACTTCATTCCTTTCTAGACCTGCGCTGTCCAGTATGGCAACCACTAGCTACATGTGGCTATTTATATTTAAATGAATTGAAATAAAACCAAGTAAAATTCAGTTCTTCAAGCATATGAACCATATTTTAGGTGCTCTATGGCTACATGTGGCTAGTGGCTACTGTATTATATAATGCATATATTACAGAACATTTCCATCAACACAGAAAGGTCTATGGAATAGTGCTAGGACTATGCTCCCAAATCCAGTACCCCAGAATTCTCCGGCCACTGGTCCTGGGTCTGTTTCGGCCTGTGCAGGCCATTTTCCTGGGACAGTCCTCCTGATGGTGGACCACATTGCTGGTATATGCACCCCTAGGCCTGCGGGGTGGCCAAAGGGTGAGTCTTTATGGGGAATGGGGGAGGGGACAGTGGACAGAGCTTTGATGTCCACTTGTGTGCACAGAGCTCTTTAAAGCTCTGTGTTAGAGCAGGAGGTGAGAAGAGAATGGGTGGTCTTAGGGCTCAGGAATTAGGGATCAGCTCTCCCTTTGCTGTATGAACCTCTGAAGAATCTGAGAATTTAAATATAAATCTTGCCTGCCAGGCTTTTATGATGATGTATTTGTCAAAACAGAAGTATAGAATATCTTTTATATAACAGTTTGTTTTCTTGATTTACAGCGTTTAAATATTTAGGTGTGTGGTGGGTGGGCCTCCATTTGGACTTTTGCCCCAGGCCTTGCAAGCTAGGGCACAGGCCTGAAGCTACGTAAATGCACCTGAGAGAGATTTTTAGTTTGTAAAGGACAGATTTTAAAGAAATTTGTTCAAGAGAAGAAAGCGAAGTTTCCTGGCTCATGGGAACATCTGTAGACATAGAGGCAGCTCTGTTCCTGCTTTAATTTCACTAATATTAACTGTGGTGGTTGCCCACTGAGAAAATTATTACCAGCCACACAATTGTAGTGCTTGGCTTTCTCGAGTATTCAAGAGAGTAGCTGCGTGGGATGGCATGCACTTATAATCCCAGTGACTTGGAAGGCTGAGGCGGGAGGATCCCTTGAGTCCAGGAGTTTGAGTCTAGCTTGAGCAACATAGTGATACTCCATTTCTAAAATTAAAAAAAAAAAAAAGAATATATATATATATTTGTTAAATTTGAAAAAGAGAACCAACAATTCCTTCCTTGAAAAAAAAACTTTTATTTTAGGTTCAGGGGTACATATTTGTTATACGGGTAAATTGCATGTCACAGGGGTTTAGTGTTCAGATTATTTCACTAACCAGGTAATAAACATAGTACATGGTAGATAGTTTTCTGATCCTCACCCTCCTCCCTCCCACCACCCTCTCAAGTAGGCTCTGGTGTCTGCCGGTCACTTCTTTGTGTCCATATGTACTCAATGTTTAGCTCCCACTTATAAGTGAGAACATGTGGTATTTGGTTTCTTGTTCCTGTTAGTTCGTTTAGGATAATGGCCTCTAGCTCCATCCATTTTGCCGCAAAGGACATAGTTTCATTCTTTTTATGTCTGCATAGTATTCCATCGTGTATATGCGCCACGTTTTCTTTATCCAGTCTATCGGTGATGGACATTTAAGTTGACTCTATGTCATTGCTGTTGTGAATAGTGCATGTTTCTTTGTGGCAGAATGATTAATAACAATTCCTTCTTGAGTGGATAGTTTATTTATGTTCAGAGAAGGCACAATCTGCTCCACTCGATTCATTTTTTAAATAAAAACATTGTTTATATGTGTTTGCTAATGCATACGTATAAATGGTACTGACGTTTAAAATGTTTGACAATTGTGACTTCAGATGCAAATTTTCATGTTGGATATATAGTTTTGTTGGATCTTCAATTAAAATTTGATTCCTGTTTTAGTTGGAGTATTTTATGATTCAAGCCTTAAATCAGAAGACAAGTGAAAAAATGAAGAAAAGAAAAATGAGCAACTCCTTTCATGGAATTAGACCACCTCAACTTGAACAACCAGGTGCATTTCTTAGCCAATGTCTAGACATTCATTAAACATTCATTACAGATCCTTTCTCACAGGTCTTAGAGCAATTATTCTCAAACTTGAGCATGCTCAGAGCTTACCTGACATTCTGATTCAGTCAACCTGGGATAAGGCCTAGAATCTGTGTTAATCAGCCTCCCAAGTGATGCAAAAGCAGATTGGTACTTGAATCACATTTTGAGAAATACTGCTTTAAAAATTGAGCCTATAGATCCTATGTGTCCTAGGTGGGGAGCTGTTCTAGATTAAAGTCTAATGCTAAGTTACTACTAAATGCAATGCATGAACCTTGATTGGATACTGGTTCAATAAAAACATCTAAAAGATGTTCTTGGGACATGGGTTAAATTTTAATACGGACTGGAAATTAGATTATATCATGTAATTACTGTTAATTTTCTTATGCATCATAATGGTATTGTGATGAATAGGAGAATGTTCCTGTTCCCAGGAGATGAAGGTGAACGTAGAGTCCCGGGCGCGGTGGCTCACACCTGTAATCCCAGCACTTTGGGAGGCCGAGGTGGGAGGATCACAAGGTCAGGAGATCGAGACCATCCTGGCTAACACGGTGAAACCCCGTCTCCACTAAAAATACAAAAAAATTAGCCGGGTGAGGTGGCAGGCGCCTGTAGTCCCAGCTACTCGGGAGGCTGAGGCAGGAGAATGACGTGAACCCAGGAGGCGGAGCTTGCAGTGAGCAGAGATTGTGCCACTGCACTGCACTCTGGCCTGGGCGACAGAGCAAGACTCTGTCTCAAAAAAAAAAAAGAAAGTGTTTTAGAGCCAAAGGATCCTGATATCTGCAACTTTTAAATATTTCAGCTGTGTGTATGTGTGTGTGTTGATGTGTGGATGTGTGTGTGTGTGTGTGTGTGTGTGTGTGTGTCTTTCTGTCTCTCTAGAGATAAGGGGAAAATAAAAAATGTTAATAATTGCAAAATCCACGTGAGGGATATATGTGAAGGGTATATGTGTGTTCATTGCATCATTCTTTCAACTTTTTTGACTGTTTGAAAATATTTTTAATACAAAGTTCAGGGCAAATAAACTTTAAAATAAATAAATTATATCAACTGTTATCAGAATTTTCTGCATGATTTTGTAATAGAAATAGTAGGATAGCACTTTGTTGGATCAATGTCCTTTGGAATTTAAGGGACCTCATCTCTTTAAAAAAGTGCAGATATATAGACCACATATATATATAAATGATACACACTTGGCTTTTAATTTCCTGGTGTGCAAAGTGAAAGGGGAGACATGGTCTATTAGGTTGCAAACCCTTGGGCCTTAAATCCTTTCTGGATTAGAAAATGGGTGGGAAATGACCACATAAATAATGTAGATAGTTAGTTCTTAGTTCTTATTAATCAAGAAGACAAAATATACCAGATCCTCAGAGAAAGCAAAACATTACATGTCATTTAGCTTTAAAAGAAATATCTTGGCCCAGGTATGGTGGCTCATGCCTATAATTCCAGCACTTTGGGAGGCCAAGGTGGGCAGATCACCAGGGGTCAGGAGTTCGAGACCAGTCTGGCCAACATGGTGAAACCCCGTTTCTACTAAAAATACAAAAATTAGCCGGGCATGATGGCGACGCCTGTAGTCCCAGCTACTCGGAAGGCTGAGGCAGAGCTGCATGAACCAGGGTGGCAGAGGTTGCAGTGAGCCAAGATCATACCACTGCACTCCAGTGAGACTCTGTCTCAAAAAAAAAGAAAAGAAAAGAAAAGAAAAATCTCTTGTGTGGGTCTTCATGTGAGGGCACTAAGTGATATAGTGGACAGGGCTTTCAAAAGTGTCTCTTCAGGAAATGCAGCCTCAGCGTTCACAAGGCTGTTTCTTGTACTCTTCTGTTAAGAGAGCTGTGTGTATAACACTAAAGATATTCCAGAGGTTCAGAATAATACAGTCTGGGTACATATTTGGGGCTGATTTGTTCCAAGGACGGATCCTGGGCTCTGGGGCACATGGCATTTAGGGTTCTGTAAAGGGGCCACAGGCAGTAGAAGGGAGGAGGGTGGACTGGAATACAGTGCAGGGAGAGCCTGGCCTCCAAAGGACTTCGTTATTATCTGTTTTATAGGCTGGGGTTTGCTTTGGAATCAAGCATTTTTATTGCTAAAGAAGTTTGAATTCTACTGATTTAGACGGTTGCATACCCTTCAAACAACCCTTCACAAATGTCACTTTCCTCAGCTCCTCTGGATAAAAATGAGATGGCAGATGTTTTACAGTTAGGGTCTGTGGTGAGGGCCTGGAGTGTAGGTATTCTGAGTTGATTGAGGGCTCATCTCTCTTTGTTGGTGATCAAACTAGTAAACTGAAGGTTATATTCTCTTTTAGAAATTAGGGAGCTGAGTTAGCACTTTTGCTGAAGTGTTTTACTAGAAGGAAAAAATGCTAGTTTTGGAATCCAAATAAAGGGGTCACAATGTTTTCAAACGATCGAGTTCAAGACTCTGAGCCTTGACTCTGAGAAGTTGCACAATTTTAACAGCTCAGCCCTCTACCTCTACTTCTGGTCCCAGGAGGAAAAGGACTTCAGATGTGAGATTGGGTTCTTTGGAACTTATTCAGTACTTTGAATTTTTAAAATCAAAGGTAAAAGTAAAGAAGGATGACTGTGAAATACTAAAGTTCAGTATTTGGCGGCTTGTTTTATTTTGGGACACACAAGTAAGAAGAAATGTTATTTTATTGTTCCGTACGTCATTAGTGGGTTTTTCATTTGCTCTATAAAATGTAAATAAACATAGTATTTGTGTGTCTGTGTTATAACATTCTACAGTTCCTGAATAATTAGTTTATATATGTTTATAAATTAGGTTAAGCAGTAGTAGAAAATCGCTGTTTTTGTGCATCAAAAAATGGTTAAATATTGGCTGTTTCTTATGCTTTAACCTAATAATATTTTAAAATATTATACAATTATATTTAAAGTAAACATGAAATTGTTGGGTCTGTAAACCTGAAAGGAGTTTATTATTTTTATTTTCTTTTTCAAAACAGAAAAAATGCCTGTCTTAAAGGCTGAAGCGTCACATTATAACTCTGACTTAAATAACTTGCTGTTCTGCTGCCAGTGTGTGGACGTGGTATTTTACAACCCCAATTTAAAGAAAGTTGTAGAGGCCCACAAGATCGTTCTCTGCGCTGTAAGCCATGTTTTCATGCTGCTTTTCAATGTGAAGAGTCCCACTGACATTCAGGATTCCAGTATCATCCGAACTACCCAGGATCTTTTTGCTATAAACAGAGATACTGCATTTCCAGGTGCTAGCCATGAATCTTCAGGCAACCCACCATTACGAGTCATTGTTAAAGACGCCCTCTTCTGTTCTTGTTTATCAGACATCCTTCGCTTCATTTATTCAGGTATCTTGTCAAGTGGTTCTGGTTACTTACAATCTCATAAGCTTTGGAAATGAAATGTGCCTGTGACACTCAAGGGTACTGGTTAGTTTTACAGTGGTCTTTACCTACCATCTGAGATTAAGATTATACATGAAATATTATTTGCTTTATATATAAGAATTGGTCCAAGCTTTCTGTTTTCCTTACAAATGTACTTGCCTCATCTTTTCCCTATCAATTTCATTTTATTGTGGTAAAATACATAGAACATAAATTTTACCATCTTAACCATTTTTAAGAACACAGTTCAGTGGAATTAAACACATTCATAATGTTGTGTAACTATCACCACCATCCGTGTCCATAATTCTTTGCATCTTATAAAACTGAAACTCTATACCCATTAAACGATGATTCCCCATTCCGACCTCTTTCCAGCCCCTGACAGCCACCATTCTACTTTCTGTCTCTGTGATTTTAACTCTCCTAAGTGCCTCATGTAAGTGGAATCATACAGTATTTGTCATTTTGTGATTGATGTATTTTACTTAGCATAATGTCTTAAAGGTTCATCCAAGTTGTGGCATGTATCAGGATTTTCTTCCTTTTAAGGTTGATAATATTCTGTAGTACATATAGACCACATTTTGTTTACCCATTCATTCATCCATGGACGCTTGGGTTGCTTCCACTGTTTTAGCTATTGTGAGTAATGCTGCTGTGAACATAGTGTACAAATATCTCTTTTGAGACTCTGCTTTTATTTTATTTTTTGCATATATACACAGAAGTGGAATTGCTGGATCACATGGTAATTCTGTTTTTGATTTTTTACTGCCATACTGTTTTCCACACTAGCTATACCACTTTATGTGCCTACAAACTGTGCACAAGGGTTCCAATTTCTCCACATCCTTGCCAACACTTGCTGTTTATTTTTTTTAATAGTAGCCATCTTAATGGGTTTGATGTGGTATCTAATTCTGGTATTGATTTGCATTTCCCTAATGATTAGTGATATCAAGCATCTTTTCATATGTTTTTGTATTTGCCTTGGTTTTAAATCTACTTGTAAAAACCATAATCTGCCAAACAAGTATGTTAATATTTTATTTCTTTAAAAAACATCCAAAATATGAAATGTGAGAATTTATTGTCCAATTTAGTTTTAAAGACATAAAATATTCCAAGAGTAAATGAAATCAAGTGTCTACACCTTAAAACCTAGCTATTCACTCTTCGGTTTGACTCTTAGGTTTTGTAGGGCGTGAAAGAGAGAATTGCATTCAGCTTACGGACTGGAAATCAATATCCAGTGTTAGTTGAGGTCTAATTAACTTTGGCTATGACTATCATAGACGTTACTTTTTTTTTTCCTTACTGTGCCCTTTCTTTTTAAGATTTAGCTTATCAAGTATTTTTCTCTTTGCCCTTTTAAAAACTCAGTAGCAACTATATTTTAAAGATGGAAGTTCTATCTGAGTCATTTTAGCAAATGAATTGAAGGTCTTACATCTAAGTGTCCCATGTAAGAGTGGAAAAGAACAGATGTAAAATGAATTTTAATGTAAGCATCTAAATATAAGTTTTCTCAGAACTCCTGTCTTTAATTTTCTTTACCCACTTCAAATCATGTAGCGATAACCTGTTAGGCTAAGGTCACTCCTGCTCTGCAGTGTGTCTGGAGAAACATTTATAATTAATTTGTTTTTAGGGTTCAAGTAAAGCCTAATTGGGAACAGACAAAAAGTTTAAGGTTTGCAAGGCAAGTATCATTTCATACAGGTAGGGAAATTTGGGGCAGCCTTTATTTAAGTAATTGATGTTAAAAATAAGGTATTACTTTGTTCATGTGGTTTGTGGTCATGTAATTTTATAAGTTAAAACTTAAATTATGATTTTGAAAAGTACAGTTGCAGCACGCAGATTTATGTGGATAAAAAATACATATTGGAGTAGAATGTGGTGCTAGGTTAGTGAAATATTGGCTTGGAAAAAGCATAAATTAAGCACCTGTACAGCACACACCCAGCACATTGCCTTCAACGGGTTCTCTGTAAGTTTTAGTTGAATTAAAGAGTAGGCTCCAGTAGCCGGGCATCATCATATCAGTAAGCCAAACTATTTAAAGACTTCATTTAGTACTATAGATTTTGACGTTTAAACTTAGAATGTCACAGTTCAGAATTTAAGATTTTGAAAAACTAACATGTTTACATGTTAAGAGAAAAAAGATGTTTTTAATCATATGTTTAAGGAACTGTGAGGGATGTGACTTTTGTATGATAATTTTCTGTTGAAATTACATGAATTATTCAGTAGGCTTCCACAATTATTATTGACTACTTTCAAAGGCATATGAGCACTCTGACGTCTTATATCCTTTTTAACATAGTAGCAGTAAAATAGCTAGATGTATCTCCAGTGGCTGATCCTGCCTAGCTTTCTCCTAGGGGGAGTGCTTTATTTAATTGCAAAATTAATACAGGCAGATGGAAAAAAAGAGAAAGAAAAGAAAAAAGTTATCCTTCTACCCTAGACCCTTTCCCCGGAGTCATTTACCTGTTGTAATTTTTTTATGCACTCATTCTGATACTGTTTGAAAGAGATTAATATTCTGGGGACATTTGATTAATAAAAGTGTAATCCTAGGTATCTGCTGCTTTCCAGGGATCACAGGCCGTTTCCCATGGCTGGAGCGTAGAGTGAAAGGTGATGGCTGGTGGGTGATGAGGTGGGCAAGGCCTGTGGAAGCTGTTCCTGCTGCTCTTAGACTTGTGCTAGAGTTTTAAGCATGATCAGACTGGGCTTTAGAAAGCTCATCTCTGGTTGTGGTTGCAGGGTGGAACAGTGCGGCCAAGACAGGCATTCAATCAGGAGGTCCCATTACTCTGGCGATCAGCCTCAGGAAGGCCAACATTCAGACAGTGGGTGGCCCTGCCATTGGCCCTTCATCGTCTAGACCAGTGCTTTTCAAACCTTAAAGTGTGTGCAGATCATCTGAGGATCTTGTTCCTGTGGAGATTCTGATTCAGTTACCTGGAGTGGGGCATGAGATTCTGCATTTCCAGTAGTCTCCGAGGTGGTGCTGGATCTCTGGACTGCCAGAAGCAGCTGGAATACCTGCTTTTGGAAGAACTGGGAACCAGCCAAAACCAGCAAACTAGGGCCTAGAATTCAGTGCAGAGGCCCAGGAAGGCTACCAAGTTAACAGCTTAGGATTCAAAGTAAAAATGGGGTGAGCTGTAAGGCTGACTGATGCAGTGCTATTCAGAACTGGGGCTCTCAGTGCCCTGTGTGTCCCTGACGCGAGGAAAAATGGATGCCTAGTGGTTGGGTGGAAATTAAGTAAGCCTGGAATAGGGATCGGAGGGCAGGCAGGCATGATGGTGTGGAGAGCCTGCTGAGCTACAGGTCTTCAACCAGTTCAGAGTCCTGGCTTCTTAACCTGACACTGACCCGTCCCATTTCGGCTGTGATCTCTCCTTGTACGTCACGGCCAAAGCCGGAGGTGCTGTCTGGTCTGAGCAGGGGCACGGGCCATTGACCCGGGGCTGCAGAGATCCAGATGCTGGTTAAGGAAAAGGGAAAATAACTGGTTCTGCAGGTATCTATTTATTATTCTTTAATTATTTACAGATTACAACCTCTGGCTCAAGGAAAAGTTTCATTTACATTATGTTAAAAAGAGATATCAAAGCTGTATTTGCACAGAAAAGACAATTTTGAAAAATGCTGAAAATTAAGAGAAAAAAATTTACCCAGATTCCACTATCAACAGAAAATGTTTAAACATTTATTGCTTTGTTTGATCCTCTAGTCATTTGTTTGTGTATGAATAAGTGACACTGTTTTTGAAAAAATGTATTTTGTAATCAAATCAAACAAAAATTTTAAACCTACGTTTTTCTCAGAGACTTCAGTAAATGGGCCAGGCTTGTTTTGTTTTGTTTTTGTTTTAACATTTTTAAACCTGTGAATAGAATACAAGTGTTAAGGCACAGTTATGCAGTGGTTTTCCCACAGAAGTGCTGTGGTCTGCCCTTGGGTTATGCTAGAGAACCATTGAAGACAGGAGTTGTTTGTTTGTGTTCCCATCAGATGGGTTGGTAAAGCAGAGGTTGAACTCCATCATGTGCTCAGGAATATTTGCCTTGAGCAAACACGGGCTAGAGAGTTATAATAAGCCTATCTCCTGTCCTTGTTTTTTTTTTTTTTAAAGAACCAGATTACAAAGAATATCTTAATTCTTTTTAAATAACATGCTTTTTTTAACCTTTAGGAATTTGAAATTTGGTGTGTGTTATGTCACCATGAACATTTGGTTCGTTATTTAGGAGCGACCTGTTTAACAACAGTCCGGTTAACATTTTACACCTATCTATTCCTATTCAAATTTTTGATTCAGTAGACACAGTCAAGGTATATCTGTTTTGTATACGTTAGTTTTCTATTGAATAACAACAAACACTGCATAATGTATAAGTACTTAACTACTAATCCTAAGGAACGAGGAGTAATGTGATAAGTGAAGCCAGCCCTTTCCTGGTCTTCAGGGAGTAATTCTTACATGGCATACAATTGTAACATTCTTATAATACTTGATACAGTGTTATGGTTGCACATTCTTGAGTCATATGATCTCAGATGGTTAGGAAGTGAAGTATTTGTAAGAACCTCAAGAATTTAGCTTTGAGCTCTTCCTGCCACAGATGGCCCTTAGAGTTTCACATCACTTATTGAAATGCCATCTGAGTAGACAAATATGTGGAAGCAAGCTTTCATCTTCAGTTTACATTCTCCAGTTCTTAGAATCATTCCGTGGCATGTCCTTTTCTGTATTGCATAAAAACACAGCCTAGTATACATGAGTATACCATGCGCTCTAAAAGTCTAAGTGGATTCAGTGCTTTAAGAAGTTAACTAAAGAAAATCCCAGTCAGTGATGCAAGATGTCATCCTGCCCTTGTCTGCAGTTGATCAATCAGTAAAGTTATGCAAGATGAGTAAGTTCTGGAGACCTGCTGTATGACATTGTGCCTATTGTTAATGATATCGCATTATATACTTAAAGTTTTCTAAGAGGGTAAATCTGATGTTAAATGTTTTTACCACTGGAAAAATAAAAGGAAAGTCCCAGCCTTAGGATTACTGGTTTATTAGGACCTAAAAGTCTCAAAGATGACTTGATTAATGTTTCTAATTATGAAAACAGCCCAATCAGCAGTGTGCTCTTGAGAATTAGTCTTACTTTCATTTTCAGTGAGTGATTCTTCCTGTGTGTGTTCTCAGACAGTTCAGTGGCCTGTGGGGATTTACCTGCTACTGATTCCATCTATTTAGATTATTTGATGCTTGCTTGCTTTTAGATAATCTTCTGAATGGAGATATTTTATAGGTGTTTTTTAGTTAATATGCTTTTACTTAAATAACAATGTAACTTTTACATATATAAGTATGTAAAAGAACACAGAGACAGTACTTATGTTCTTCTTTAGATTGGATGAGTGCAGACATAAAAAATACTTACATGTTCCCTTTCCTGCATACCACTAACACTGGGTTTGGATAATGGCTGAAATTTCTTTCCTTTTTCCTCTTTTTTTTTTTTTTTTTTTTTGAGACAGGGTCTCACTCTGTCACTCAGGCTGGAGTGCAGTGGCATGATCATGGCTCACTGAAATCTCCGCCTCCTGGGTTCAAGCGATTCTCCTGCCTCAGCCTCCCAGGTAGCTGGGATTACAGGCAGACGCCACCATGCCCAGCTAATTTTTGTATTTTTAGTAGAGATAGGGTTTCCCCATGTTGGCCAGGCTGGTCTCGAACTCAGTGGTTGAAATTTCTAAAGGGAAAGCAGTGGCCGTCAGCAGCATACCATGCACATTAGGGTCACCAGGGAGAATTTTAAAACACTGATGCCAGGGGCTTCAGGCCCAGAAATTCTAATTCACTTGATCTGGAGATGAGACCTCCTCTCATGGTATTTTATAAAAGATCTCAGGTATTTATAATACACAGGTATGGTTGATAATCACTGGCATAGAGTAATTTTATTGATCTGGGATCCATTGGCTTCTAAGGGGTTCTTACACTCTCACATTGTTATACTGACTTTAATGTTTGTGTGCACATGAAATTTTCTGGTCATACAATCCCAAGAATTTATGAGATGGGAAAAGAGGATGTGGCCACACAGTTAAAAAGCATTCATGCAGAAAGAGAAAAACAGAAATCATAGAGCTCTTCTACACTACACAGCTTTGAGAATTTGAGGAGGAAGGGGAGCAATCAGTGAAAGCATAAAAAGAGCTAGCAAAGGCAGAAAGAAGCAGTGGTGTGCTGGAGCTGGCACCAGCTTGTGAGAGCCCAGTTGTGTTTATCATCCCCATTTCCTTGTTCTGTGATGTCATGTTGATAGCATCAAAAAATGGCAAATGCTACATATCATTTGACTCCCTCCCCCAGGAGACACTGTAAGTATTAGGAAGGCCAGGTGGGGAGAAGTTGAAAGGATATGCATTAGTGCTTAGTGCTGCAGGGCTCAGCTGTAAGAGCCTGAGAGCTTCTGGACTTGCAATCTGCCCCTTCCAATTGGATTTGGTTTTAGTTGGTACAGACTGGCTGCAATTGCCTGATCTCATTGGTTTAATAAGTGTTTATGTGCCTGCCTCATTCCCCAATATCCATGAAGGCATCTGGTGAGTGCTGAATACAGGAATGAAAACATCAGAAGAAATGAACTGAGAGCAGATAAAAAAGGGTCTTGAATTACCCAGAGAGGTGAAGTGACTCATCACACTAGTAGTTAATAGCTGAGGTAGAACTGGATCCTAGGTCTCCTAACTATACCGCCCACACTAGGCTTCTTGAATTATATTTTTATGAGATAGGACCTTCTATAAATCATAGGATGGATGCGTGTAATCTCTTGGAATGTCATGATCAGATTCGTGCTTTTGAAAACTCACCAGCTTTGAGTAATAGGATGGATTTGATGGGGAAAAGGCTGTTAGGAAGCAGGGAGGTTGGATAGGAAGTTGCTGCAGACCAAGTAAGAGAAGTCCTTGGGGAAAAGGTCAGCTTTTGCTGACCATAGAATAAGAATTTTGCAAGACATAGAGGAAAAGAGGCTGACAGAGTGGGAGAAGTGAAATGAGCCTAGGAAGAGAGTTTTGAAGTGGGCTAGGGAAAGGCAAAGGACAGTGGGGTGATTTTGCTCCGATGACATGAGCTACGTGGACGAGTAGCTCCCTTCCTCAGGCTGGTTTTGTAGAGTTGGCTCTCAAGCATCCCAGTCTGCCCCTGACAATGCTTGAGACCTTCTGAATGCATTCTGTTGCTGCTGCATGTTCCTCTACCTGATGATAGTCACTGCTGCCCATAACTGGTAAGATTTAATTCACCCTTGGGAAAGACCACATCTACCTTTTTACTCAGGGCAAGTAAATAATTTGGGTGCTGGACCACTTGTCATGGGAACTCATATTCTGACCATTGCTGTTATCACTAGCTGCCCACCTATTGCAGAGAGGTAGCAGCAGTCTGGGGAGGAAGACTTCAGATTTTGAGAAATAATTTAGGGGAAGTTAAACTGATCGTTTTGAAATGTGAGTACTGTTTAAATGTTTTAGTATAGTTATAAGGATGTATATCTGGTAAAGAAAAATTAAAGCACTAAAAAAAGGGAATGTTGTATTTAATAAGAGATTTACTTTTGTTACTTCCTCATTTAACAGAAAAATCCAGCATGTACTAATTTGTTTACAGGTGCTTTTCAGTGGGAAGAATTGGAAGAAGATATCAGGAAGAAGTTGAAAGATTCTGGGGATGTTTCAAATGTAATCGAGAAAGTTAAATGCATTTTAAAAACACCAGGAAAGGTAAGTTGATTTGTTGTAAGTTAGTTTACTTTGACCCTCTGAATTATAACTCACATACTATGATGAATATAAAATTGAGTCGTTAGAAGAGTCAAATACTGTATAAATGTAAATGTTTTCCTTAAGTATATTTTACCATTTAAATATTTAAAACATAAACATGGGTTATTTGTATCTTAGATTGTGTGTGTGTGTGTGTGTGTGTGTGTGAGACAGAGACCTGTGTTGCCCAGGTGGGAGTGCGTTGGCATGATCTTGGCTTACTGCAGCCTCCACCTCCTGGGCTCAAGTGATATCTCCCACCTCAGCCTCCCAAGGAGCTGGGACTATAGATATGCATCACCATACCTGGCTAATTTTTAAATTTTTTGTAGAGACGTGGTTTTTCCATGTTGCCCAGGCTAGTCTCAAACTCCTGGGCTCAAGCGATCTGCCCACCGTAGCCTCCCAAGGTGCTGGGATTACAGGCATGAGCCACCACACTCGGCCCTATCTTAGACTTTAATTTATGTAAGAATTAAAATACATGTGAGTCATGTCTTTAAAATGCTCGTTTGCGAATTCTGCCTTCTGAAACATTCCCCTGGAGCTCTGGGAATACACAATCTATATCATGAATAAAAGGCTGTTTAATTTGTCCAGGTACAGTTAAGGTTATTAGAGAGGGTGCCTTCTCACTCCTCACAATTTAAGTCTCAAATAGTTTTTGAGAGGAAGGCAGTTTTGAATGTCCCTTTTTCAAGTGTTCTGAGAAATCTATTCAACGAGGTGGACAGTTAAGGATGATCTCATCAATTATAGGTTCAAAATTATAAATTAGATTCAAGTTTATAAAAACAGACTTTGTATATTGCCATAGACTGGTGCACATTAAAACTCTAGTAACTTGGTATTGTGTAGTCTGTAAGGGCTTTAAAAAACATTTCAAAACTTTAAGACATTACACAATTTAGCCAGTGTATTTTTTTGTCTGATTTTGTGATAAACAAATTGGCTGCAGTAGATAAGTAAGGTAAGTTATATGCAATACTTAGCGGAGTAAAGGTATATATTAACTATAAGAAAAATGATGATTCCTTTAATTTTTTAATATAGATGACTTTTCTGTTTTCTAAAACCTGTTAACATTTTAAAGTTAATGTTTTACAAAAATGAAACTGTACTAGCTTTTAGTGAAGATTCTTGATTGTTCTTTAGTTGAGAAAATAGTCTTTTTTGTAAACAAAGTAACGTGGAATTAAGGGGTAAGATTTTTTTTTTTTTAGTAACACATTGAAGCAGGTATACAGAAGCTGTCCAGTTTTACAAGTATATGGCAGGATGGTAGCTCTTGCAGTCTAATTCAACTAAATAATCATTTGTAAAAATTTGCACATATGCCTATATTCTCGTTTTCAAAACAGTTCATCTAGTTGTCTTGATTAACTTGTTTACGGACCAGTGAAAATGTACATCACGTACATTTGTGTTCTCTCAAACTTCTGCTCTCCCATTTTTTTCAAATTCAAAACAGAATTGATGAGGGAATCTGTTTATAGATTCTCTCCCTCTCTCTCCAGTTCTCTCATACATTCATGTGTAATATACATCTATAAAATATTCATAATATGCAAATTCATAACCTTTATATGGCTGACAAGTACAGAAATCTTGCCTTTTCTTCTAACCCTAAACCTTTTCTTGAGTCTTGATTCGGAACACATTCCTTTGAATACTGAGAATAAAATGAATTCTTATTGGGGAAAGGGAAGGCTGGGTGATACGATTCCATGGTATTGCGCTGAATTCCCTCCTCTGCACGGGGAGAAAGAAGAGTTATTTCACACCTTCTTCCTGTGCTTTCCCAGGGTAAGGGGCTGTCTCATTTACTGAGTACCACACAGGGGTGTAACTCTGAATTGGGACTTGGGAAATGTAGATTACAATTGTGAATCTGCCACAAATCATCTCTGTGGCTTTGAGCAAGTCAGGGCTTCCTATAAAATGAGGGGTAAATTGGATGGTTTCTGAAGCCTCTGCGAGCTCTCCAATTCAGTGACGCTTTTTGTTTTTGTTTTTTGAGACGGAGTCTCGCTCTATCGCCCAGGCTGGAATGCAGTGGTGTGATCTCTGCTCACTGCAAGCTCCGCCTCCCGGGTTCATGCCATTCTCCTGCCTCAGCCTCCCGAGTAGTTGGGACTACAGGCGCCCGCCACCACACCCAGCTAATGTTTTTGTATTTTGAGTGGAGACGGGGTTTCACCGTGTTAGCCAGGATGGTCTCGATCTCCTGACCTTGTGATCCTCCCGCCTCGGCCTCCCAAAGTGCTGGGATTACAGGCATGAGCCACCGTGCCCAGCCCGGTGATGCTTTTTGACTGCTACTCTCGTTAAGCGTGGCGGTCACTTGACTCCCATGCCCGAATTCCTTCCATGTGTATGACGGTTATGTTGTGTATAGGATCTCAGAATGACTTTATAGGACCAGGATTTGTATGATCCTGTTTTGCCTCTCTGTTTTGCTTATGGATACCATTCTGGAATGTTTTCTTCTGCCTTAGGAGGAAGAATAATATCATTTTTCCCCCCTCACCGAAGATTTTAAACTTCCCACCATAGTAGATTAGAGTAAGAAGTAGATGTCATTTATTCTTATTACTGCTGATGTTATATGTTTATTTCTTAGGGATAAAGCTTTCAGAGTTCCCTAGCTAGGCAAGCAGAGGATTAGCATTCTGACCAGGGCTCTCAGGCTCTGAGATTCAGCAGGGGGAATGGGTGGAGACGTCAGAATTTAAAGTGAATAAAATATGATATTTCAATAAAAATCATAACTAAGTCTTTCCAAATTAGGGAACAACATAGACTTTAGGCAAGATTGTGGTCCTAATGAATCCTAGTATTTAAAATGACTTATTATTTCATCATCATTTGGGTAACACTACCTGAAAATATTCAGGCTTGTTTTGTTTATCCACTGTAAATAGACTAAAATTTAAAAAAAAAAAAAAAAAGAGAAAGAAAGCAAAGCAAAGAAAAAAGGGTGGAGGGTATGGAAAGGGAGGCCAGCCCTTGACTTCCAGGAGGGTTGGCACACAGGGGATACCTGAAGACCACAGAAAGGATAAAGCACTGAGGTCTGAGTTAGACAGAGAGGCTGCTCCCGGAGCCACTAGCTCCAGCCAGGCGCGACAGGACAGACGAGTTATCAAGGGTGAGAGTCTCCGGAACGCCAGATCAAAAACCCAGGAAACTCTTTATAGGTTCTAGTGGGCTCTGCTGTGAGTAGGAAGGACAATTAGGATTATAAGATTGGAGATGAAGATGGAGGTGAACCAGCTGGGCCCGGTGGCTCACACCTGTAATCCTAGCATTTTGGGAGGTCAAGGTAGGCGGATTGCCTGAGGTTAAGAGTTTGAGACCAGCCTGGGAAAAATGGCAAAACCCTGTCTCTACAAAAAATCAGCTGGGCGTGGTGGTGCATGCCTGTAGTCCCAGCTTCTCGGGAGGCTGAGGCACGAGAAGCACTTGAGCCTGGGAGGTGGAGGTTGCAGTGAGCCAATATCGCACCATTGCACTCTAGCCTGGGCCACAGAGCAAGACTCCATCTCAAAAAAGATGGAGGTGAACCACTTCATTACTCTACGTTATTTTTTTAACTGTTCACTCCTTTAAGAGAAAATGTTAAGCTAGTAAGTAGAAGAAGGATATGGTGTGATAAGGGAAAGTTGTATTTTTCTTTCTTTTTTTTTTTTGGAGACAGGGTTTCACTCTGTTGCCCAGGCTGGAGTGCAGTGGCATAATCTCAGTTTACTGCAGCCTCTGCCCCCTGGGTTCAAGTGATTCTACTGCCTCAGCCTCCCAAGTAGCTGGTATTACAGGCACATGCCACCATGTCCAGCTAATTTTTGTATTTTCAGTAGAAACAGGGTTTTGCTATGTTGGCCAGGCTGGTCTCAAACTCCAGACCTCAAGTGCCCACCTTGGCCTCCAAAGTGCGGGATTATAGGCATGAGCCACTGCACCTGGCCAAAAAATGTATTTTTCTTAATTACAAATCAAGGACTGTCTTAATGAACAAATTAGGTTGTACATGTAAACATATTTTAGTAGGCATTTGTATGGAGTTGGACTACTGTTGTCTGTTTCTCAACAAAGACTCATAGGGTTTCAGGACCTTGCAGCTTCTCAGCAATGGAGCTGAGTTTTCACTTAGGCAATTTGTTTACTGCTGTGAATGCCAAAGAGAGCAGTGTTGTTCACTGACAGGCAGCCCATACAGTTCTTAAAGGTAAGTTCCTTTGAAACCTGTGATCAGAGATGTCATAGAGTAGGGAATCATATTTCTTTTGAGATTTAGCATAATTTTCCAAATTCCTAGCCTAGCCTATATGTTATCAAAGCATGTTAAACAACCTTTCCCTGTATTTTTGTTTTCCCTTATAGATTAATTGCCTAAGGAATTGCAAAACCTATCAAGCCAGAAAACCTTTGTGGTTTTATAACACTTCCCTCAAGTTTTTCCTTAATAAGCCGATGCTTGCCGATGTTGTCTTCGAAATTCAAGGTACGGATCAACTTTTACAAAGTTTATGATTCATTTTTATTTCTTGTTTTCTTTCCTTGCTTTCTACTTCAGGTTTGAATGTTTGGTGTGAAGGAATGATTATTCCCTACTGAGGTATGTAGATTAATACTACCTTAATGTCAACAAAATCTTCCAGGTAAATAGGAAGTATTTTATTAAAATGATAAAATAAATTTATATTTCCCTTAGTATTTTTTCCTTTGCCATATGCTTCATCAACTTTTAGGGCCTAGCAAGGGATGGGGTGATCTATAATATTTTATTATATATTTTTGTGTGTATTTCTTTAAGATCCTAGTGTTTGCTGCATCTGGAGCTAACCCCCTTAAAATTATTTTATCTCTAGCTTATTTTATCCAGCTCTCTTCCTTTTTATTTGAGCAAAAGGAATTGACCATTATTTTATTCAGCTGTCTTCTGTTTCTTTTGAGCAAAAGGACTGAGGGTTATGCCTGGCCCACCTCAGGCACCCATAGATATTGCTACATTTATTCCTCCTAGCACTCTGAGAATTTTATCACCAGAGCAACTGAGAGCTGCTGCTTATCTCTCTAAGAAAGTAAGACTACCTAATTTTAATGAAGATGAGCTGTTTGAGTGCCCATTATTGATCACTGGCTTGGATAATTTTGTCACTTTAGTAGATTAAGATCTAAAGAATGTGGTGGGAGCTGCCAGCACACAAGGTGCCACCAGGTGGGGGAGAGGCGGAGGGAGGGGACGTGGCTCATCGCCATGTGCGTCTTGCATTCTGTCCCTCACTGGCCGCTGACCTGCCTGACTGCACAAGCTCTGCCGCTGCCCCATAGAAATACTTGGATTACCCAGTCTTTCCGCAGACGAGACCAGGTTACTGGGATCCTCATCTCACTTGGGCTTATGCCAAACATGTAAAATTTGGTGCAGGTGCCTGAGCCTTAATTCTTCAAGGTGTCGACCTTTTAGCCGATGCCGTAGCTGCTACAGTGGGGCCGAAGGGAAGAACTGTGATTATTGAATGAAGCTAGGGAAGTCCCAGAGTAACAAAAGATGGTGTGACTGTTACAAAGTCAATTGGCTTCAAGGATAAATGTAAAAATATTGGAGCTAAGCTTGTTGCCAGTAACACTAAGATGTTGCCAGTAACACAAATGAAGAGGCTGGGGATGGCACCACCACTGCTACTGTACTTGCACTCCCTATGGTCAAGAAAGTCTTCGAGAAGATTACCAGAGGTGCTAATCCAGTGAAAATCAGGAAAGGTATGATGTTAGCTATTGATGCTCTAATTGCTGAACTTAAGAAGCAGTCCAAACCTATGACAACTCTTGAAGAAATTATTCAGTTTGCTATAATTTCTGCAAATAGAGACAAATCAGCAACATCATTTCTGAAGCAGTGAAAAGGGTTGTCATCACAGTAAACGGTGGAAAAACACTGAATGGTGCGTTAGAATCACCAGATCTAATTTTTGTGTACCTTATTAATACATCAAAATTTTTGCATATCTTATTAATGTATCGAATAATTAGGCTAAATTTTTGCATAACTTATTGATACATCAGAAGGTCAACAACATGAATTCAAGGATGCCTATGTTCTGTTGAGTGAAACAGAAATGTCTAGTGCCCAGTCTATTGTACCTACTCTTGAAATTGCCAGTGCTCAGTATACACCTTTGGTTGTCATTGCTGAAGATGTTGATGGAGAAGCTCTATGAACCTTCCTTTTGAATAGGCTAAAAGCTGGTCCTCAGGTTATAGCAGTAAAAGCTCCAGGTTTGTTGACAATAGAAAGAACCAGCTTAAAGATATGGCTCTTGCTGTTGGTGGTGCAGTGTTTGGAGAAGGGGGTAGGCCTCATAACACAGGAAAAGTTGGAGAGGTCATTGGGACCAAAGGTGATGCTATGCTCTTTAAAGGAAATGGTGACAAGTCTTGAATTGAAAATTGTATTCAAGAAATCATTGAGCAGTTAGATATCACAGCTAGTGAATATGAAAAGGGAAAAGTGAATGAATGGCAAAACTTTAAAATGGAGTAGCTGTGCTGAAGGTTGGTGTAACAAGTGATGTCAAAACTAATGAAAAGAAAGACAGAGTTACAGATGCCCTTAATGCTATAAGAGCTGCTACTGAAGAAGACATCATTCTGGGATGGGGTTGTGCCTTGCTTCAGTTCATTCCAGCCTTGGACTCATTAACTCCAACTAATAAAAATAAAAAATTGGTATAGAAATTATTAAAAGAATATTCAACATTCTGGCAGTGACCACTGCTAAGAATGCAGGTGTTGAAGGATCTTTGGTAGTTACAACAATTGTGCAGCGTTCCTCAGAAGTTGGTTATGAGCTATGGTTGGGGGTTTTGTGAATATGGTGGAAGAGGAATCATTGGCCCAACGAAGGATGTGAGAACTGCTTTATTAGATGCTGCTTGGGTGGCTTCTCCATTAATTACAGCAGAAGTCACAGAAATTCCTAAAGAAGAGAAGGACCCTGGAATGGGTGCGGTAGGTGGGATGGGAGGTGGCATTTCTGATTCCTAGAATAGGGCTTGACATTTATTAATGAACGGTGATAGGAAGCTCAAGGCAGTATTTCTCACCAGTAACTACAGAGAAGTCATTTGAAGAAAATGACTGAAGAAAATGCTGGGTGATGTTTTTAAAAAATCACTACAACCATCAGTTACTGATTTCAGCTGACAATAAATAGCAGTTTACTGCTGTCATTGTCCATGCCTACAAATAATTTATTTTGTATTTTTGAAAAAAAAAAACATTTTTACATTCCTGATACTGGGTGAAAGAGCCACGTACCCATGTACTGCTTTAAGCTTAAATCACTGAGGCATTTTTACTACTATGCTGTTAAAGTCAGGATTTTAGTGCTTGCTAACAGCAGATGAGAAGTTAAGAAGCAGCTTTTCTGTGGAGAGTAAGAATAATTGTGTACAAAGTAGAGGAATACCCAATTATGTGACAACCTTTATGTAATACAGATTTGTTTAAAGTTAAAAAAGAATGAATTGTCAGATACCTTCAGTTAGGCAAGAAAGATCGAAGGAGCTGTTTTCCAGTGAAAATCTGAGTAGAACTTTAGATGGGCAATTACTAAAAGGAAGATATAATCTAATTTAATAGTAGAATTGTGTAGCAGCGAACAATAGTCATTTACTTTTAAAAATATTTCCTCAGAAAGATGCACATTACTTTTAACTTTGGTCATCTGCCAAGACAGGGAAATGGAAACTTTCCAATGTACCTTCCGACAAGCCACGGCCAGCCCTGTGTGCAGTGTGAGCCTGGGACGCTGAAAGTAGGGCAGCAAGAGTGACCTTGAGATACAGAAAAACAACTGGGAAAAAAGCTAACAAGAGGACACAGACTTTATATCATGCTTTCGTCATTTTAGAGAGACCTATAACTGGCTCTAAGCCCCTTATATGATCACACCTTGATTTATTTGTTGCCTAAATAAAGATCCAAAGTGTCTATCTAAAGACAACTTTCATAAATTACTCATTATAGGTAGGACACGCCTAGTCAGGGATAAAGCTCCTGGTGATTACAGAATTCTCTCATTAGCTTCTAGGAGAAAACTGTCTGTTGATGAAGACATTTACTAAAAGTGTTTGGTACGCTCTATCCATACCAGAGAAACACAGGAATAGATAATTTTGTACAATCATCTAAGAAGCTTCTCATTTCAACAGAAAAGACTACATCCATTGTTAAGAAGAAATATGATTGGTAAATTAAAAAATATTTCCACCTTTCTAAAATTAGCTTTTAAAAAAAAAGTCTAGTTTATGGAGATCGAATCAGTTTCTGCATTCTGAAAGAAGGAGAATGATGCCGCTGGAGATGGCTGAATGCTGTCTTCCAGATGACTTCCTGGCACTGGGGTCACCTGTGATTTAGGGTTGATTGGACTCACACTGAGCAGACTCTGCAAGATGGAGATAAGGTGGGGGCAAACCATTCCAGTGACCATTATAACAACCTAGGGCACTGCTTTTCATAACCAGAAAAAGAATTGGTAATCTGAAGGTTATATGGTGAACATATGAGAGTAGTGTCTAGTGGTGTTTGATCCAGGGCCTGGTGAGTTCTGGTAGATGTCTTCCGTCCTATAACATAGTGTTGTATTAACCAGACCAAGCATCTCTGATCTTCCTGGATGTTCTAGCTACTGGTTCCATGGCCAGGGCTGACCAGTCTCTTAACATTTGCACAGTATTTGATACAAATTAGGTACAGCATACTCGATTAGGTATTTACTTCCTAGGTCATGAGTATGTTTTAGACCTTTGTCTGCTCTTTTTTTTTAACCTAGGTCCTCTTGATTGGAGTTTCGGATGTTCCCAAACCCCTCAGTCATCCCCTAAGACTCTGGAATTTTGGGTTATTCTCTAAATGACTAATCTCATTCTTTGTGTGTGTGCTTTAGAAGTTTAACTGTGAGAAGGAAGGCATAATTCCTGGTCGCAGGAGGAAACTTAAAATTTCCACTAATAAAGGATCTATGTTGTTACATTGCTGTGTCTCCTACAGTCCCTAGAACTGTGACTTGCCTTTAATAAATGGCTATTGGTAGTAAGATTAATCATCCTAAACTTGGGAATCCACCACTGAAGCATAAATGTGCTTGAAGAAGACTTTGCCTTGTAATAAACTTGTGAAATGAAAGAGGGTCCATCTCTTTGCCAGCGATGTTCATTTTGCAGCATAGTTTGAGAGCAATCTTTTTCAAGTAAATTGAATATGAATGCCTGGCCCCATCATACATTAATGAATTAGGGGTTGTCTCCCATCCCCACCTTTTCTCTTTTGCTGTGTTATAAAATAGCTACCAAATTTGCTTATAATTTGCATAGGAGGCATTGGTATCAAACATTATGTTAGCATAACTCACTGAAAAGATTTTCGAAGGGAATATGTAGCACATGAAAATATATGTCATATTAAAAAAGAGAGATAAGCAGTGATGTGGTGAATCCTTGCTCCTCCTAATGGCGTGCTTTTCTTCCATGATTCTACCTACTGTAGGCACCTGCTCCCCTTTCACCCTTTATGCAGGGCTGGGGTCAGGAAGGGCTGGCTGGATGTCTGTGCTGATGATGTGCAGCAACTGCTGTGGTGCTCTTCATTGCTTCCCTAGCTCTAAAACCAAGTCTTCTTAGGAGTCAGAAGCAAGGAACAGCAGGAATGGTGGAGGCAGGATCTGGGAGCAGCTTCTCTAAGGCCAGCTATAGGCAAGGCACACCAGCTCCTGAGAGTTGGGGAGGGGAGCTGTAGGCAGCAGCAGCAGTGTCATTTCCTCAGGATGGGCCCCAGTTCCAGCCTTGGCTTTGCGTCTTGACCAGTGTGTCTGTGGGCAAGTCACCTGACATTTCTTGTCTTCAAGTCTCATTTGTGAAGTGAAGAGGGTGACGAACCACACAGATAACAAGAGGTTCTTTTTAGTGTTAAGAGTTATGTAACTAATAGCCATCCCTCTTTGATTCTTCTTGCACTACTTGCAGGGTAGCAGTGAGAAAACTAAGAAGAAATTTTGAGTTAGAAGTTGAGTGAATTCTTGTTCCTTTCATGGCTAAAATATGTGACCACCAGCCCACTGAATGAAATGGAGCGTGTTTGAATTTGCCTCACTGTGGTCACTCTGGAAGCAGGCTCAGCTTACCAGGGCCATTTCTCTGATGTACCTTTGGAATTCTTCCAAAATGTATAGGGAGAAGTAGAAAAACCAGAGGCATTCTGAGTGAGGAAATAAGCAGATGACTCAGCAAATCACCAATCTACTTCATCTCCTTGAATAGCAAATAGTTGAATTTCATGAAGAAACTTTAATTTTTTCTGATTATGAAAGTCATATACAATTGTTTTAACCAAGTGTGCACAGAATGATCACACTTATAGAAAATGTCTGTTTTGTTCATAAGTGAATTAAAAAGGTCAGGAAAGATATATTCCATATTATGAACATTTTTTTTAGAAAATGAAATGGGCATGATGATTAGAAAAATGTTGTAAGTGCTCATTGTAGGACAGTCAGATAATATATAAAGATGCAAAAAATAAAAAATAAAAATCACCCATAATCCTATGCCCTAATAACAATCACAGTTTGATTTTGGCATAATTTCCCTCAAGTCAGTTTTCCTCTGCTTAGAAAAAGGGGTTGGGAAAATAGATACTGTCTACTCAATTGTGTGTCTTTTATTTTTAAACTTATGTCTTAAGCACTTTACACTGGATTAGAATCCCCTTGTTAACATTTTTAATGTCATTATATGGCTATATCCTATTTTCTTACTGTAGGTGTAAATTTAGGTATCTCCTTTATTTTCATTATTAGAAATAACAGCTGCATTGAAGATTTAATGTAAATATCTCACTCTGAAATTAGCATTATGTCCTTGGAATAGATTCCTTGTCAAAGAATAGGAACATCTGTAAGACATCATAAATGCTATGAAATTGTATATGTCCAGAAACATTGTACTAATTTACATTCCCATTGGCAGTGTATGAAAGTGCTTGTTTTCATACAAACAAATCCTTGTCAGCATTAAGTATGCTTATATCTTAATTTTTCTTGCAAATTTGATACAACTGTATGTTTTTAATGTTCTAGTCTAGAATCAAGAAGTTCAGACTGTGAAAATCAAAATCCAAATCTCTTCTGATCCATTGAATCTTTTAGTATTGAGACATTTGTATTACATATATATATATATGATAGCATTGACTCTGGCAGCAACTCTGCTAGAGATTATATATGTAAATCTCAAGTCTTGAAACAGTGTTGTATTTTGGTATTGGTATTCACAGCCCTACTTGCCACATGATGGTAGAGCAGAGATTTGCACTTTAACTCAAAGGCGAGTGTGAGAGTGCTTAAAACACCTGGTTAGTGCACCTAGAAAAATTAGATTGATTTCAGAATGGCACAATCATAACTGTGGCTCTATTTAAAGTCAAATTGCATTCTCTCATGTATCCTATTTTACATTCTTGTCATTATCTGAAAACTTATAAAGGTTAAGTACCCTTAATCTAAAAACCCAAAATCCAAAATGCCCTAAAATCCACGATTTTTTGAGTGCTGATGTGGTGCTCAAAGAAAATGCTTATTGGAGCATTTTGGATTTTGGATTTTTGGATTAGAGTTGCTAAACTATTAAGGAGATTAGAGATCCTAAACTATTAAGAATGTGTGTGTATATATATATGTGTATATATATATATATACACATATATATACTATTAAACATTCTTAATAATATATGTATATACATATCTCTCTCTTTCTCTCAAATATTCCAAAATCTAAAAAAAATGGAAATGTTGAAACATTTCTGGTCCCAAGCATTTCAGATAAGGGCTACTCAACCTGTGCCAGGCATGAAGGTTTGCTTTTTAGATCATGTTAATGCCTCTCAGTGTGACAGCCTTTGGGCTCTATGGTTTTGAATTGTAGCTAAATTATTAACAGACAGCTAAATTTTAATGTCACTCTGAAAAATGAATGTCTAATTTTGGGGGCTGTAAATGGGAATAGCAATTGGAAGTGTGAAAGTACTTCTCACCTTGTCATTGATGTGTAATTTAAATGTTTTACACCAAACCAAAAAAAAAATTGGGAAGGAAAATATTTTTATATTTTAAATTTATGTCAAACTTAAGACAGACCCTCAAAGTAAGGATCAGTAATCAGTCTCAAATCTTAATTATAAACTTTTTTTAAGTTACAGTGAAGTCTTAAGATAAACTTACAATTTTTTTCTATACACTTAAAATATTTATGATGCAAAATACACACTTCAAAAGATTCATAGTTGTGAAATAATTCACATTGGAATGTAACTTTGATATTATCAATACAAATTTATGGGAAGTAATTGGAATAATAATTTAAAAATTAGATGATTATCTATCTAAATGTAATGTTTTGGCTGGGCATGGTGACTCATGGCTGTAATCCCAGCACTTTTGGAGGCCAAGTTGGGTGGATCACCTGAGGTCGGGAGTTCCAGACCAGCCTGGCCAACATGGTGAAACCCCATCCCTATTAAAAATACAAAAATCAGCCAGGCAAGGTGGCAGACGCCTATAATCCCAGCTACTCGGAAGGCTGAGGCACAAGAATCACTTGAACCCAGGAAGCAGAGGAAGCTGTGAGCTAAGATCATACCACTTTACTCTAGCCGGAAGACAGAGTGAGACTCTGTCTCAAAGAAAAATAAAAATAAAAAATAAAAAAATAAATTTAAAAAATGTAATTTATTTTATAATTATATTTTGTAATTATTTCACGCAATAATAATAAATTTGAAGTGACATGTAATAAGTCTTTGGCTTCTTTACTCCAGTTTTGAGCGTGAATATTAACCTCATGAGCGGTTTAAGGAAAACTAAATGAGAATGGAATCTATGGAACAATTTAGACCAGAACTGATATACTGAGGCACCTTGATGAGGTGGTAGTGCCATGGGTCAGAAAGGCCTGGTTAAGATCTTTGCTTGGATGCATACTTACTATGTAGGTTTGGCTATGTTACTTTACATTTCTGGTTCTTTTGGTTTTTTGCCTATAAAATAGGGATACTAATTCCGACTTTGTGATGTGGTCACGGGGGTTGAGATAGTGCATACAAAGGACTAGCAGAGGCTTCACCTGCAGACTCCACTCCTCTTCACCTGCAGTGGCAGCTAGTACTGGTGGATCGCTGTACTTTTTCCTGCTGAACCCACGTTCGCAGTCAATCTTTCCTTTAAAGTGTCCCAGGCCTTCCCCCAAAACTGGCTGGAATTAGCCTAGGATAGAAAATGGGATACCATCCCCTGTAATAGGTGATCCTCAAATATATATATTTTCTCTACCACTCCCAATTTGTTGTTTTGGCGTGTAAAAAAAAATTACTATAGCAGTTCTAAAGTCAGTCTTGGTAAATATTTAGAGAGGTACGGATGTCCTTTTGATATGAGTCTGTCACATGAAGAGTTCTTTAGAAAATTACATTCCCTTCTGGTTTACTTAGCTAGTACATATTTTGGATCTCTCTTGAGCTAGGTAGGTATCCTTTTTTAGGAATGAAACCAAAAACAGTTCTAAAAATTTCACTTTTGAAACCTGGAAAATAGTATGAAGAAAGTGTGACAAATGTATTTTATTTTAGTAAACAGTCAAAGATTCTTGATAATCTATGTAAAGTGACTAGAAAACTTGGGCTTTTCATTTTTGTTTCACTCTTGTAGTTCTTTTCCTTAGAAAAAAATTCTTAAAATTGTAACATCAAATGAATACTACAAAGAAAAGATAGTTTGGCCTTGACAGTTTCAAGGAACATGATTATCTTTTAACTAGAAAATGCTATCTTCCATTTCCTTAAGTAATTTCTTTACCTGTATCCTATTGCCAGTTAGTACGTAAACCATAAACCGCATTATGTTCCTTCAGCATATTTTTATATACAGTGTTGAAAGATCTAACCATACTAAGGTATTGTATTACAGTTTCACAACAGAACAATTTATAACATCAAAACAGTAGTTTAAAGAGGTGAAAAACTGAAGTTGATGTTTTCTTAACAGGAAGCGTAATGGTTTTCCAAACTAAATTCCAACCTTGAAATAGGCTTAAAAATGCTTTAAGGTACAGTTGGCTGGGTGCAGTGGCTCACGCCTGTAATGCCGGCACTTTGAGAGGCTGAGGTGGGAGCATCACGTGAAGCCAGGAGTTCAAGACCAGCCTGGCCAACACAGCAAAACCCTGTCCCTAGTAAAAATACCAAAAAAGTTAGCCAGGCATGGTAGCGCATGCCTCTAATCTCAGCTACTCGGGAGGCTGAGGCACGAGAATCATTTGAACCTGGGAGGCGGAGGTTGTGGTGAGTGAGACTGTGCTACCGTACTCCAGCCTGGACGACAAAGCAAGACTCTATCTCAAAAAAAAAAAAAAGTACAGTTGTTCCTTAATGTCCATAGGAGATTGGTTCCAAGGACCTCCTGCAGATACCCAGATCCGCTACGCTCAAGTTCGTGATATTAAATGGCTTAGTATTTGCATGTAACCTATGAGTATCCTCCTGCATACTGAAAATCATCTCTAGATTACTTACAATACCTAATACAATGTAAATGTTATATAAATAGTTGTTATACTGTATTGTTTAGGGAATAATGACAATTTTTTAAAAACTTTGTATATGTTCAATACAGTTGCAGGGTTTTTTTTTTTTTCTGAATATTTTCCACTCTCTGTTGGTTCGATCTGTGGATGTGGAACCCATGGATTCGGAGAGCTAACTGTACTGAGTGTTTTGTTGCTGGGTTTTGCAACTCTGTTATAACCACATTATCAACAATTTCTGTTAAAATTTCAAGGTTACTTATCAAATTCTACCCCCATCAACTATCTACTTGGTATTTTTTGGTAGATCTTAAATCCCTGTGCTTAACCCAAGTGATAGATCATCCAGTTTATTTAAGTCATGCTTCTAATTTTTAAAAATATAGTGCCCTATTTATCTTTAACATTTTAAAACCTTACAATTACAAGTCAAATGGCATGACCTGTTTGTATTCTTTATTAACTGCTGTATACAAATACAGCCAGCTTGCTTTAATTATGGAAACTGGTCCTTCCCGGTGGAGGGACACTGTCCCAGTGAGGCGAGGAGGGGAGTGTGCCTGCCAGGAGGTGAGTGTTGACTGGGTGGGAGGGCTTCCCAAGTTACTTCCCTGCTCCTCAGGTAGGTGTGGCTGTGCAAATGGCAGTGCCGAGCAGTAGGCTCAGAGCTGGCAGTGCCAGGTGTTGCCTATAGATCCTGAGTGATTATTGGCTTTGGAAAAAGCCACTGGGCTTAGATGTAACTCTTTTCTTCTTTCCTGAGACAGGAGATGTTGTGCTTGGATTTAAAAGGGATGAAGAACCCAATAATTGTAAATGCTTTAGAGAAGACTATATATCCCTGATGAGTATGAGATTTTAGAGATGTGTGGGTAAACTCTTGGGCAGGGCTGAGTGGCTTGGTTTGGTTGGAGAGTTACTTCCTGGAATGCGACAGCTTTGTCACTCACACTGGCTGTGGTGTCTTCTACGAAAGTAAAAACTGCTCCAAAGCAGAGGTAGCTTTGTCTTCCTCCTCTTTGTGTCTTCAATTCCAAATGCAATGATTGGCACATGCTGATTCTCGGTAATAATCTGTTGAAGTGATCCAGGCTGAACTGAAGGCTGGCAGTGTGTATTCGTGGTTTTCTAAGGTGGTGGAAGTAGAGAGCCCTGGCCACTCACGGCCCTATCCAGCGCTGCCTTTGTGTGGTGCAGCAGTAGCTAGAGAGCCTAGCAAGCTTTTCCTAGAGAGTTAATTCAGTTCGGTGAGTTCAGTGAGCAGTATGGGCTGAGAGAGCCCTCAAAATTCAACGTAGCACTGGCTCTCCCAGCAGCAGGCATTGTTCAGGTGAGACAGAATGGTTGCCTGAGGAAGTAGTGTGCTGGGGAGACTGCAGGGATTAAGGTCATCCTCTTCCAGATTTTCATTAAGTCTGAAATGCTCTCCTTGGCTCCACAAGAGATCCTCTTGCTATTCCTACTGTGGTGTACGGACAGCTTATGGTTTACTTCTTACAGTTTCCTGTTTCAGATAAGGGGAAGCATGGCCAAGATGGTTCTGTGAGTCAGGCCCAGAAGGGTAATGGGGTTGTTTTCTTGGGAGGCACATGGGCACGGGTAGTATTATTAATATTTCAAGCCAATTGGAAAGGATTGATGTTTCATTATAAAAATATGAAGCAAAATACTTCATTTCAGTGTTTCTATTTCTGGAAATACAAACTAAGTAACAAATTGTTGTCTTGACTTGCAAATTGTTGGTTTCAAGGTCAACATCTGAACTTTCTTTATTGCTCCCTTTAAAATTAAGAAGTTTCTGGATTAATGGTAGTTATCACTCCCAAATTCAGATTCTGCATATCAGCCTAGCTGTCCCTAATGTGGTAGTCTAATTAGAAGGAAAATTGCTGGAATAACCCTGCAGGTTTATCTCACTTGTTTCTTGTTTCCCTTTTGAACCTTTCAGGTACGACAGTGCCAGCCCACAGGGCCATCCTGGTGGCCCGTTGTGAAGTGATGGCAGCCATGTTTAATGGTAATTACATGGAAGCAAAGAGTGTCCTGATTCCCGTTTATGGTGTTTCCAAAGAGACTTTCTTGTCATTTTTAGAATACCTGTACACAGACTCCTGCTGCCCAGGTTAGCAATACAAATGTTGATAGTATCTCAGAATTCTTTCTTTCCTTGCCACCCATTTTGTTAAATTGCACTCTGTGGAATCTATTTTCATTTAAGATTTATTAGTTGACATCACGGAATGTACTAAGCAATTAGAGGTGGTGCTGGAACAACAATGAATTTTCATTCAGTTCAAGTGGAAGTGCAGTGATTGGGTGCCTTTTATGGGTCTCCGACGCCGGCACAAGTTCACATGTCCCAGCCAGCACCTACAGCATGGGGATCACTGTAGGCAACTAGAAATGGAGGTGTCTTGTGGTACCCATGGCTACCGTAATTCTAGAGATCGGGGCAGATTGTTACTTGGAGCGCTGTCTCTTCCACAAGAAGAGGAGGGTTGCGCAACTGCTTTGATGTCTGTGACTTCTGATTGGGGCACTTTTAAGGACTTTCAATATTCTGAGACTTTTTTGGTCTTCCTTCTGCCCAGAGGATGTGGGATTTGTAAAGGCCTCCTTCTGACTTCTGCTAAAGTCAGAAACTCCTCAAACTGACTTCTCTGAAAACTTTTCTTGAGATGTTTAGAATACCCAGTGGACTGTAGGATTCATTTCCAAATTCACTGACCAAGGACTATCTTTGACCAGGAACCAAACATCTGTGACAGCTCTAGGTTGGAACAGATCCAGCAGGGTTCTTCTAGCTGGAGGCACTTGAAGAAATAGCAAAATTTTTTCTACAGGCCTGGAGCCTTGCTTGGGATGCTGGCAGGGAAGCCCTCTGTGAGTAGTCTTCAGCCTTTGGCCACCAGATGGCTCCCACCACAAGCACAACTAGATTCGGCCCCGTGGAGCTCAGTTCAGGAGCCTGAGACCTTGATTAGAGAACCTGGTCAGGCACCCTAATAAACATAAAAAGCAAACACACATTTCAAGCCAGACCTCTCTTCAGATTCACTGCTTTAATTTTTAGAATGGAAAGGTTTCTTACACTGGGTATTGAAATAAGTTTTAAACAAGTCATGAGCCCTCTAGTGAAAGATTTTAGAAGTTCAAAAAGAAGCAAATGTATTTGTGTTGATTAAATTAATTCTGGGCTTGCAGCTTTCTGTAGAGTATTTTGGAGCCAGTTGCAGTTGTTTCTGTCAGTGTTAAAGACTGACTTACGGCCAGGTGCCGTAGCTCATGCCTGTAATCTGAGCACTTTGGAAGGCTGAGGTGAGCAGATCACCTGAAGTCAGTTCAAAAACAGCCTGACCAACATGGTGAAACCCCGTCTCTACTAAAAATACAAAAATTAGCTGGGCATGGTGACGTGTGCCTGTAATCCCAGCTACACGGGAGGCAGAGGCAGGAGAATCGCTTGAACCTGTGAGGCAGAGGTTGCAGTGAGCCAAGATGGCGCCACCACACTCAAGCTTGGGTGACCGAGTGAGACTCCGTCTCAAAAAAAGACTTAGTATTTTTGCCTAATAAAAATGAAAGCATTTGTTCTTTTTGGAAATAAAGCTTATTGTTTATTATTTCATTGTTGGCAAATCTGTATATTAAATTTACAAATTGACCAGATTTGGAGTAATAGGAAAATTTGATTTTCAGTCATCCTCTCACTCAAGTAATTGAAGCTGCTAATATTAAGTTTTACCTTGCTAATTAGAAAATATTACAGAGGAAAGCAGTAATAATGATAGGATTTTTAAAAATTGGCAAAAGTGTGTTAGGGAAAAATGAGTCAAAATGAATAATCAAAAAGTTAAGCCAGATACTGGAATCTGTGCATTGGGAAGATCACAGAAGACAGGTAATGTTATTATGTTAAATATTCACCATACACAGTGTTCTTGGTTCCATAGCTACAAAAGAATGTAAGAATGTAAGGAGGGATAAGAACGAGAATTACATGAAAAACCAGATTTCTAGGGAAGTATTGAAAAAACCCCCAGCCAAATTGGGTGGTTGCCAGGGGCTGGGGAAAGGGGGAAACAGGGAGTTAGTGTTTATTGGGTACAGAGTTTCAGTTTGGGAAGAAGAAACATGTTCTGGAGATGGTGGTGGTGATGACTGCACAGCAGTGTGAATGTACTTCATGCCAATGAATCATATACTTAAAAGTGGTTAAAATGGGCCGGATGTGGCGGCTCATGCCTGTAATCCCAGCACTTTGGAAGGCCGAGGCAGGTGGATCACAAGGTCAGGAGATCGAGACCATCCTGGCTAACACGGTGAAACCCCGTCTTTACAAAAAATACAAAAAAAATTAGCCGGGCGTGGTGGTGGGCGCCTGTGCTCCCAGCTCCTCAGGAGGCTGAGGCAGGAGAATGGCGTGAACCCAGGAGGAGGAGCTTGCAGTGAGCCAAGATCGCACCACTGCATTCCAGCCTGGACGACAGAGTGAGACTCCATCTCAAAAAAAAAAAAAAAAAAAAAAAAAGGTTAAAATGGTAAATTTCATGTTATGTTTATTTTATCATAATAAAAACAAAACAACAAACCAACCAACCAACCTGAAGACTAATGTCAAGAAAAAAAAATGGCAAGGATCTAGTTTAGCTAACGGAAAGATTTACCAGATAGTCCTGGAATTAATTTTTAAGGGCAATTATAGAATCACCTTTTCTGAAGAATTAAAAAAAAATAGATTCACTTCTGAGTATGAAGGCTTGGATTCTTTTTATTTTTACTTTTTTATTTTATTTATTTATTTTTATTTTATTTTATTTTTATTTTTATTTTTTTGAGATGGAGTATTGCTCTATTGCCCAGGCTGCAGTGCAGTGGCATGATCTCCGCTCACTGCAACCTTCGCCTCCCAGGTTTTAGTGATTTTCCTGCCTCAGCCTCCCCAGTAGCTGGGACTACAGGCGCCCGCCACCACACCTGGCTAATTTTTTTTTATTTTTAGTAGAGATGAGGTTTCACCATGTCCGCCAGGATGGACTTGATTTCTTGACCTCGTGATCCGCCCACCTCGGCCTCCCCAAGTGCTGGGATTACAGGTGTGAGCCACTGCGCCGGCCCTTCTTTTTAAAATGGAATAATAGGCCGGGTGTGATGGCTCACATCTGTTATCCCAGCACTTTGGGAGGCCAAAGTAGGAGGATCATTTGAGCTCAGGAGTTCAAGACCAGCCTGGGCAACATAGTGAGACCTGTCTCTACAAAAAAAAAAAAAAAAAAAAAAAAGAAGAAGAAGAAAGGAAAGAAAAAAAAGATAAAATGGAATAAAAGTGCAGAATGCTGACTCCCTCGAGGCTTTTCCTAACCATTCTATTCTATGGTGGATGCTACGGTCAGCATGTTTTTTTAATTGTTGTTTTTTGTTGGTGGGGGGTGTTTAGATCATTAAAGAAATGGTTTCATCATCCACTTTCTCTCATGTCCCTTTTCTCATCAGCTGGCATATTCCAGGCCATGTGTCTCCTGATCTGTGCCGAGATGTACCAAGTGTCCAGACTGCAGCACATCTGTGAGCTGTTCATCATTACCCAGCTGCAGAGCATGCCAAGCAGGGAACTGGCATCCATGAACCTTGATATAGTTGACCTGCTTAAAAAGGCCAAGGTAATTGACTCTGTGTATCTGATAGCCTAGTTTTTTATAAAATATTTTTCAAATTATACTATTTTAAAATTTATCATTTTTTAACATACGTTAATACTAGTCTTAGTTTGGAAGTTTGGCTAATGAGGCTAAAGTGCCTTCACAACAGTTTATCTGGCTAGATAATTTTGAAGCGTTAGGGTTTGTGTGCAGTCCCTTTTATAAGGAGGCAAAATGTCCAGATACGGAATTTTTTTAACTAAATAGTGGCCCTTAGTAGAGTCATTTGAATGTGGTGCTATACTATGTCACATAGGCATTGTAGGAAATAGAATTTATGTTGAATTTCCCCAAACAATCACATCTTCAGGTTCCTAAAAGGGAAATGACAGAATTGGTCCATATATACTGATAGCGATGGTTAAGCTAAACTAATTTACTTCTTCATTTTTTCATCCATATAATGAACATGTTTTGAAGTTTCAGTTGTATGTAGGAGATATTGGTGTGCCTCATTTATCCTTGCAGAATGCCTTTTGTTTTCATGTCTCACCTTATTAGCAATCACTGCCGTATGTGTACATGCTTCTTCTGGGCCTCTTGTAAGCTCGGAGTCTTTTGTTTTCAATAATTATATCATTACTGATTTTAGAGAACGGGGGTGGGGGAGTTACATAATTAAGTTAATTTTAAGTAACTGCAGTTACAGAGGCCCTAAATTATGAATCAGAGCCAGGTCTGTAAATAAACTAGGACTACTGTGTTGAAATCTACTTCCCAAACCCCCAGATGTGCTCACAGTCAAAAACCTGCCAAATCCTTATTCCCACTTTCTTTCATTCCTGGAAGCAGAAAGCTTATTCAGATGGGCCATCCTACCGTTGGCCATTCTGCCATTCCATCCACTGCCCGAGACAGTTTCAGCACTTGTGGTAGTTATGGCACACTCTTGTGTACTCAACTTGTGGTAAGCCGAGCCCTCTAGGTTTTTTTCACAGGAATATATTTGTTCAATCACTACAGAGTGTCAGTACTTCTTGAACTATTATCTGGCATCCAACATGTCTATACCTATCAACTTTGACGTCCAGGGTTACAAAAGCATGACAACTTTTATCTCCATCCACATTGCTAAAATGGAGCCACATGATGGGGCAAATTCCAGATCTGTGACAGCTGAATGCTTGCCTCCAAGCTGAAACGAATTCATTCATCAACACTTCTGTTTATAGAAGGGAATTTATTTGAAGCATCTAGGTCTTCTCCTACTATCTCCTTAACTATTTTGGACTTCATTTCTCTCATAATCAAGTCTTACGATCACATGTATTTAATTAGGGCTAAAAACAAATTTAAAAATTGAGTAGGGCCAGGCGTGGTGGCTTACGCCTGGAATCCCAGCACTTTGGGAGGCCGAGGCTGGCGGATCACGAGGTCAGGAGATCGAGACCATCCTGGCTAACACAGTGAAGCCCAGTCTCTACTAAAAATACAAAAAAAAATTAGCTGGGTATAGTGGCGGGTGCCTGTAGTCCCAGCTACTTGGGAGGCTGAGGCAGGAGAATGGCGTGAACCCTGGAGGCGGAGCTTGCAGTGAGCCGAGATCGTGCCACTGCACTCCAGCCTGGGTGACAGAGTGAGACTCCGTCTCAAAAAAAAAAAAAAATTGAGTAACACTGATCTCTTTTTGTAAAACGTTTACATTCATCTCATGATAAATAGCTCCCCTCTAAATTTAGTTTACAATTTTTAAAATTCTTTCTAGTAGTTTCACAATCTCAGTTCATTTTTGATGTATCATTTTCATACTATTCTAACAAGTTGTTCATACTTTTTAAAAAATTGGACACAAGTTTCTTTTTCCTTATCTTTTAGTATCTTCTTAAATTGTTTATGTATAAGAGAACTTCCCGTGTGGTCACATTGATTTCTTTAGGTGCCTCCCCTCACTGCCCCCCTACACTTGGTTCCTCATCAGAATCATTTTTGATTGCACTGTCAGAAATTCTTGACTTGTTTTCCCTGATTCTCTGGTTTCTGACTCTGTGATTATCCTTATCTTTTCCCCTTGAATTTCAAACAATCTAAGATACAAGCTCATTTTGAATTTTGTTTCTGAAGACTTTTTATTTTCTAAGATTAAGCCTAAATTTACCAGTTTTCCTGTATTCTTTTCCTGGTGGTTCCTAATTTGGCAATTGTGAATTCCAGATAACAGAAGTTTTCTTCCCAAGTTTTCTTTGAAGTTCCTAGTTTGAGATTTCACTTCACCAGTCAGTTCACCCTGTTGGTCAGAATTTGGTTAACTTTTGCCTTGCCATTTCTCTGACTTTTAGGAGTGAAATTGTCTTCTGGCAGAATTAGACTCCCAGTAGCTCTCCAAATAATCAAAATTTCTGAACACTCTGCCAGTTTTGTACTGTGTGTCAGGAAACATCATTCATACTTTCTTAGATAGATGAGCAGTGTGGGTATTCTCTCACTTCTCTGTCCATTTTCCCCTAACCTCTCTCAGTTCTTTACCATGATTTACCTTCAGGTTTCCATCAAGGAGGACTCTTAAAATACAAGAGTTGAGGTGGAGATTCCGTATCTCTACTCCTGTTTAAACCCTATCTGTTCAAACTTTGGTGATTCCTATGAAGTTGTATTTATTCTTGTATTAAAAATTTTAATGCATCTTCTTATTTATAATCTATATGTTAATATTTGGCTATCTGAGGCACAAGTTGTATTTCTGAGAGTTTCCAGGTACTTTCTTGTGAGTTTATGGGTATTTTCTCCACGTTCTTCTTGTAGCTCTTAAGTTCTATTGCATTTGGTTTATGGTTTTTTAATGCCTTTTTAAAAATTCTGTTGCTTATTTCAGTTTGAACCCATTTTCTTACGTCAACACATATCCTTCTAAAACCTAGTTTTTACAGTGAGACATGTTCCATTCCTGTTACAGAGTCCCTAGACTATGAATCTGGGCCAGGTCTGTACATTAGCTAGAACTGCTCTGTTGAAATCTACTTCCCAAACCCCCACATGTGCTACCAATTCCTCATTCCTCAGTTCTTTCATTCCTGGAAGCGGAAAGCTTATTCAGATGTGTCATCCTACTGTATTTAAGATATTTTGGATAATATCTTAAATCTTGGTCAAAAATAAAATTCTTCATTTTTAAGCATGCTTTGTAGCCAGCTGTTTATTTCTGTGACCTCCCTTTTCCTTCTCAGTCACAGCCCTTAAGGCAATGTCCTAACCTCCTGGTGTTTTGTTATCTGCTCTGGGTTAATCACGTAACAGTAGTGGTGGCTTCTCTAAAAAGCTGAAGGTTCTTATTCTTTTCCCTTGAGATTGCACACATTCATCTGCTAAAAGATAAGGGGAGGAAAAAAACTGTTAAAATGTTATGTGGGATTAGATAAACTATAAATTTATTTCCAGTTCAAAAATTGATTTTATATAATGAATATAAGAGGGACCTGTGAATTTGTGTTTAAATACTCTCACACTATACAGCTTTAAAAAAAAAAAAAAGCATATCCTTGAGTTTTTTTATTAAGGTTTAGAGATTACTAATCTTTCTTCAATTTAGCATTACTTGTTGCTTATTTAATATTTTTGCATCTCCTTAGAAGAGCTATACTTAGCCAAAAGGTGGAAACAACACAAATGTCCATTGACAGGTGAAGAGATAAACAAAATGTGGTATATATGTACAATGGGATATTATTCAGCCTTAAGAAGGAGTGAAATTTTGATATCTGCTACAACATGGATGAAACTTGGAAAATATTACCCTAAATGAGCCAAACATAAAAGGACAAATATTTTAGAATTTCACTTATATGAGGTACCTAGAATAGTGAAATTCATAGAGACAGAAAGTAAAACAGTGGGTGCTAGGATCTGATAGGGATAGGGAGAAAACAGATTGTTTAATGGTACAGAGTTTCAGTTTGGGGTGATAGAAAAGGCCTGGAAATGGATAGTGGTGTTGGGTTGCCCCACCATGTGTATGCACTTATTAGTGACATTTAACTGTACACTTAAGGATTGTTAAAATGGTAAATTTTATGTTACACATATTGTACCACAATAATAATAATAAAAAAAAGAGTTCTATACTCATGTGCCAAAGTTGCCTGCCAGCAAGTTACTGTCATCTGCATTGGTGGTTGGATGGATCAGTGAGTGTCACTGGATGGGCACCAAGGTGATGATGTCAGTGGCCTGCTTGCTTGGAGTTTTCCCTCCATTAGCAGCTATTGGAACTCAGAATGAGGAGAATGGAGCTGGAAATCCTGCTCAGTTTACTGTACATCTCATTAAAAGCAAATATTTAGCCACAGCTTTCTCTTAGAAACATTTACACATTGAAACCCATGCCTTCGGCCGATGGTGTTTCCTCCTCAAAATATTTTTTGGCTTGCTCCTCAGGTGAACTTGTTTTAACATTGCTCACCATCATCTACTACACAGATACAGGTGCAGTTATTGAAGTCCGTGGCTTCAGATTAAAAGCTCAAATTAAATCTTCAAGAACCTCAGATGCAGCCATGCATTGCTTAAAGACGTTTGGCCACTCCGGCAGCCGTAGATTGTTATTCGCTGTTGGCCTGGCTTCTTCCGAGAATGTACTTTTAACGTTATTTGCTAATAGTGCTCCCTCATCCTGTCTGCTGTCACAGTATACTGAAAGCTGCATCAGGTAAAGGCACATTAAACATGAATATGGGCTCTCCGTGATTGCTCCCAGGCCGTTCTCTTGATCTTATCATACCAGTGGCCATTATGTGCAATATTATTTCACTTTTCATTTTTCTTGCAGTTTCACCACTCTGATTGCCTTTCAACCTGGCTACTTCATTTCATTGCTACTAACTACCTCATCTTCAGTCAAAAGCCTGAATTTCAGGATCTTTCAGGTAGATTGCTAATTTCTGTTTTGAAAAGAAAACTTTATGTTCTTTGTTCTTAGATTTGAGACATAAGTTGTAGAAGTAGTACTTTTAGCAAAATAAGAATAGTCAATGTAATAAATTTCTTGTAAATTATGCAGTGTGGTAATTGAGGAAACAATTTATAGTCACCTGTGTTACATAAGTGCCTTAACCTGTGTTACACAAGAAGTTTTCTAATGATTATTTTATAGCTCCATCCGTTTTTAAATGCATTTTCTTTCCCTGAAATAGATAAGGTGACAAAATGTGTCCTCAGGTGACATTTGGTTGTGAAAAGTGATATCTTAGTTCTAACTACCTAAGTCAGCAGCAAAGTTTAAACAGTACAGATTTAAAAATTTTTTATAAAGGAATTTAACTCTTGTTAACTATATTATATTTAGCTTTATTGTACTGGATATCTGTATTTACTGAGTATACCTATATGGGAGTCCCTTATATTACTTTGGAATAACAGTTTTTCATATATAAAAAATGTTGTGAAACTTACTGGGAGTGTATGTAATATGCTTTCTAAGGTAAATTATAAAAATTAAAACCAAAGTGTGAACTACTGAGTACTGCATAAAAAGAAAAAAATGAAAATATAATAGTTGTCAGAATAGACAGTTTAGATGCAGTGGTTTGCTCATGTTATTATCTAGCATAGACTCAAGGAAAATTTGAGCTAAAAAGAAAAGGAAGTGAAAGATTACCTGATCAAGGAGTTTCACAATCTGGACAAATAAATCTCCGTGGAGATAACTGAAGTGTCTTCTAGGGTGGGGGACAGAAAGTAGGGAGTGGGTGAGGAGAAGGAGAGAGAGAGGGAGTAAGGGAAAGGGAAAGAGAAGGCTAAAATTTACAGTTCTTGGACTCTTCCCTCCCTCCTTCAGTCATAGTAGTTCCACTTTATCTGTTTCATATCTTGAGTTCTACCTAAAATTTTACTTCGTAAAAAAGACTCTGCTGGTAAAAGATATAAAAATCATATGGTCAAGATGGTGATTCCACCTCGGTGTAATCCCAGCCAACTTGGGAGGCTGAGGCTGAAGGATCACTTGAACCCAGGAGTTTGAGTCCAGCCTGAGCAACATAACGAGACTTCTGTCTCTAAAAGAAAAAAGAGTAAAAATCTCTTGTTTTTATTCAGCTACTTGTGCAGTTAAAGAAAACCCAGGAACACACAATCCGTTTTTGGGAGATGTATTCAGCCAGTCAACAAACATTATATGTCTATTAGGAGCCTCCTTATATAAGTCAACTATTAGTACAGTAGAGAAGCATAATCACATCAAAACAAAACAACAGTTATTTATTAGCTATGTACTTTGTGCAAGGAAAAAACAGTCAGTTCATAAAGATAAGGCTTGTGTATGCTTGCTGTCAGAAGGAACATTCTTCTATAGTTATTTAAGTAGCTGCTTCTATAGTTATTTAAGAAGCTTGCTAAAAGTTAAATGAATTGCACTTTGGTCCTGGAGCCAGTTTCATTATGTTACCTGAGGTCACTCTTATTTGTAAGAGAAGAATAAGATTATTTTCTACTTACTATCTTGTATAGATATATGGTATATATGGAGTACTATTACAACCTTGGGAGAAGGATGGTCTATAAATCCTTTTAGTTATGAATTTTCATTATATGGTATTACCCAATTACCTATAAAGTATGTTATGACACCTGGCATGGTGCAAAGCAGGACTTCCAGTGCGATGTGAGGTGGCAGGCTAAGGAGGAAACGATGTGTCGATGTTGCCTTCTGTTCCTTTGATGGGAATTAAAAGGGAATCATGAGAACTCTCATTCTGCAGTGCCTCTTCCTGTCCAGGGTCCTGCTATGAGGTGTCATCCTCTTGGGCAGAGGAAAAAAGCGCCTTTTGGATAAGGGAGAATTTAATTGTCTAAATCAATAGTTACTAACTGGCCATCTATGGTTTAGGTGTAGCCTGCCAACGTGTTTTATTGGGACCCCACAGTTAAAAATATATAGTACTGGTATTTAAAAATAACCATATTTTGGCTTCTTTTGAAAAATTGGAAGATCTGGCTACCCCAGGCCCATCATCCTAGTGGCAACATGTGGCTTGGCGCTGACGGCCCACCTAAAGGAGCATGCCCTCTCCAGAGGGTCGCAGTCACTTCTCTCCAGTGCTTTACACCTGGCCCACTGCACATGGTCACCTGAAGTTGGGAAAGTTTCTTGTCACGGTCACTCTACAGCTTCCTTATAGAACTGTCCATCTTCAGCTTGAAAAGTTCTCAAATTATTATTGGAATTCTACAACTTGTTTTCTGTTGACTGAGAATTTTTCATTTTTAGAGGTGTTTAGAAATCAAAAAGTGAGACTGGAAAAGATGTCATGTCAGTACAGGCACAGATACATCAGAACCCAGTTAAATAGGTCATTAAGTATTAGATTTTTATATACTGGACTCATGAACACAAACAGCGGTGCACAGGAATATGTTACCCTTGGCATTTATGGATTCATTATTCTCGCAGTTTAATTTAGCTCGATATTATGTGTTCTGTGTTATGGGGTTTTGTTTGTTTTGTTTTGCTGGCTGCCAGAGCTCATCTCTAATAACTTTTCTCTGGTTTTTAATATTTACTGAGGGAGTAGTCTCATGTCACCTTTGCTTCCTCTTGAAACTTAGAGCTGAGCAGCTAGTTTGTATGGTCCTGCAGGCTGAATCAAGACCCTGTTAATCTGACTTATAATAGATGAGGTTAAACAGTAGATGGAGAATCAAGTAATTCTCCTGCCTCATCCTCCTCAGTAGCTGGGATTATAGGCATGTGCCGCCACACCCAGCTAATTTTTCTTTTCTTTTCTTTTTTTTTTTTAGTAGAGACGGGGTTTTGCCATGTTGGCCAGGCTGGTGTCAAACTCCTGACCTCAAATAATCCGCCCGCCTCGGCCTCCCAAAGTGGTGGGATTACAGACATGAGCCATCGTGCCTGGCCTCCAGCAAGGTCTTTATGATCTATATCTTGAGTCGACCTCCTATCTCATTCTGTAACCTAGAATGCCTAACTGTCTGGGAATGCAGCCCAGTAGGTTTCAGCCTCATTGTCCCCAGCCCCTATTCAAGATGCAGTTGCTCTAGTTCAAATGCCTCTGACAGTTGTGCTTCACCAAACCTAGAGAATGAACAAAGCGAAGGACCTGGAGTTCAAGAATGGAGGGATCCAACTCCAAGGCAGGAAGCAGGTCCAGAAAGCAGGCAGGGCAGCAGCAACAGGGAAGAACAGCTTATCTGATGACTGGCTGGGTGGGAAGCACAACTGAGAGGACTTGAAGGACTTTGGAAGACTAAGTTAGCTACAAAGAAAACTAAGTATTATACCAAAAAAACTTATCCGGGCGTGGTGACAGGCGCCTGTAGTCCCAGCTACTCGGGAGGCTGAGGCAGGAGAATGGCGTGAACCCGGAAGGCAGAGCTTGCAGTGAGTCCAGATTGCGCCACTGCGCTCCAGCCTGGGCGACAGAGCAAGACTCCGTCTCAGAAAAAAAAAAAAAAGAAAAGAAAAGAAAAGAAAAGAAAAGAAAACTAAGTATTATAAATGGAAAAAAAAAATAAGTCCGTTATATCCAGGAAAAACAAAAGCTTTATTGGAAAAGAAAAGGAAGCCAGGCGTGGTGGCTCATGCCTGTAATCCTAGCACTTTGGGAGTCCAAGGCAGGCAGATCACGAGGTCAGGAGATCGAGACCATCCTGGCCAACAAGGTAAAACCCCGTCTCTACTAAAAATACAAAAAATTAGCTGGGCGTGGTGTCACACGCCTGTAGTCCCAACTACTCGGGAGGCTGAGGCAGGAGAATTGCTTGAACTGGGGAGGCAGAGGTTGCAGTGAGCTGAGATCACGCCACTGCACTCCAGCCTGGGCGACAGAATGAGACTCCATCTCAAAAAAAAAAAAAAAAGAAAAGGAAAATAATGAAATACTACTCGAAGTAGTGGACAAGATATATATAATTGTAAGTCACATAATAACTTAAATCCTGATACTAATTTAACCAAAATGGTAGTAAATTATTTGGGAAAACTTGTGGGAATGGTAGGAGATGTATCACAGAGCTGGATCTCATCTATTAAAGAGGAAATCAATAGCTGATATCTTAATTGATCCATAATAAAACATATTCGGTTAACAGTCTTTTTCTTAAAACTTCAGTGGAAGAACGCAGTTTTGTTGAAAAGCACAGATGGCCGTCGAATATGTACTTGAAGCAGCTTGCGGAATACAGGAAGTATATTCACTCCCGGAAATGTCGTTGCTTAGTAATGTAACCTGGAGCTTTTATACACTACATTTCTTTTTTATTATTATGAAGAATGGGATACCTCCAGGTTCCAGTAAAATTCTTCTGACCGAAACCAATGTGGGTGTTAGAAAAATTACCATATAGCTTAATATGTTTATTAGTTCTCTTTGGAAAAAAACTACCACTGTGGTCTTAAAAGGGAACAAAATATACCATAGGCTAAAACTAAGGCTTTCACTCTAGAATGCAAAGCTGTTTTGCAGCTGTTTTCCCTTAAAGATGTCCTGTTGCTTTAGTGATATTTAGACCCCTCTCAGTTAAGAAATGCTTAGATTAAAAAAAAAAAATTACGTAGGATTAATACAGAAATTTAATCATGTCTGATTAATTGCTCTATTAAAATAAGGGGCATTTAAAGACCCAGCATAACCATTTGTATAATGAGAAATCTAGGGGAAAACCAATCAGTCCAACATGAGATTTTAGGAATAGAAATTTGCCGGCCATTTGGAAAGTGAAATGCCACTTAGTTCTCAATTGATGACAGTGTTTGAATCATCATAAAAAAAATACCTGCTTTTCATCTGGACAACCCAATTGAGCCACTTTATCTCCTTTTGGCAATCTGAGTAGGCGGGGAACCTAGGCAGGGCTGGCTTTCTTAGCGTGTAACTTGTGTAGCAGCACAGGGCCCACACTTAGAAGGACCCCACACTTGGTTCAAGGCTCTGCTATAGCGGAAATTCTTAATAATGTTTGAAGAAGGGCCCCATGATTTCATTTTGTGCTGAGCCCTCAAAATTATGTCTGTTTCGTGGTGGGAAATATCCTATGTTTTCTTGCTCAAACACCTTTCTCTCTGAAAGCAGAAAAAGGCACTGATATAAAGGGAAGAGAAGGAGGCTCACCGGAGGGAAGAGAACATAGTGAAGATTCCCGCCTTTGGGGAGGTCTGGACCACCCAGGGCCTCCACTGCCACCTTGGCTGGCAAGGGAGAAATGTGTTGTGTTGTCTTAGCTTTAAAACAGTCACAGTTCTTGCTCTATCATAGATGAACAAATACTTTCTTGATCATTCTGTAAGACCAGGAGGTTGGTAAGAGTGACTAACCAGCCTAACTTTAATACACATGTATAAAGATGTTCACAGAGAAAGATGCTCTGTAGAGAATTTGCTACCGAAGTTGGCTCAAGAATTTGTTTTTAGTGTTATTTACCAAGATTAGGACGTCAGTGGCTTAAATTCTTTGAATTCTTTTCAAGGACTGCAAGATTATTTGATAAAGAGTAGCATGAATCTTGTGCTCTAATATTACACAGTAAGTTCAAAGAAAGGATGTAAGTCAAAGACTTGTTACATAGAGGGAAAATGGACTGGGATAGAGGACAGACTGATAGTTTCTTTCTTTCATATCACATGTATAGAGAAATAATTATATCAGAAACTCACAAACCTAGACATGGAAAAACAGATTACTGTCTATTGTCAGCATCATTTTCATCTGTAAGTCACTACTGGAATATATTTTTCTTTTAATTTCCAGTGACTTTAGAATACACACAGTTTTTCCGACTTTTCAAAAATTTGATTAAATGGTTTTATAGTATAATATTGGGACCCCATACCGTTAGCCCTTGTATGTATACCAACACTGCCAAAGTAAAACATTAGGTCAGGCATGGTGGCTCAGGCCTGTAATCCCAGCATTTTGGGAGGCTGAGGCAAGTGGATAACTTGAGGTCATGAGTTCGAAACCAGCCTGGCCAAAACAGTGAAACCCCGTCTCTACTAAAAATACAAAATTAGCCAGATGTGGTGGCGCACACCTGTAATCCCAGCTACTCAGGAAGCTGAGGCAGGAAAATCGCTTGAACCTGGGAGGTGGAAGTTGCAGTGAGCCGAGATCGCACCACTGCACTCCAGCCTGGGTGACAAGAGCGAAACTCCATCTCAAAAAAAAAAAAAAAACCAAAGTGAAACACTAAAAATTCCCTATAGATATATTCCAGGAAATATTTTAATTGGGCTGATTTTAATTAGGCTGTATCATTGATGATTACTGGAATCGATTTTATGTCTTTTGTATTTTAATCACTTGAGTTAATCAACCACTGGCAAATCCCATTTGACAAAGATTAGCATTGTAAAAAACAGATACTGTGGTAGATTTCTAGAAATTCATTCACATTTAAGACTTCTAAAATGGAATAATAGCCTTTTGTTTTTCATGAGCATATTCGCACCCCTATATGAATTACAGCATTTAAAGTTCAAAATCAGTAACTTTTAATCTAGGAAATTGAAAAATATTAAGTTGCAAAGCAAAAAAAGGTATTTTCTTGAAAATACTATTTAATGTTTAACTAGACTATAGGTAGTTCCTTAAGGTTGTTTGACCTGAAGTGGAGTTGGGTTTGGAAGCTGGTGCCCAGTTGGTGTGGAGTGTGTAGTTTTGTTATGAAAGTTCTCTACCACCTACCTGTGTGAGTGACACCAACATCCAGATGTCACAGCTCTCCAGAGCTAGTCAGAAGAGAAATCAAATTAGTGTTTAAACCCATTTGCATATTGACTTGTCAGTACCTTTAACTCAATTTAATATAACAAGAAATCGTAAAATACTTATAACCTATCTTAGAGAAATGAGTGCTGGTTTTGAGAGTTGTTTTTTAACTGAAAGATTATTTCTAGATGGGTAGTGCTTTGTGCTGGTTTCTGCTTCCATATATTTCCCAGTCATTTTAATTAGAGAAGATACTCTATGGTAGAACTAAGGCCTTTCCTTTCTTGGCCAAAGTCTTTACCCTATTTAACCCTTTGTATATTTCTGACTGCTCACTGTTCATATTATAGGGGACCAGATTTGTAATATAGAATTCTCCATAACATGAATGAAATTAATTCTGTCCAAGCCAGCATGGTGGCTTCATATTAAGTAGTAACAGAAGTCTGAACAATTGGATAAATTTGACTTCCAAGACAGCTAAACTTTTCAACTGCAATTTTAAAAACTACACTACACTGTTATAGTTAATCTGACAAAAATGTCCTCAAAGAGTACTTTATTTTATTTAAAGCATCTGTTTAATTCAACCTTTAATAATTTTGCAAAGAAGGGTATGTGTGTATTTTAATATAGCCTGACCTGAATTTATATGTTTTTAGCTTTAGTATTTAACTTTTTGTAACAAATAAACCTTTTTTAAAACAAGTTTAACGAAGTGTCCTGTAATTATTTTACCTTGGATGTTGAAATACTGAAATGATTTGGAGAATGCTGCCTTGTATTTCTCAAGCATAATTATGCTTCATAGATAATTTTCATTATGTGTAAAATATCTAGAATGTTGCTGATACTATAGCTGACTAATATGTGTGGTGAGATAAAGAAATTTATATTATCTTTAAAAGTCAAGACCAGAATTTATCTCAGCAAAATAACTGCCTTTATTTAGAAAAATGCTTTGATAATTAAACATAGAAGTGAGCCCCTTGTAGGCTTGAGTGTTGTCTGGGACCAAGGCTTGGGAAGTGGAGAAGCTGCTCTGATAATAGATGGAAAAGAATTTGGAACTTCCCAGGGCTGAGGAGCCCAGGTAGGGAGGGGAAAGAGACAAGGCAGCCATACCATGAGAATGGATGGTGCATGGAATGATGCAGTCCCTCCCCAGCAGGTTCCCAAATTTTCAGTAAAGCCTACTAAACTCATGAAGGGCTCCACAGTTCCTTTGGAATTATGTTCCTAACACAGATCTGATCTGGACACACATCTTCATAGAAGAGCCCCATTGCCTTTAGTTACCTCCACAGTCCTCTTTGCCATGAGGCCTTTTATAACTTAGCCCTGTCTTTTCTGCCTGAGCACTCCTCCCCCAGGCAGAAAAGGTACTGCCATCTTGACACACTGCACTGTCCATTAAGATTGTGTACTGGCAGACTTTAAACTCTTCCTATGGCTTGGGGTGGGTTGCCATTCCCTGTCTACTTTGCAAACTCCTGCATATCCTGAAAAGCCCATCTTAAATATCATTTCTCTTTTGTTTTCTGTGACTTTCCCAAGAAGAATTTGTTGCTTTTGTACGTGTCTTTCCTTAGCTCTTTATTCATACCTTTGTTATGGTGCTTATGGCATTTCTCGGTATTTGGCTATTGGTGGTCTCTACTGGGCTATTACTTGAGGGACAGGGACCATGTCTTGATTTTTCTTCGTGACCTGTTTCCCAACCCTCCATCTAGCATAGGGCCTGGCATAACCTGTGTAATACATGGAACTGAAAAGGCCAGATTGCTTCAGCTGGAACAATAATTGCAAACTCGCAAATGAAAATGAAAAGCATGCTAACACTTAAAACTGTTTGCTCAATGTCAGGAGTAGCCAGTATCAGCCCGCATGTGGGACCAAGGTGATCAGGGAGGCCAAGTGTATGGGGAGTTGATGAACATATAGAATGGAAAAGTGATAAGTGATGGACCACTGAGGAGATGCAGAACATGAACAAAATAGTCCTTGGAGACATCTTTGCCTGGGAGTCTTCACTGGAGTTTGGGCAGTAAGATGAGATGGGGAGACAGAAGAGTTTTTGTTGGGCATAACGAAGTTTGAAATTCTCTTGGTGCTATACACAGTGTTCGACTGTATGCAGATGTTCCTTTAACTGCATGCACTTAATTTTCCATGTCATGAGGCAGGCTGTGTCTCAAAATCTCAGTTGTCCTCTACTGTTGTAGCTTAATGTTCAACAGTAAACTAATGATCAGCATTATCATAAAAGTGTCTGGCATTCTCTCACGTGTTCAGAGCAAAGAGCTCTCTTATTTATAATTATTTAAGAAAATAGCATGCAATTTATGTCACAGCCCGACAAGTTCTTCCTGCCTGCTGCCTCCCAAAAAACTAATGCATTGAGAAGGGGGTCTCAGGACCAGGTGGTATCTCTTGGTCTGCCAAAATGCTAAATCTGAAAAACACCTGAAAAACCAGTTCTTTAGGTTTCAAAATAGTGATATTATCCATAGGAATAGATGGGGAAATTACAAATTTTGCAGCCTTCAGTTGCGTAACCCTGGGGCAGTAAGCAACTTACAGAAAAGCAAGTTAAGCAAACAATGGATGGTTAGTGTTCACCCATGCCTATTCTTTAGCAAAGTTCAGGCCCCTACCATAATTCTAACCTTGTGACCTTGTATGGTTTCAATTTTTGAACAAGGAAGAGATTGGTTCAAGGAGGGAAAGGACTGTTAACGATTTCCACACAAGAATGAGCAAAAGTACTTTAGACTGTTAGAAGCAAGATGGAGTCAGTTATATTAAATTTCCCTTACTACTATAATTTTTGCAAAGGCAGTTTCATTTAGTGGACACAGTATATTATTATTTTTTAATTAAGGAGAAAGGAATGGGGATCTCAACCTCTTTTCCTTTGTTGGGCACTTGGAAGATCTGAAGAACTTTTTAACTCTAAAACATATGAACAAAGGCCAAAACATTAACTTGCCTTGAAGGTCAAGCCCAGTCCCTCATCTTTGACTTAGTGCCTGTCCTGTTTTGTTCATGCCCAAGCAAGATTCTGTTTCTTCCCTTACTACCTACATCACCACTAAAATGCTTTTGCTTTCAATACTTGTAACCTCTAGGACTCCAAAGGTCCCAGTGGTTTGATCTCTGACATGTCATATTCAAACTCAATGGTTCAACAGTCAGAAATTACTAAAAGGGGTCTCATTCTCTTTATTTTTTGATGGTTAACATTGTGTAAAAGGTAATATATTTGCCTGGCTCAAAGCTCAAAATAATATAAAAAGTCATCTTTGAGAAGAAAGTGCTCCCATTCCTTCCCCTCATGCCCCGCATCCTTCACAGGTATTCGGATTTATTAGTGTCTTGTGCATGAAAACTGTTTATTTATGTGAATACAAGCAAATGAAAGTGCATATTTCTCATCTTCCTCCCTATAGGAAACAGAATAATGGCCTCCCCAAAAATGTCCATATTCCTAATCCCCAGAACCTGTGAATAGGTTGCCTTTCATGGCAAAAGGGATTTTGCTGATTTGACTAAGTTAAGGATCTTGAGATACAGAGATTGTTCTGAGAGGGTTCATTATAATCATGAGGGCCTTTATAGGAGGCTGGCAGTAGAATGAGCATTAGAGGCGAAGGCAGTGTAATGGCAAGAGATTTGAAGTGGCTGCCCTTTGCCCTCAGAGGCCCTGAGCCAAGGAATAAAGATGGGTTCTAGAAGCTGGAAATGCCAAGGGGATGAAGTCTCCCCTGAGCGCCTCCAGAAGGAACCAACCTTGCTGAGACCTGGATTTTAGTCCAGTCATTCTGATTTTGGACTTCTGACCTCCAAAGATGTAAAGAGAATAAGTCTGTATTGTTTTAAGTCACTGTGTTTGTAATGATTTGTTACAGCAGCTCAGTCAGTCCAGTAAACAGTTGGTTTAATGAATTGCTTTGTGGTGTCTTAATAGCTGAAACACAGCATTTTGTTAATAAACAAGTTGTTCTCAAACTGTAGCAGTCATCAGAATCCCCTGAGGGGCTAATTAAAACGGGCTGGGTGTGGTGGAGTGTGCCTGTAGGCCCAGTCACTTTGGAGGCTGAGGTGAAGGATTGCTTGAGCCTGGGAGTTAGAGTACAGCCTGAGCAACACAGCGATACCTTGTCTCCTAAAAAATAAAATTAAGGCCGGGCACGGTGGCTCAAGCCTGTAATCCCAGCACTTTGGGAGGCCGAGGTGGGCGGATCACCTGAGGTCAGGAGTTCAAGACCAGTCTGACCAACGTGGAGAAACCCCATCTCTACAAAAAATACAAAATTAGCCAGGTGTGGTGGCGCATGCCTGTAATCCCAGCTACTCGGGAGGCTGAGGCAGGAGAATCGCTTAAACCCAGGAGGCGGAGGTTGCAGTGAGCTGAGATCGCGCCATTGCACTCCAGCCTGGGCAAGAAGAGTGAAACTCCATCTCAAAAAATAAATAAAAAAAAAATTAAATTAAAATACAATTAAAAAACCCAGAAACAGAATGCTGGGCCTCAGTTGCAGAGTTCTGATTTTGTCCATCTGGGATGGGACCTGAGAATTTGCATTTATAAGAAGTTCCCAGGCGATGCTTATGCTGCTGGTCCACAGATCATGCCTTGAGAACCCATAAGACAATTCATTTCAGTTCTCAGCTCTAGAGCAGCACCCAGCTCCTCGAGGGCCGTTCCTTATCCTCCATTCACTGCCCCAGCCCACAGGGGCTTACAGGGGCTTCCCTTGCCCTTCCACCACCAGCGTGACTTTTGACCTCTAGACCCCAGGCTCCTTCTTTCTCCTTGATAGTTTTTCCAGTTCCGTCACTCGACCCCCATTTTTCTAATTCTGTTTCACAAACATTTGACCAAAAGACCACACTTTTCCCTGAGGCCCAGGGCAGCCTAGCGGCTACCACCTCCCAAAATGATCTCTCTTTGTGAGAGGGTGGGTGGGAGCTGGGGGCTGACCTAGACCTTCTCAGGATCACACATTCAGCCCTGTGCCCTCCCTTCACATTTTGTTGACCTTATAATCTCTCCTGCTCAGGGTTTCTCTGGGCTTATACTGAGCGCTGGGTCCTTGACCCTTTGGACCAATCAATGACCCAGGGCTATGAATTCTCATAGAGTTGATACAGGAGTTATTAAGAAATAATTTTTAGGCAGATAGTAAGGTTCTCGGTGGAATTTTTCCTGTAATAAGAAACAACCCCTGAACCATCTCTTTCCTAACAGAAAATGTGGCTTGAAGGGCCAGGCCAGCAAGCTTTGATATGCCAATGCAGGCCCGTAAAAACTGGGCTCACTTAATATGGCGATTCCTGCCATCTTTTCCTTGTCACCAGGTGTACCAAATGTCATGGCCACCTCCAGATAACACCATGGGTTCAGAACATCATGGCGGCCCGCATTTGCATACTAAAGGGCTAAGGTGGGAGGGCCAGGCTTTTTGCGGGCTAGGTAAATGACACATCTGGTCAAACCAATCCCCTGGGCCCTATGCAAACCAGACACCACCTCCTCCAGCATCGCAATATAAGCAGCCAATTTTCTGTGCACACGGGGTTTTCTCTTTGTTCGAATCCGCCCTCCCTCTGTGTCTGTACTGGAGAGCCACTTTCTTCTTCCTTCCTTGTTTCTTGCCTATTAAACTTTTTGCTCCTTAAAACCACTCCACGTGTGTTCATGTCATTAATCCTATTGGCTCGAGACCAAGAACCCTGGTGTTCCTCCAGTCATCAGAGCTGTATCAGAGTTAATGTAAAATTAAATTCTGAAAAAACTTAGAAACAGTCTTATATGAATTTTAAAGCATTTTAAACATGAAATTTGAGTCCCTCAATATTTTTTGTTTACAATGATAGAATTTTCTACCATCTCAGAATATATATTTTTACCTGAGTTTTCTACCTTTTTGTTAATTTCTGATTTTTAAAAAATATTCAGCTGCCTTGTAAGAATGAGAAGAAATACTGGAGCACGATCATAAATAATAATCTTTTTAAGCCTAAGAGCCTTGCAACACCAAATTTGGCTAAGCAAGTTCTAAAGAGAGTTACTGAGTAACCACTGTCCTCAGGCAGGCTGGCCTGGAACTCGAGAGTGCTTTTTCCTTCCTCCTCCCAAGTGGAAGTATCTTGCTTTTGCCTTTACTTTTCATAAATTTAAGGCTGAGGAAAAATGCAACATCCTCAGCTTCAGTTTCCATAAAATTAAAATTTATATAGGCAATTTTCATTTTCCTCAAAATCTCTTGTCTAATTCTCTCCCCATTGTCAAGCCTGAGTCACTGAACACACCATTGTTTTTGGGGCTTCTGTCCCATTGGTTGGAAGAGGACTAGGGTTGGTTTTCTAAATTTAGTGACTTCCTCTGAGGAGTGGATGGCCTTTGAGGCAATGAAGCCATTCTAGTTTAAAGTAACTACATACCAAAATCCCTGAGAAGCCACCTGGTAGAACCCTGATTGCAATGCTGCAGTGCCCAGGCGAGGTTAAAATGCTTTCTTTGACTAGACGGAAAGCAAAAGTTAAGAAAATTCCTTAGCAAGAACTCAGATATAAAGATTATGTACAAAAGCTAATAGGCGCTATTAAGTATGCCTGGGCATTTTGCTAAGCTGCACATCACCACCACCACCACCAACAACAATAACAAAACCTTCTCTTTTATAACCCTCACAATTTGTGTTTGTTTGTTTTGAGATAGAGTCTCACTCCATTGCCCAGGTGATCTCTGTTCACTTCAGCTTCTGCCTCCCAGGTTCAAGGGTTTCTCTTGCCTCAGCCTCCCGAGTAGCTGGGGTTACAGGCACCTGCCATCACACCCGGTTAATTTTTGTATTTTTAGTAGAGACAGGGTTTCACCATGTTGGCCGGGCTGGTCTTGAACTCCTGGCCTCAAGTGATCCACCTGCCTTGGCCTCCCAAAGTGCTAGGATTACAGGTGTGAGCCACAGCTCCCAGCCTGGCCCTCATGACTTTTAATGAATGTGGTAAGAAAGACTGATCTTGTATAGCACCTTAGTAGGCATTGGGTGGCCCTACACTGCTAGAGGGTGTCCTTGTAAACATATTTGTTGTTTGTAACTTACTTTTTTGTTGTTGTTCACAAATGTCATTTGCTCAGACATCCAAAGAAGATGGGCTACCATTCGCTCTTACTTTTTGTGTGTCTTCTAACACTCTCTCCAAAATATAATAGTTGCTTAGGAAATGTCTGTTGAATGTAACAGAACACAGCGGGGAACACAAAGTCACTGGTCTCCAAGTGGATGGTATTGACTGTTTGGGCCCAGATACCCATTTGTGCTTGGGGCCCAGGGAACTTGGCCAGAGGGCTCAGGGGAGAGGCCTAGGGGACACCAACATCAGTGGAAGGGTGAGGCACCACCTCAAGGGACTTCACAGGCAGGACCTCAGGGAGGGGCAAGTGTGAAAGGACAGGAGGTCCATGGGAGGCATCCCAGAAATAACTTCAGGAGACATTGGGGCCTGGTTTGGGAGCAGGCAAGAGGTGTTTGCATGAAGTCCATAAGCTGGTGAGGCCTGAGGAAATGGAAGTATTAGTTATTATTTCAATATCACCATTTATTGTGCTCTTACTGAGGGGCAGACATTCTGCGTACATGACTTCCTTCAGAAGAGCTGATATGGCACAGGAAAGTGGTCTGGTGGGCTGGTTGAGCATGTGATGAAGCCAGACTGCACAGGCAAATTCACATCCCAGCTCCACCCCTTACTGTGCGACCTCTGACAGGTAAAGTGACCTCTCTCTGGACTTTATCTGCTCATTATAACATGCAGCTAATGGACTATTAACCCCATAGTGTCACTGGGAGGAGTAAACGAGGTCATACGCATTCAGTGCTGAAACCAGTGCCTTGCACAGAGTTAGCACTCTGCAAGTATAACCACTCTTATTATCTCTATCATTTTATTGTCCCAGCAATCCAGTGACCAGGGGCTTTGCATGTCTGTATTCTAAAATGAGTACAGTGAGTAATAGCCTAAGGTCACATGGTTAATAAGTGGCAGAGCTGGGAAGAACTAGGACCTGACTCCAAAGCTCACATACCCTACTGACTAGCAAACAGCCTCCACAAGCATTCTAAGAAAAATGTACAATAATCCAGCAAACACGGAAGTCAATGTCCTCCTTTGAGGATGCTGTTGCATTGCTGTCTTTGGGCAATGTGAGGGAGGCTGGGCATGTTGCCGGGAGACACATTCTTTTAGGTGACTTGCAAGGCTGACTCTCCAAGGTCAAGGAGTTATTAAGGTCATCCTCCCTCCCCACTTTCCTTCCCACCTCTGAGGAAACTATTCCAAAGTCTGACCTGATTAGGATTCTTCAAATGTTGTGACTTGTTAACACACCAACCTTGTGGTTAATATTTGACTTAACCCAAAACAGATAATAGGAAAAAACAGCATGCTTGGTAAGAAGTGTTTGGGGAGAATGGAGAGCTGGTTGCATGGCCCATTCAGCCGCAGGGAAGCCAGAGAGTGAGGTTTCTCTGTTAATCATCTTTAATTTTAATTTAATTAGTTAATTTAATTTTCATTATCCTTAATTCTTATAATAAAAAGCCAGACTACAGAGATTTGCTTACCTACAGTCACACAGTTGGGAAATCACCTAACTGGGATTTGAATTCAGTCCACGTGGCTTCTAAACCATGAAAGGAGCAGGAATTTTAGATTCTAGGGCCAGTTCCTGTTAGGAGCTGAGCAGCTTAAACATTCCCTCATTGAAGAAAATATACTTCAGTAAAGTTGTAGAAAAAGGAAGAAAGAGAGAAGAGAGGAAAGAAAGAAAGGAGGAAGAGAGGGCATGAGAGAAGGAAGGGAGGAAGAAAAGTATAGGTAGCTAGAAAAATGCGTTCTGACTGGTTCTGTAACCACTGTAGACCAGTGATGTGTTCAAAGCAAGGCCAGCAAAACTGGATAAAAATGGAAAAATTTTGTTTCTGGGCAAATGCTTCTCACACCCTCTCGTGATCTTCTTCTGAATTTATTACCCACCGTGACACCCACAATACAGCCTTGTGACACGGAATTCTACAATCCATGAAGAGCAAGTGCACCTTTTTGTGTTTGCTTTTGCTAACTGCTTGCTGCAGTTAGCAGGTCCTAGAATTTATGATTTTCCAGGAGAGTTCAATCTTAACGATGCCATTTATACAGTTGTCGTTGCTTGGGACTGTATTGATAAATCAGCTCTAACAGCTCTTAGCACAGACTTTGGTCTATAATGATGCTTGAATTGAACCAGGAGATGAAGACTCTGATGGACTTTGTGTCATTATTGAGAAACTTGGGACTTACGCCAAGTTATTAGCTGAAACCGTAAATAAGTTACAGAATGCTGACAGAAGAAATGCCAGACATTGACATGATGCACCCATTCAGCATCTGTCTTAGGCTGTTGGAGCTGCTATAACAAAATACCATAGACTGGGTAGCTTATAAACAACAGAAATATATTTCCCATAGTTCCGAAGGCTGGGAAGTCCAAGACCAAGTTCCTGGCTGCTTCAGTGTCTGAAGAGAACACATTTACTGGCTTGTAGATGGTGCCTTCTCACTGTGTCCTCACATGGTAGAAAGGACAAACTAGCCCTCTGGGTCCTCTTTAAAAGGGCACTAATCCCATTCATGAGGGCTCCACCATTATGACCTAATCACCTCCCACAAGGTCCCACTTCCTAATACCATCACCTTAGGGGTTAGGATTTCAACATATGAATTTAGGAGGGGCACAAACATTCAGGCCATAAGAGCATTCCTTGCATGAAATGGTGTTAACTGTGGAAAAGCAAGTGAGAGCGGCAAAGGGGAGAGAAGTCAAAGCACAAAATATTAGCATTTCCAGTGCTTGTGACCCTTAAAATGAATTGAGAGAGGTGCTTCTTGAAAAAAGGATAGGTAAAATCTTTGAGATATAATGGGTACTTAGTCACTACTTTGGAAATTCACAATGCATGTAACATATTAAAGGCTCTGGCAAGTTCCAAGGTCAAGCTTCCAGCCCAGCAGTCTTCACAAGCCTGTGTGAATGTCTGCTAAGTAAATTTACCAAGCTTGGGGTCTTTCCAGTGCTACCCCCTCACTCTGCTACTAGTGTCCTGGACAAATGAAACATGTACTTCTTTCTTTCTTTTTTTTTTTTTTTTGTCTGAGATGAAGTCTTACTTTGCCCGCCAGGCTGCAGTGCAGTGGCGTGATCTCTGCTCTCTGCTCACTGCAACCTCCACCTCCCAGGTTCAAGCGATTCTCCTGCCTCAGCCTCCCGAGGAGCTGGGACTACAGGCACACAACACCATGCCCGGCTTTTGGCTTTTTTTTTTTTTTTTTTTGGAGACGGAGTCTCGCTCTGTCATCCAGGCTGGAGTGCAGTGTCACGATCTTGGCTCACTACTGCAACCTACACCTCCCGGGTTCAAGTGATTCTCCTGCCTCTGCCTCCCAAGTAGCTGGAATTACAGGTGCCCACCACCACACCGAGCTAATTTTTGTATTTTTAGTAGAGATGGGGTTTCGCCATGTTGGCCAGGCTGGTTTTGAACTCCTGACCTTAGGTGATCCACCCGCATCGGCCTCCCAAAGTGCTGCGATTAACAGGCGTGAGCCACGGCGCCTGGCCTAATTTTTGTACTTTTAGTAGAAACAGGGTCTCACCATGTCAATCAGCATAGTCTAGAACTCCTGACCTGAAGTGATCTGCCCGTCTCGGCCTCCCAGAGTGCTGGGATTACAGGCGTGAGCCACCATGCCCAGCCGAAATATCTACTTCTAACATGTTGCAGATACTAATTCCACAGTACTTCCAGAGTGTCTCAAGTGTAAGACTGGATTAGGAGCCCTGATTGAGCTCATCTGCTGCATGACTCCACATGACTGATGCCCTCTTCATCCCTCTAAGCTGGAGGTGCCTCTCAGGGATGCTGTTTTCCATCCATCCTCTGTTACCCTTTCCTATATCTCAGCAAAGGGAAAGAGGTAAATATTTTAAATGCTTTTGGGGTTTAATGAGGCTAAGAGTATCTGTTTTTAAAGTTTATCAGATAAAAGGCATAGACTCTAAAAATGAGCACAAGTCCTGCAGGCCAGCATCGTATAGCCCAGCGTTTCCAAACTCATGGAGCCCATTTTTTCATGTAACATTTGCTGATGTGCCATGGACCCAGTGTTCTGAGACAGCTACTCTGGAGACTCTGAGCTGGAGTAGCTGGGATTACAGGCATGCGCCACCATGCCGGCTAATTTTTGTACTTTTAGTAGAGATGGGTTTTCGCCATGTTAGCCAGGCTGGTCTTGAATTCCTGACCTCAGGCAACCTCAAGCGATCCACCTGCCTTGGCCTCCCAAAGTGCTGTATATAGCCTCTTTAAGTGCCTGGGAAACGCTGCTAAGGATTCCTTATACACTGACCTCGGCAGGAGTAGACCATTATTTGGTATTATCCTCACATGGCAGTGATTTGCTAGATTCTCTGTAAGTAGGAAACTTCAGAACTACCAGTGTCAGCCACCTCTTTGGTTCAGGGCAGTAATTTTCAACATTTCCAAGCTTGTAGACCCCTTTTTTTTTTGCCATAGTAAAAGATGGGGCCGACCACAGCCTCTCCACATATTCTGGTGTGTTTTTGCCATCAACTGAAAAAGCAGAATTGGTCAAAAGCTACTATGAATGCTGGAATACTGTTTTTAAAAAAGTAAATTAAATATTTTGAATAGATAATTATATGTACATGGCAGTTATCCTTGAACTGAGTTTATATTTTATTCCTTGCTGCTGCCGCCACACAGAAAATAAACCAGGAAAAACTTCTAACTGGGTAAATCAGCTGTTCACCTTTATCGAAATATTGGAAAAGGGCCAGGCATGGTGGCTCATGCCTGTAATTCCAACACTTGGGAAGGCTGAGACAGGCAGATCACTTGAGGTCTGGAGTTCGGGACCAGCCTGACCAATATGGTGAAACCCTGTCTCTATTAAAAATACAAAAAATTACTTGGGTGCCATGGCACACACCGGTAGTCCCAGCTGCTTGGGAGGCTGAGGCAGGAGAATTGCTTGAACCAGAGAGGCGGAGGTTGCAGTAAGCTGAGATGGTGCCATTGCACTCGAGCCTGGATGGCAGAGCAAGACTCCATCTCAAAAAAAAAAGGAAAAAATAGATGCAGTTGAAGCTTTGTAGACTCGTACCTCTTTATGCATACACAATGGAAAACAGGATATGTGTATTCTCTGATCCTTTCAATAGGCCTGAGGACCGCTCCTCACCAGAGTTCTACAGTACACAGCGGCTCAATCAGAGGAGAAAAAGTCCTTGTACTAAAGCTCATGCTCCTTAGTGGGGATCACTTATCCCTCACTTACCAAATTCCTGTAAAGGAGGAGAGATTTTTCTTCTCCTTCCAGCTCAAGGAGTGTTGAAGGGGCGCTTTGCATCCTTTGCTCCTTTTCTCACTTGGAGGAGGAGGATTCCTCTGGTTAGATTAAGGACAGTCTATCTGCCACTGGGCCACACCTTCACACAGGGGTGGGGAAACGGACTCAAAAATAACCTAAGGTGTGGCCGCCCCTCCCTTGTGCTGCCAGCTAAAGGCTTCCTGGATGGAGAGGAGAACTAGGGCTCCTTGGTTTTCCTGTGGTTTACCTGTCTGGAGATGCCCACACTGTTCCCTTTCTGGGGGCAGCTGTCCCTGCCACCCCCTGAACTTTTTAATCACACAGTGACTGATTTGATGAGGCTAAAGGAGATCTTCTATGCAGGGGGCTGGATGAAGGCACCCAGAGTCAGCTCTACACAAGGGTCGCATTCTAGATGTCGGGGGACAGCCCCCGTGGCCACAGGTTCCAGCCGTGCTCTTTAATTCTGTCTTCCCAGGAGTTGCTGGTCCTCCATTCCCAGAGTGGGTCCTTTGGTCCCCATTTAACACATCTGGCTAGAACCCTGGGCAGACTGTGTTAAAGATCATCCACACTCAGTTCTCAAGGATGACTTAATAATGGGAGGAAGCGCAAAATCTCCACCCCATAAACAGCTTGTAATTTTACATATGAAATGTTTTAAGTTTCACAAGGCACACAAGAGAATAGGAAGGAGGCATCTCTTCTTGCTTCTGAGAAAGCTCAGCTGCAGGTCCCCAGAGGCTTGAGCCCCGCCAACTAGGAGGGAGGAGTTGAGTGCGCTGGAAGAGTCCGTAAAAAACCCCAGAGCCCCAGCTTGCACGATGTTCTGTGCCGTCATTGGCTCTCCTAGTTCCCCTCTCTCTCCTACCTTCAGCTCTGCACAGCTCACCAGAAAAGTCGCCTGGAGACAGGAAGTATAAACTTGTGCATAAATATAGACCCATTTTTAAATATCCCTTGTGCTTAAAGGGACCAGGCCAGAATTCTCTTCCCCTAATGAGCAGGATTAAATTCTTCCCCTTCAAACATTCGGTGTATTTGGTAAGAAGACCCCTATTAATATAAGAAAGGAACTCTAAGTAAAATATCTCAGGATCCCAGTTCTTTACAATATTTCCCACGACCTGTGAACAATTATTATGGTGTAGTAAATTAGGGAGCATGGCTTTCTCTGGCAACCAAATGTCAAGATAACGACCTAATAATACTCACTGGGGATATAAATAGTGTGGTCTGGGCCACATAGATCCATTTACCACCAGTTTAGGAATTTACCATCAGTTTAAGAATTTACCAGTTCTTTCTCCTTAAGGGGCATCTTTGGACAGCCTTGAATTGGAAGAAATGGCTGTCTGGAGTCTAGCCCAAAGGGCCAGGTTGGAGGAAGCAGAGAAGGTGGTTATTAAAATCAACAACATTCGCAGGAGATTGGATCACTTGCTTTCTTCAGTAAACAGAAAGAGTAGAGCTTTGGCTGTGAATTTTTTGGTGGTTAATTTTTGCTGTTTTTTTCTGCCAGCCCCTATTGCCAATCTCTCTCCATGTTCTTTGAAAGATCATTCTTTCTATCCTTGCAGATCACACGGAATTACTCAGCAAGGAGCAGGGCAGAAAACAGGAGGTTACATGAGAGTCTACACACTGGCCAGGAAGCTGCCAAGTCCCTTTTCCCTGCTTGGCAGCCAGAACCCTGAGGATGAGGCCCAACCCCCAGCTGTGAAGCTGGAGAGACTGAATGGCTCAAAAGAAAAGGTGTCCAGGAACCAATAATTGGGGGATCTCCCAGTGAGGCAACCAGATCTGTACCTGTTCATTTATTCTTTAATTTGTTCACTCAAGAAAGAGCCTACTATCTGCCAAGCAGTCTTGATGCTGCAGATACAGCGGTAAATAGACACCAATCCCTGACCTCAAGGCACTTATATTCTAATAGTGAAGAGACAGTAAACTAAATAAATCATACCATATATTAAAAGATAGACTGGGTGTGGTGGCTCACGCCTCTAATCTCAGCACTTTGGGAGGCCAAAGCAGGTGGATCACTTGAGCTCAGGAGTGTTGATCAGCCTGGGCAACAAGATGAAACCCTGTCTCTACCAAAAATACAAAAAATTAGGTGAGCCTCCATGGAGGTGTGCATCTGTGGTCCCAGCTACTCAGGAGGCTGAGGTGGGAGAATCGCTTGAACGTGGGAGGATTGCTTGAGCCCAGGAGGCAGAGGTTGCAGTGAGCTGAGATTGTGCCACTGCACTCCAGCCTGGATGACAGAGTAAGACCCCATCTCAAAAAAAAGATAAATGCTATAGAAAAAAATAAATAAATTGAAAAAGAGGGATAGGGAATGCTAAGTGAAAGTGAAAGGGAGAGTGTTAGATAGGGGGATGGGGGATCCCTTGCTGAGAAGGTGACATTTGAACAAAGACGCTCTCGATGGTGAAGCTATCCGTTGGCAAGCCTAATCTATGCACACAAGTCTTCCAGTCAGTTTTTTTAGTGCCTCATTCTTTAAATATTTACAGATAGTCAGATCTCCAGACATTTGAGGAAGGCTTTCAAATGTAAAACAGAGAAAGAAAATTGGGGCTCAGAGGAAAAACAATAAAAAAGAGAAAGCTGCAGTTTGCTAACTTTCTTTCTATAGCCATTCTCCCCTTCTTTTGATATAGATCTCCTCGAGTTTTAGTGAGTTTTAGTTAGGTAAGAGGCTTCCCAGGCAGGGGCCCCTCTGCCTAGCCTACCCCGCAGCTGGTGGGGCTATGGCATTAAGTTCTGGCTAATGGGATGTGAGCAGAAGTGGTACATAGGACCCCTGGGTCAGTCATGAACCCTTGGAGCAAATGCCACCTGCCTGCCTCTGGAATTTTTTTGATAAAGAAGCTTCTATCAGGCATTATATCTTTGTTATAGCAGCCTAGCATGTTGTGGGGGAAAGAAAGATAGACTGTTACTGTGTCTATGTAGAAAAAGGAAGACATAAGAAACTCCATTTTGATCTGTACTAAGAAAAATTCTTCTGCCTTGAGATGCTGTTAATCTGTAACCCTAACCCCAACCGTGTGCTCGCAGAAACATGTGCTGTGGTGACTCAAGGTTTAATGGATTTAGGGCTGTGCAGGATGTGCTTTGTTAAAAATGTGTTTGCAGACAGTATGCTTGGTAAAAGTCATCACCATTCTCCAGTCTCCAGTACCCAGGGACATAGTGCACTGCGGAAGGCCGCAGGGACCTCTGCCCAAGAAAGCCTGGGTATTGTCCAAGGTTTCCCCCACTGAGACAGCCTGAGATATGGCCTCGTGGGAAGGGAAAGACCTGACTGTCCCCCAGCCCGACACCTGTAAAGGGTCTGTGCTGAGGAGGATTAGTGAAAGAGGAAGGCCTCTTTGCAGTTGAGATAAGAGGAAGGCATCTGTCTCCTGCTCATCCCTGGGAATGGAATGTCTTGGTGTAAAACCCGATCGTACATTCTATTTACTGAGATAGGAGAAAACCGCCTTATGGCTGGAGGTGAGACATGCTGGCGGCGATACTGCTCTTTACTGCACTGAGATGTTTGCGTAAAGTCAAACGTAAATCTGGCCTACATGCACATCGAGGCACAGCATGTTTCCTTAAACTTATTTATGACACAGAGTCCTTTGCTCACATGTTTTCCTGCTGACCCTCTCCCCACCACTACCCTATAGTCCTGCCACATCTCCCTCGTAGAGATGGTAGAGATAGTGATCAATAAATACTGAGGGAACTCAGAGACCAGCGCCAGCTTGGGTCCTCCGTATGCTGAGCGCCAGTCCCCTGGGCCCACTTTTCTTCCTCTATACTTTGTCTCTGTGTCTTATTTCTTTTCTCAGTCTCTCATCCCACCTGACGAGAAATACCCACAGGTGTAGAGGGGCTGGCCCCCTTCACATGTATTCTAACTCATACATGTGGGCTACAGGAAAGAGGAGACCCAACATAGGAGAGAAAAAGGGAATCCCCAGAATGACAGTGAAGGGAGATCCCAGATAGAGAACTCTGCCTGCCTCAGGACAGAGGGCAGCAGTCCAGATTGGAGCAGTGTAATTTTCCATGTTGAGGGTTCTCTGTAGTTGTATAGTTTTTAACTTGAGGACAGAAAGCTGAAATGGGCCTGAAGCAGATCCTTATCTGTACTTGGCTTGCCTGGTGCCGATGACATTTCCGTTCTCCCTGCTACACAGCTGGCCAGCTGAGGAGGTGTGGGTGTGCTTTGATCTCCTCCTGAAAGCTGGGGGCAGGGACATGCTGAGCTTAGAAGCAGAAAATGCAGAGCAGCCCTCTGCCGTTACCATATTTCTGGGGGACACCCCGTTCTTGGCTCACACAATAGCCTCCCTGATCGTGGGGTGCCGTGTTTCCAAGGACTCACTCAGCACCACTTCTGCTTCCCCAGAAGAGGCTCTGGAAAACTTCCAAGGGATGCCGAAGCCAGTCTATAACTCAGAGTCAATGTTCAGTTTACCTGTTCTTGGGATTGTTCGTCTAATTGTGATATCACCTTTTTCTTACACAGCTAGGTCGGTGTTATTGTTTTTCAAAAGTAAAATGTATTGCTTAGAGATATTATAAGGAGTAAAACTATAAAGTATCAGAATGATTACAAGAAAAATGAAGTAGTGGTTACCTCTATGGAGGGATGGAGAGAGGGAATACCCTTGGGGAGGGGCACACGGCCCTGTAAGGTACTTTACCAGGACCTGGGTTTGAGGCGGATAGAGCAGGAAAGACTTTTAGTACTATTTGGCTTTTTAAACCGTATGCATATATTGCTTTGATAAAACAGCTCTTCTATGCTGGGAACTGGGTTTCCATAGTTAAGTCTAGGTTCTTGCCTTTGGGTACTTTTTTTTGGAGACAGAGTCTCGCTCTGCTACCCAGGCTGGAGTGCAGTGGCACGATCTCAGCTCACTGCAACCTCCACCTCCCAGGTTCTAGTAATTCTTCTGCCTCAGCTTCCCGAGTAGCTGGGACTACAGGCACGTGCCACCACACCCGGCTAATTTTTCTACTTTTGGTAGAAATGGGGTTTCACCATATTGGCCAGGCTGGTCTCGAACTCCTGACCTCATGATCCACCCGCCTGAGCCTCCCAAAGTGCTGGGATTACAGGTGTGACCTGCCGCGCCCAGTCACCTTTGGGTACTTCTGAATTTGGCAGGAGACCAATACAGATGATTAACTACAACATAGCCTGATAAGAGCTGTAGAGTATCTACATGCACAGTGTTTTTGAATTCCAGAAGAGGGAACGATGATTTTTCAGTCAAAAGGCCATGAGAGGAGAGAGAAAATATAGGGGAAATGATCTGTAAATCAGGCCTTGAACGAGGAGGAGTTTCAAAGTAAAACAAAGAAGAAAAGGCATCTCAGGAGAAAGAAACACAATGAACATGGACAAAGAAGTGTGAAAGTGCAGGCAAGTGGTCCAGAGTGGATCAGATACTATAACCTCCGGTGGGAGGGCTTTCATATTGTGCAGTGTGTAAACTGAACAATTATCCATAGCAATCCTGGTGTAAACTGAACAATTATCATAGCAATCCTGGTTGAAGGGAGTGGTTAGGGCCCACAAAAGAAAGAAGCGAGAAGTACAAGGGCCTTAAGTGGGAAATGGCAAAAAGGAATATGAAATGAAAAAGACTGTTATTAAACCCTAAGCATTATTCAGTAAGCCAGGGCTGGCATTTATTTCAATATGAAATTTCAAAATTATATCAGCCATTTGTACTCAGTGAGTGACAGCAGCACGTGTCTTTATTTATAATGGCAGGGCCAAATATAAACACAGTTTTAAGTTAGTGTATTTCGCATAACATTCCTTAATGTCTTGAGAACATGCAAATGAATTGGACAAAAATCACTGAATCATCTATAGGTTTTTTTTATTAGAAAAGAAATTAAGTGTTGTCACTAGAGATTGAAGGAAATTAACAATCTTACAATTCTAGAACAGGCAAACTTCATGATAAGGGATTCTTAAGTTTTCAAAGTGTAGGAGCTCTTTCACAGATACACTCTTGGTGTAGGGGGCTGTAAGTTTTATCAGATGTTTTACATTTCATGCTTTAATCTTTGCTGGTAGTCTAAATAAAATAAATACACAGTGTTCAGGATTATCTGGATAGCCATCTTAAATAACAGAGTGTTCCGCATGACCACAGCCTCTGCACTTGTGCCTCTGATCCATATGACACCAAGACCAACTATGCTTTTCATATGATTTCTCCAATTGGGTCCTGTGACCTTTCACAGAATTGTTGAACATTTCCTATGAGATCTGTGGAGGACAAGGTGGAGAACACTGGTTCAGAGCAGTGATTTTCAAGGTGGGATGGGATGGGGTGGAGTTGAGTGGAGAGATGCATGTAGTTAGAAAGAACACATTCAAAATACCCACTGATTTCATAATACAAACTCCATAAAGTCAAGCAGCAAAATGATTTTAGCTAATGGGCAGTAGCAGATAACCAACTGTGGATTCATCATTGTGGAGAAGGAGTCTGGATAAACATAGTTGAAAAACACTGGCTTAGAGGTAGAGACATGCCGACACATGGAGAACAGTAAGAAACGCATGCCAAAGAGGACAATTGAGGGTCAGTGAGCGAATCCTGGGCCAGAACTTGTCACAGTCTTCTGAAAACCAAAGAGCACATCCAGAAGAAAACCAAGATGGCCCGTCAACCTTCTTGGCCCTGTGATTAAGAGCAAGTTGGTCCACTTTTAAATACTGAGCCAAAAGAGGAAAAAAGCTGTTTGTGCCCCCAAATTCATCCACCAGAAGTGCTGTCATCATTTGCAATGCCATCCAGCTCTTGAGGAGGGACGTCAGCATGGGGCCTGTTCTGCCAGGAAAGAAAGAAGGGATCTCCTTGTAAGGCAAAATCCTTCCTTTCTCTCATTACCAGAACACTTACACCTGCCATTTAAACACACTCTGTTGCAGATGGCCTTGAGATGCAGCTGCCAGTAAAATACTGACAGCATAGAACACTGAAGGAAAAGGCCAAATGCAAATAAGGAGACTTTCTGAATATGGGGGACTCTAATGCCCACACCAAAATAGAAGCAGTTGGAGAAATAACATTTCCCATCTTCTCTCATTCTTAATCTAAGCCTAAATTGCTAAACATGTCCCAGAATAGGAAACCATTAATTGGGTTTGAGTGCTTTTAGTACCAGTGGTAAGGCCAGGAAGTGAACTCAGACAGACATAGGGTGCACCTGCTGTGATGATATCGTAGAATTCTGATTAGAAGATTTATAGCATTGACTATTTCATTTCAGAGAAATCAGTGGTATTTTTTCAGACCTTTTTCCCCCTTCTGTTGCTATGCTGAGTAACCATCACAAATAATGTATACTCATTGCCCAAGAAATGAGTTATTAATTAGCAGGCAATAGATACCCCTCCAAGAACATTTTGGTTAAAGAACCATTCATTTCTCCCTCAACTAAAGCAGCATTTACATCTCTCTGGGTACAGGTCTCTGAATTGGCCTGCTTGGGAGCTAGCTAGCGCTAGCTGTGCTGGGGAACTGGGGGAGGGAGGAGCTCAGACTCCAAAACCATCACGGTTCCCTTCTGAAATGTTCATCGCCCTGTGGTTTTCCACAGAGCCAAAGATCTCCTTTAGGTTACTGATTTTAGAAAACTTTGTTTTGGCTTTTGGGAAGCCAATTAAATAGAGTTGATTTGCCAAGTGAACACAGGTAAAGCCAAAATGACCTGTGTTTCACATTGCGTTTTGAATAAATCCAAATTGTTTACCATGGCCTGGGTGCTCTGGCCCCTGCCCACCTTTCTCGCTATTCTTCCTTTTCACTGCACTTCATTCACTCTATTCCTGCTTTCTTTCTGTTCCACGAACATCCCTTACCTGTTGCCACCTCAGAGCCTTTGCACTTGCTATTCCCTCTGCCTGAAAAGCTCTTCTGCTTCATCTCTGCATAGCAGTCCCCTTGTTAACCAGGTCTCAGCTCAACCCTTCCTGAGAAAGGCCCTCCCTTACCATGTTAGCTCAATTTTCTCCCCACCCCATGACATATTCTGTCACATTATTCTATTCTATTTCAGGATTTGCTTGTTTTTGATCTGTCTACCTCTCTAAAATATAAGTTCCAGGTTATCATTTTATGCATCATTATATTCTCATGTGTCTGGCACATGCTTAATAAATATTTCTTAAATGAAGCTTGAGTGAAAGGATTTCTCTCATTGACACGATCTCTTTGTAAAGTGTGAAATTCATAAGTGATTGACATCACCATTCCTCAACTCACCCCAAATCATTTCTTCCCCCAACCAGAATGCTGTCATACAGTATAACAAACCACGACAGAAGAATTCCACGGTCTCCCATGTTCCTGGCCCAGCACCTCACCTGCCACTCACCTGTGGTTACTGCAGAGCTCCAATCTGCTTTAGCCGCGTCAGCAGTTCCCCACTCTGTTGCAAAGAGACTAGATCACTGCATCCGCCTATACAATCTTTACCAATAAAGACTCGAGGCACCTAAAAAAGCACACGACCCAGGACATTACTACATTACTAGATTAGACAGAACATTTCTATCCTACCACTAAATATTTCCCGTGATTCCAAACTTTTCAAATCACTTTAAAACCTCCTTATGTATATGCTCACAGGACAGGACTTCCTTTCTGTTATAAGGGGTAACATTATTAACTCGAGAATGTTTTTACGCCAGAAGAGTTTTCAAGTTGTGTGCTATGCATGAGCTTGTCCAACTTGTCAAAGGGATTTAAAAATTTCACTCTACAGAAACATGTTTCAGAAGGAGAATTCTGATTGGCTGCAGTCAGACCACCTAGATTGAACTCTGCTTTCTCTGCATCAGGGACCACACCTAAGATTGTAAACTGGGTCACAGCAATCAGGAAGGAAGGAGTTCGTTTCTAAATACAGCTGGAAAAGTATTTGCATTACGTCTCTGATTTTTCAGGTCCATGGTTTATTAAGTACAATCATCTCTCTGTGTTGTTAAAACACAGGTGAGGGCCAGGCACAGTGGCTCATGAATGTAATCCTACTACTTTTGTGAGGCTGAGGTGGGAGGGTCGCTTGAGCCCAGGAGTTCAAGACTAGCCTAGGTAACATCGTGAGACCCCGTCTCTACAAAAAATACAAAAATTAGCCAGGCATGGCGGTGCATGCCTGTAGTCCCAGCTACTCAGGAGGCTGAAGTGGAAGGATTGCTTTGGCCCGGGAGGTCGAGGCTGCAGTAAGCTGTGATGGTGCCATTGCACTCACACCTGGACGACAGAGCAAAACAAAGAAAGCAAAACAAAGCAACACAAGTGAGCTCTGTCCTCAACCAGGGGGGTGTAGTGGTGTTTGAGTCTCCTTTAATCGCTGGTCCATCATAAGATGGTTAACTCACCCCGGATGAGGGTGCGTCACCCACGCCAAGCCACAGTCATGACACCTGCTGAATAGGCTCCTCTCTAGTTACACACTTCCTCCCTGCTGCTAGGAGCAGACACATTCCAGAATTCCAGAGGGCTTTTAGAATCGCGAGGGAGGAGGAAATACCCTCAACGTGGCTGAATTTATAGGCCAGGAGTGTTCCACCAAGGCTGCCTGGCAGTGAAGAAAAAAGCCCCATGGAGGTCACCGCGTCATCAGAGCCAGCGGGCCTCTCCCCGAGTACCAGGAACGCACTGGAGGGGAGGGAGAGGTGGAGGCAGAAAGCAATGAGACTATTTTTCAAAGCTTTGGGCTTTCCTCAGAAAGCATAATAATTGGAGCAAATTGTCCAAAAAGTGAGAAAGGTGAGAAAAGGGGCTTCATTATTGTGGATAAGTTCTTACAGCACTTTTATTAAAAAGGGGGTCTGGGTGAAGGTAGGCATTAAAAATAAAGTCTAAAAATTAAAAACAAATCTTGCACATTTCCATGGCTATTCCCTGTGCTCTCACAGGATAACTGAGGCTTTGAAAACCCACAGCCCTGGAGCTGCCCCCCAGCCTCCTGAGATGACCCTGAAATGTGACCAGGCTGCTCCCAGCGTGGAGTTTTGTGCTCAGTGTCTGGCAAAGAAGCGAAAGGCTCCTTTACCCTCACACCCATCCTCTAGTCTGGACAACTGCAAAACTGCCATAAATCGTATCAGTGAATGGTACCCCTAACGGGAGCTGAATGGCAGGCTGTACAGACGGCACGGGGGTGCTGTGGCAGTGAAACCAAAGCAAGAAGTACTGTTGATAAAGTTGAGCAAAGAAGAGGAAATACCCTGTGCTGCTTCCCCTCCTGTCCCTTCCCGTCCCAGCCTCCTCTTTAGAGGAACTTGAGAGTCCGCTACTGTCAAGGAGAGGAAAGAACTGCCACCCCAAAACGAGTTTGGTAATCCTGTGGTTCTTATTCTCCTGCACTAGGTTTCCCCAGCCTCAGCCAGGCAACATCTCCTGTACGCTAGCTAGGGTTACACAAATGCAACTACTCAAAAGCAATTTCTCAACACTCCTCGGCTACCTCCCTGGTATAAGCCACCTTCATCTGTCACCTGAATAACTACTATAGCCTCCCAATGTCTCCCAGCTTCAACCTTCACCTTTGCCCTACTGTCTCTTCTCCCCACAGCTGCCAGAGTGGCCCTTTCAAAATGGGGTCAGATCAAGTGACTCGTCTGCTCAGCACCCACCAGGGGCATCTCATCTCACACCGAGTACCAGTCACAGTTCTTCCAAGCTCCTATTAGCTCTCAGACCTCACCTCCACTAACTCTCCTACTGGCTCACAGTGCTGCAACTATACTGGCTTCCTTACTATTCCACAAACCTGCCAGGCAAACGTCTACCCCAGGACCTTTGCATTCACTCTACCTGTAAATTGTGTACACCCATCTCCCTCAGCTCCTATAGATATCTGCTCGAATGTTCCCTTCTCAGTGAGACCCAATGGCTCCATTTAAAACTGGACCCTGATGCTTCCTCCCTACCTTTCCTACTTTTCCTCATAGCACGTGCCACTTACCAACTCCCAACATACTGTTTTATTACTGTATTTGTTTGTCTCCCCCACTAGAATATAGGTTCAACAAAGGCAGAAGGGTTTTTTTCATGGCAGAAAAGGCAGAATTTTTTCCCCAATGTACATAAAAGTGTCTGGTACATAGTAGGTGCTTAAAAATATTTGTTGCATCCAGTAAAATCATCATTCAAATGCGAAGGAGAAATACTTTCTAAGGTAAACAAAACTTGAGGGAATGTGTTACCAATGGAATCACCTTGCAAGAAATGCCCAAAGAAGTTCTTCAGAGAGAAGGGAAATGATATAGTTCAGAAACTCAGATCTATGTAAAGAAAAGTGCATTAGAGGAGAAATAAATGAAGGCACTAATTTAGGAGCTGTGACTATAGCAAAACAAAAACAGGTTTTACCAAGTACATGGCTTGATTGAAGCCACTAACTTTCCATAATCATGTCCTGCTGATTACCTACTAGATACAGCTACTTTATAGAATAATTAAGACTGCAGGATCAGGCCGGGCGCCGTGGCTCACGCCTGTAATCCCAGCACTTTGGGAGGCTGAGGCGGGTGGATCACGAGGTCAGGAGATTGAGACCATCCTGGCTAACACAGTGAAAACCCGTCTCTACTAAACATACAAAAAATTAGCCAGGCATGGTGGCAGACGCCTGTAGTCCCAGCTACTCGAGAGGCTGAGACAGGAGAATAGCGTGAACCCGGGAGGTGGAGCTTGCAGTGAGCTGAGATTGCGCCATTGCACTCCAGCCTGGGCACAGAGGGAGACTCCGTCTCAAAAAAAAAAAAAAAAAAAAAAAAACCCTCGGGAGCTTTCAGACCCTTTGAATACAAACACTTCCCTGTTGGGGATCAAACATGCAGCTTTAAAAGGCTTGTTCTTCCCCTAGGAGGAATGCACTCAGAATTCAAGAATCTGTGAAAAACATTTTTCTAAAAATGAAAAACAGGCTTGTTGAGGTGGATCACATCTGTAATCCCAGCACTCTGGGAAGCTGAGGTGGGAGGATAGCTTGAGGCCAGGAGTTCAAGACCAGCCTGGGTAACATAACAAGACCCCCATCTGTACAAAAACTTAAAAAATTAGCTGGGTATGATGGCTCATGCCTGTAGTCCCAGCCACGGGAGGCTGAGGTGGGAGGGTCACTTAAGCCCAGGAGTTCGAGGCTGCAGTCAGCTATCATTGCACCACTGCACTCTAGCCTGGGTGACAGAGCAAGACTCTGTCTCTTAAAAAAAAAAAAAAAAAAAAAAACCTTAAAAGATTACTACAAGAAATATTGTTGTTCTACAAAGAAATGAAAAAGCAATTGTTGACCAGGTGTGGTAGCTCACACCTGCACTTTGGGAGGCTGAGGTGGGTGGATCACCTGAGGTCAGGAGTTCGAGACCAGGTTGGCCAGCATGGTGAAACCCCATCTCTAATAAAAATACAAAAATTAGCTAGGTGTGGTGGCAGGTGCCCGTAATTCCAGCTACTTGATTGCTTGAACCTGGGCGGTGGAGGTTGCAGTAAGCCAAAATCACACCACTGCACTCCAGCCTGGGCGACAAGAGCGAAATTCCATCTCAAAAAAAAAAAAAAAGCAATTGTTAAATGAACACATGAAGAGGTTTGCTTTACCTCCTGGAAAATAGATGCTGTTGGGCTGAGAACAATAATCCCAATTGTGTTGCACATTGGAATCCCCAAGGGATTTTTCCAAATAAAAATCCCAGGTGTGGTGGCTCACCCGTTTAATCCCAGCACTTTGGGAGGCCGAGGTAGGTGGATCGCCTGAGGTCAGGAGTTCGACACCAGCCTGGCCAACATGGTGAAACCCCGTCTCTACTAAAAATACAAAAATTAGCTGGGCATGGTGGTGGGCGCCTGTAATCCCAGCTACTTGGGAGGTTGAGGAGAACCCAGGAGGCAGAGGTTGCAGTGAGCCAAGATTGCACCATTGCACTCCAGCCTGGGTGACAAGAATGAAACTGTCTCAAAACAAACGAACAAACAAAACTAATGCTTGGCTCCCACCTCTGACATTGTGATTTAGTTATTGAGGGGCATAATTTGGGCATAAGGATTGTTTTAAAAGCTCTCTAGGTGATCCTAATGTGCAGCAAAGTTTGGGAACCAATGGCTAAAAGGTCCTCAGGGTGGCAGCCACAGTGGGGCCCGTAGTAGTGTTTGCACTGCCCTTTACACCTCTCAGGGCCTGGGCATCCTATGCAGCTGGTGGTCCCACTAGGCAGCAAGAGCTTCTCTCGTCATTGTGTATACTCCAGGACCTCAGCACACAGCAGTAGGATAACACACTAAGCCCCCTTTCTGCACCAAAATGCTGACTTCTTATTAGAGAGAAGGGGAGAGAAACAACCTCCAATGCTTTATACTCAGAACCCAGAGACAACCTTGTAAGTCAAACTAAAACTGAAATAGGATATGTGCTTGGCCTAACACTGTGCTGTAGAATTCGTGCATCGTAAAAGAGAACTTAGCTGAGCTGGTGGGACATTTCTCATCCCACCTCACAGCAGAACTGATACAGGTGATGTGGCTGGCATCCCTCCTGAAGCCCAGGACGCAAAGCCAAGGATGCTGAAGAGAGGGAAGTCTTTCGGATGGAGGAGAGCAATTTTTAGAGGGTCCCACAGTCTATTCGTAGCAAATGGGACTCTGAGGTCACCTAATCTGGTCTTGCAGCTGGGATCTTTGAGGACTACTGGGGTGGTGACTTGCCCAGGATCACACAGCCAGCCATTATAAGAGCCAGGCCAGAACTCCAGGCTATGATTCCCTACAATGTGGGGCCTGGAAACATCCATAATTAATTTAGAACAAGGGGCAGATAACGGTACATTAGATTTTTCCAGTGGGAGGAATTAGATAAGGAAGAATGAGCAAATTAGAAAAAGAAAGCCTAGAGAAAAGAATGAAGAACATGAATCTCATGTTAAATAACAAACACATCACACCCGGCCCTCCACCCCAGCTTCCACCTCCAGCCCTGCCAACTGAAAACTGTCATTTCCTGGCAGTGCTTAAAACAAAGACTCTAGATAATTCCCCAGGGACTCACCGGCAAGCTGCTGGTCCCACTTACCCTGCCGCACAGCAGACATCAGCTGTACTCCCTCTTCTGCCCCGTGAAGACCTTTGGCTGCAGTGCCGCCGCTCATTCAAGTGACCGAGATCCTCTCTAAGGCGCCCTCCCCCACACCCCCCGCCCCGCACAGCCCTCTGGACGCCTTGAAGTACGGAGCCGCAGCCTTATCCTAAAGAAAGGCACAGCTCTGACAAGAAAAGGCAATCCGGGAGCCTTTCCCTAGCCGTTTAAAATGAAACTCACCGTTCTTGCTCCCGTGAGCTGTTGCAAATAATCTTGAATCTCGTTAGTGTGGTTGGTGGCTGTGATATCGACAAATTCCAGAAGCCCTTGTTTGATGGGCAATTGACTGAGGATCTCTTGGGCCCTCCTGCAGTACGGGCAGGTGGGCTTGATGAACACAACCACCTTCCCAGGCTGGATTTTGCAGTTCACAAACTCTTGAGCCATGCCGATGGGCTGCGGTCTCCCCGGGAAGAATCCTCAGTTGCAGGTATTGCTTGGGGTATTGAGCCCCGACCCAGCCAGTTGGCTCCTATTTAATAAGGAACCTCCCTGGAGGCGGAGTTTGCCTGGTAGCTTGCTCGAGTTTTAAAGGGACAGCTTCGAAGACATTTCCATCTGGTATACTTCACTAGTTAGCAATGCCCAGGAATGCAATACTTGCTATTTAATCATTGGTAGCTATGAAAGACACTCTGGGTATCTTTGTTGTCCTTGGACATTTGGGGAGTGCCTGCCCATTGGCAATGATCAGAGTTTAGTCACCTCTGGGGAAGCATAAAGTGCTTACTCACAAAGGGGCTGAGGAGGCAGTGACTTCTTAGAGCAAATTCTTGTTTTCCCTCTAGGAGATACAGTTGTATTTTAAAATGCAAACAGAATCACTTAAGAAACAGAACACTTGGAAATCTCTTTAGAAGAAGTGAAATTGAAACTGTGACTTTGCACTCCTCATGAAGGTTGCTCTCACAGCATTTTGCTTGGACTGTATGGTGGGTGTTTGTTGTTGTGATCTTTTTAATGGAATTCATTCTCAGTATTTAAAAATCTGGAGGTCTCACAAAACAATTCGGACTTAAAACTTCTCTCTGAAAAGTCAGGTCGGGCAATACAGAGCTTGCACCTTTTAGTGGAAGCTGCTGGGGCTGACAGCTGTTGCCCCCTTTGTATAGGGCAAGTAGTGGCTTTGGTTTGCCACAGGTCCCAACGACAGGCCCATGCCTGAGACACCGGCTTCACCCCATAACCATTTGAGTTGGTAACCCTTGAACAGCAGTTTAATATGGAGGCAAATTCCAACACAATCCTTGATACAAAACTACAGATGAAATGAGAATCTTTTTTTCTGGTTGAGCCTATGTTTGTGACCCTCTGCTTTTAACTGTTTGTGAGGGGAAGTAGTGTTGTAACTCAGACACCACATTCACTTCAAGTGTTATAAGACACGGGTTGTAACAGTAGGAAATCTTTCGCTCTTCCCCAGGGTGCCCATTCTCCTTATCCCGCAAAGCAAAGTCCTCTACTCCTGGGTCTAGTTCCGGCCCCCTCTAGTGTATGGTAGCTTAAATAAACAAATCAAGGAAAAACTATGTCCTTTAAACGTGAATCATCCTTTCCCCAGGAAGTTTTATGGTGAAACCAGAGTATCTTCAAAGAGGCGGGGCCAAGGCCAGAGCTGGACACCACGACTGCCACGTAAGAGGAATCCCAAGCATACTGCGATCAAGGGAAGGGAAGAAAATCCACTCCCAGAAGCAGCTTTTTACTGTGACTCTCATCGTTACTAGAATTAAAATGGCAAAATGAGAAAGCCAGATTCTGAGTCACGGAGGGGGAGCTAAGTGACAGCTCTGTCCAGAGAAAAGGATGTGGCAGGGCTGGGAGGCCCCTCACGTGGTCAGGGCTCCGGACTTCCCACTTCCCACTTCCCTCCAAAGTAGGCTCTGCCACAGAGTCTGAGCCTCCTCTCTTTTTTCATTCTTTTACCTCAGAACCCTGTGGCCAGGCTCCTTCCAGAGGCCCCTGCCAGGAGGTCCAGGGTCTGTTTCAGGGCCCTCAGGCTGTTGCCTTAAGTTCCCTCAGCCTGAGGTTTATCCACACGACTTGCACCTGCTACTCACTCAGAGCCTTTCTCTTCTCCGGTCTGTTGTTGGCTCCTCCCTTCCTGGTGCCTCAGCCTGCCACTGTGTTCAAGTTAAAAGCCACCACCACCACCACCACTCCCCATTTCCTGCTTTCCTGCCTCTGCCCTTTCATGAAATTTACTGTCTGTACCTTTCTCACCTCCATTCTCTCATTTTGTTGTTATCTGACCTTGTCAACCATTCTGCTGAATTGTTGGCAGACACTAATCATGGCCTCTATGTCACCAAATGACCATTTAGCTAGGTATCCTGACCTTTTGCAAATTAGTCACCTGCCCCAAGAGGCTGGGATCCAGGGAGACTATTGTCTGCCTCTCACTCAGTCCCGGGGACTGCCTGGTGTCTGAAGCCTTAGGACAGATGGCCATAAGGCACAAGCTAAAGGCAATTTTTTTGTGAGGCACCATGTGGAAAATGGGAGACAAAGAGATGGCAAAGAACGGGTGTCCTCTCCATTTCTCAGAAAATGCTGTGGCTTCAACTCAGTGAAAAATGACAAGCATAGAAGCCTCTGCTGCATTGTACAGCAGGAGCTGAAACCCAGCATGGACCTTAGGGCATCTCAATGGAAAGCCGCCATGGGGACTGCAGATGCGTCAAGTGCTGTGGATGGAAAGAGGGTGTGCGTGTGGACTAACACGTGTGGACTCTCCTTTGGCTTGTGTGAGACACTCCCAGGCACTCTCAGAAAATACACCTTGGAGGGTGGGAAGTGAGGGCATTTTTTAGGGGAGAATCAGTCCTGCTTTACAGATGGTTGGCAACAAGCTAGTGAAATATGTGTGGTTACTCTTTTTTTTTTTTTTTTTTTTTTTGAGACGGAGTCTCACTCTGTTGCCCAGGCTGGAGTGCAGTGGCACGATCTCTGCTCACTGCAAGCTCCGCCTCCCGGGTTCACACCATTCTCCTGCCTCAGCCTCCTGAGTAGCTGAGACTACAGGCACCCGCCACCATACCCGGCTAATTTTTTGTATTTTTAGTAGAGACGGGGTTTCACCGTGTTAGCCAGGATGGTCTCGATCTCCTGACCTCGTGATCTGCCCACCTCAGCCTCCCAAAGTGCTGGGATTATAGGCGTGAGCCACCGTGCCCGGCCAATGTGACTTCATTTGTACTCACAGGCTGATGAGGGCTGCAAAAAATGTGGCCACAAACGAACATTCTTCAGGGTTTTTCCTTACCCACTGTGCAGGGTTTGACCTTGTAGATCACTGCAGGCCTCTGGAAGTTCTCTTCCCACTGCCCATTGCAGCATGATCTTTTTGCTCTTTCTATTGGATATTGTCTCAGTGTCTTTGTTAAGAATTTTGCCTACACATATGGTCTATCTTGGGGCTTGATCTTCTCATTGTGTACACACCCACTCCTTGAGAGGTCGTAGCTCCACACATGACTCCAGCTGTCAGCTTTTTACTGATGAGCATCACGTTTTTCCTTATCTGGACCTCTCTCCTAAGCTTCAGGGAAGGCTATCTCATTGCCTACTGAAAAGACCCACCTGGGGATTCCTTAGGCCTCTCAGCCTCTAGGCAGCCAAAACTGAATCTCCCCTGAAGCCACCCTCTTTCCTCCATACCTGCTCATTGAGCCTGCATGCACCTTCATGTACCTTTTCGGCCAGGGCGGAAACCTGGCAGGCATCTGTGCTGGCCTCTGCTTTCACTTATGCATAGTGGCCAAACCCTACCAAGTTTGCCTCCTGAGTGCCTCCCTGGTCTGAACACCTGACTGCTCCTGCTGCTCTAGCCCTCATTAGTTCTTCACTCCCTCTTGTAGCACCTCCACCCTCGCCTCACTGCCTACTCCACACTGCTGCTGGGGCAATCTTTAAAAATACAGAACCTATCTTGTTCCCTCTTAAAACTAGTCCATGGGCTGGGCGTGGTGGCTCATGCCTGTAATCCCAGCACTTTGGGAGGCTGAGGCGAGCAGATCATGAGGTCAGGAGTTTGAGACCAGCCTGGCCAATATGGTGAAACCCCATCTCTACTAAAAATTTAAAAATTAGCTGGGCGTGGTGGCGTGTGCCTGTAGTCCCAGCTCTTTGGGAGGCTGAAACAGGAGACTCTCTTGAACCCGGGAGGCAGAGGTTGCAGTGAATGGAGATTGTGCCACTGCACTCCAGCCTGGGTGACAGAGCAAGACTCCAACTCAAAAAACAAACAAACAAACAAACAAACAAAAAACTAGTCCATGTTTCCCCAGGACAAAATCCAGATTTCCCTGTGGGGATGTGGCCCTGTGTGATGGGTCCTCCCTACCTTGTTCATCGTATCCCAGCCTCCCCACCAACATTTTAGAGACAGGAGGCAGCCAAGGGTCCCTGGTGAAACCCTGCCTCCAAGTCTAAAACAACCTGAAGGCTGAAAAACTGGACTGCTGTCCTAGTACTTTGGGAGGCCAAGGCAGGTGGATCACCTGAGGTCAGCAGTTCAAGACCAGCCTGGCCAACATGGTGAAACCCTATCTCTACTAAAAATACAAAAAAAATTAGCTGGGCATGGTGACAGGCGCCTGTAATCCCAGCTACTTGGGAGGCTGAGGCAGGAGAATCACTTGAACCCAGGAGGCGAAGGTTGCAGTGAGCCAAGATCGTGCCATTGCACTCCAGCCTGGGCAACAAGGGCAAAATTCTGTCTCAAAAAATACCAGAAACAAAGACAAAAATTGGACTGCTGGTCCTGGATGAGGCCCACCTTTTCCTGACTGATTCTTTCTGAATAATGCCCACCTGTGCACTGGGAAGGCGGAATGGAACTTTGGGAAGTTTGCACCGTTTGCAGCGAGGAGGAGCCTGGCCTCTCCTGTTCCTGTGTGCTGACCTGGAACTCAATCTGTGAGCCGGGAAACCTGCTATCAGGACTCTCTCTTGCTTTGCTGAGAATTATTTTTCCTTTTTCCTTTTCATCCAATAAATTCCATTTTCCTCACCCTTCTGTGTGTCCGCAAGCCTAATCTTTCCTGGTCGTGTGACAAGAGCCCAGTTTTACCGGAACTAAGGGGAAAGTTCTGCAACAATTTCTCCTTTGCTCCAACTGTGTGGACTCTGAGCCATTTCGTCATTGCTGCCACTCACACTTTGGACCTGCTGCTCCCTGTGCCCAGGGTGCCCTTCCTCTTATTTCTGTGTGGCTGACTCCTGCTGGCCCAAAGGGACTCAGATCAGGATGGTGTGTTAGCACCTCTAGGAAGTACCCCAAAACACACACCTCTTTCCCCCATGGGATGGGTGCCTCTCCATGGAGCTCACATGTCATACTGCGCCCTGACTCATCACATGTCATTGTTCCTTTGTATTAATTTTCTGTCATCTACAGTGAGTTCCTTGAGGGCAGGGAAAGGGCTTTTTATCTCTGCATTACCAGAGCCCAACAGATACACACTGGTTCTTATCCATCCACCCATTCATCCAACAAACATTTATTAATCAACTACTCTCAGCCAAACACAAACATCCATCATACAGCCCCAGGTCTTAGGAGTTTATAGTTTAGTGGGCAATATAAACAAGGAAAATGGACACAAGTGTTAGAAAGTGTTCTAGTTAACAGAAGTGTGTATGGGCATTAGGTTAACCAAAGGGAGTAGTCACTCCCACCTGGAGGGTGACTGGGGAAAGGGCCCACATCAAAGGAGAGCTAGGCTGAATCTTGAGGGATAAGAAGAAGCTTCTGAGTGTACAAGGAAGGGAGGGGCATTGCAGGCAGAAGGAGTAGGAAAAGGAAGAACAACATAAACGGTGCTCGACATTGAACATGGATAGAGCATTAGGGGTTTGCGTGGGGAGAGGAGAGACAACTGGAGAGCAGGCAGAGAATAGGGGAACTTTACCACACTGCAGAGGGAGGAGTTCACACACAGGCACCAAGGAGCTGGAACAGGCATACTTTATATATGGATAGATTTGTAGTCAAACGTTTGATGTATTAATGATGGTGTCACATCTCCCAAGTCACACAATGAGTACCTAAATGCAGTTTGATCACAGAAGGGCTCTAATGAGTGACAGGAATGCTTTGGAGCTGGCAAAACTTTCAGGGTCCCTCTGTGTTCACCCTGGGACCAGTCCTGGCTTCCACAAGGCTTGAAGTGGTACGAAGGGGCGGCTCAGGGGGTGGTGGGCTGCCATTGCTCCAGCTGCCCTCAAGGCTGCTACACTAAGCATGGCTGCCCATGTGGCCCCTTAGGCATGCTGCTGTGGGGGCTCAGGTGAGAGAGCCTTGGTACCAGCTGCCTTTTTCAACCTCAGACAATGAAGGTTCTGGTTTGGGGCCGTGCCTTGTTTTCAGAGTCTAATTCTTTAGGAAGCTCTCTCTGGCCCTCTCCAGATTTGACTGCGGGGGGCACTGACTCTGGCTCTAACTGCAGTCTCTCTGGACAGATGTTTCCTTGCCTTCTACCTCTATGCAGGGCTGTGTGATACTGAACTCAGTAACACTGACAGCTACCATTTACTATGTACCTACTGTGTGCTGGGCTCAGTGCTAAGAGCTTTATATGCATGATCTCTAATCATCACAGCAACTTTGAAAAGTTGATATTTTGGATCCCAAACTGACTAGAAGAATAAGGAAAATCTTCCTAACTTGAGGGACTTGAAGTTCAGCCAAGGTCAGGAGTACGGGCTGCCTCCCTACAGGCTGCCTCCCTACAGGCTCTGCCATACATTTGGAAAGTCTCTCTTGTTGCCCCGTGTCTGCAAACAACCATTCCAGAGGCAATGGGAAAGCGTTAATCTAAAGTTTTCCCACACCAAACCTCCCCTTGTGTTATTGGTTAAATTGCATCACAGGCTCATTCCTAACCCAGAGACTAGCAAAAGGAATGGAGTGACCACCACTTTTAGAGAAAATGAGGCCCATTGCTAGATTAGAAATGGTTTGACTTCTTTTTTTTTTTTATTATACTTTAAGTTTTAGGGTACGTGTGCACAATGTGCAGGTTAGTTACATATGTATACATGTGCCATGCTGGTGTGCTGCACCCATTAACTCGTTATTTAGCATTAGGTATATCTCCTAAAGCTATCCCTCCCCCCTCCCCCCACCCCACAACAGTCCCCAGAGTGTGATGTTCCCCTTCCTGTGTCCATGTGTTCTCACTGTTCAATTCCCACCTATGAGTGAGAATATGTGGTGTTTGGTTTTTTGTTCTTGCGATAGTTTACTGAGAATGATGATTTCCAATTTCATCCATGTCCCTACAAAGGACATGAACTCATCATTTTTTATGGCTGCATAGTATTCCATGGTGTATACGTGCCACATTTTCTTAATCCAGTCTATCCTTGTTGGACATTTGGGTTGGTTCCAAGTCTTTGCTATTGTGAATAGTGCTGCAATAAACATACGTGTGCATGTGTCTTTATAGCAGCATGATTTATAGTCCTTTGGGTATATACCCAGTAATGGGATGGCTGGGTCAAATGGTATTTCTAGTTCTAGATCCCTGGGGAATCGCCACACTGATTTCCACAAGGGTTGAACTAGTTTACAGTCCCACCAACAGTGTAAAAGTGTTCCTATTTCTCCACATCCTCTCCAGCACCTGTTGTTTCCTGACTTTTGAATGATTGCCATTCTAACTGGTGTGAGATGGTATCTCATTGTGGTTTTGATTTCCATTTCTCTGATGGCCAGTGATGGTGAGCATTTTTTCATGTGTCTGTTGGCTGCATAAATGTCTTCTTTTGAGAAGTGTCTGTTCATGTCCTTTGCCCACTTTTTGATGGGGTTGTTTTTTTCTTGTAAATTTGTTTGAGTTCATTGCAGATTCTGGATATTAGCCCTTTGTCAGATGAGTAGGTTGCAAAAATTTTCTCCCATTTTGTAGGTTGCCTGTTCACTCTGATGGTAGTTTCTTTTGCTGTGCAGAAACTCTTTAGTTTAAAGGGAGAGCTCTGATGGGGAGAAGTAGATTCCTTAGCAAACAGGAATTCCCTAGGAAGGAAGAAGAGAAAAATGGTTGTGGGGTAGGCAACCAACAGTGTTCATTGCCAACTCCTAGCACAAACTCCTTAGAACCAGTGAGCCACCAATAGGAACTTTATCTTGCTTAGACAGACAAAACTGAAAACACTGAAATAAAAGGTGGGGCTTGTGCTGTTGGGAAGAAGGTTTTATCTACTCCAGGCCTAAATGTTTTTCAGTGAGGTTATCGAAATGATATTTATTTAACAAATAAATATCCCATTAGAGTAGGTATCAGTACCTGCCATTTGCAGGTAAGAAAACAGACCCAGGAAGGTTAGGAGACTTTGTCCCGGGCTTCCCAGCAAGGAAGCGCCAGATGTGGGATTCAAGCTCAGGTGTTGGGTCCAAAGCAGATGCTCTCTCTGCTGCTCTACAGAGCAAATTCCAAGGTCTTAAAGGAAGGATAACACAAGCCTGAAAGGGGTCCCGAAGACCATCTATTCTAACCCCCTCGTGAGCTTGCCTCCATGCCATGGCATTTTTCCCACTGGGCACTTGTCCAGCCTTCCCTTGAACCCCTCCATGGAACAGGCAGGAATTCACATCTATGAAAAGAATGCTGAGTGTCCCTCATGGAGCAGGAGCCCACTCCTCAGGGAAACTGAGTGCCTGCACCCAAGGCACACACAACTTTCAAGTAAGAGGGAACATGTCATAGTGTCGTTCAGGATCTCAGATCCAGGATCAGGGAGAGGCAGCACCTGTGTACATGACATCATATGAGATAGAATCACAGCCTTGCTTGTGAGAAAGAAAAAGAGTGGTCCCAAACAGAAGTGAATTTAAATTCACATGGCAAGGCTTTTCTGAAAACACACCTGAGCACATTTCTGCTTGAAATCTATTCGTGATGTTTCTACCAGCTGCTGGTCTATCTGAGCACCAGCTCCATCCTAAGCTAGGCTTACTCCACACAGCTGATAGAGGCTCAGCAAAGCTTAACTAGGCCTGTCATAAACTCGCCCCACAACTAAAATGAGACATTCCTGTTATCTTATTCCTAGTCTAACTTTTATCTGGATAATTCTTTTTGTCTATACACATCCAACCCCCAAACAATCTATGTACTGGATATCTTTTTGTTGTAAATAAAAAAATAAAACATTGACAAGTGTTCAACTTAAATACTCCTTAAAGGGGCACTAATTTAGAAATATATCAATATAATGAAATACTTAAAAATTTTTTTTAAAGAGGCAGAATTAAGTCAGTTGATATGAAATAATCTCTAAGATATTAAGATGCAGCACAGTGGCATCAGTATGCTAGCTACCATTTATGTTTAAAAAAATGGTATATTGAGTGGGACTTTCTTGTTTGTTAGAGTAGAGTTGGAAGGGGAAAGCTGAGGATTATGAAGGATAAATAATGCACCTTGTATAGAAAGCCACCAACAACAGGCCAGAATTCCTTTCTAGGGCTTTCTTAAAGATGAAACAACTGACCTTACAGCTATCAGCACATACTCCCCACCTTCCCACCCTAGTTGGCCTAGTAAGGAGTGTTGGAGTTTTTCCTTTCCCACCACGCCCCCCTGCAAGCCACATGAAATGGGTCCCAAGAGAAACATCATTAAAGATTGGAGTTTACTTGCAAGAAGAGGAGGCTGGTGCCTCATTTACCAGTTGGTCAGCTGCTTAGGTATAGTTGATGCATTGATCTGCCCTGTGCCTGCTGAGCAGGGGCAAAGAGCCTTGGGAGAAATTGCAGAGTCTGGCTTGAAAGGGACATGTGAGTCTCCCATGGGCAAGTGCACATGGAAGGTGACAGCCTTGAGTTGTCTTGTTTCCTATCACTGGGCAAGGAGAGCCCAGCATAAGAGGCTGTGGGGTGTACACAGAGGCAGAGGCTGAAGGGGCTGGAGGAGGTCAACCTGCAGCTTGATCTGCCACATTGGGGAAGCCATGTATGTGAGAGAGCCTCTTTGAAGAACTTACCTGGCAGCCTCAAAGAGCCTGTTTTAGGGTGCCAGCTATTAAGATGGTTAGTGTTGGCCAGTGAGGCCATGAGCATTCACAGAGAAAGAACCATAACATAGGAAGTTCAGTAAGGAAACAGTTACCCTCCCTCTCCATTGCCTCTCCCAGTCCCCAACTTTGATAAAGGAGGGGCAGGAGCTGTCATTGAACCTGATCATGACCCATCCCTCTCTACTCCAAGAGGAAAAGTGAAGGGACAGGAGTAAAAGACAGATATGCCCTCTGCCCACTGCAGGTGCCCCCAGGTCATGATGGGGGTGGGTGGTTTGAATAGATATGATTGTAATTTTACACTCGATTAGACCAGAATTTTTAACAGCTAAAAGTGAGAAGAAAGCTATGGGACCCCTCCATTTCTGCCTCCCTCATAGGGATGGGAGATTGGACAGAGCACAGTTGTAAGTTGTGATCAGTTAAACCCCACCCCCCACTGCCCCACATTTTAGGTTAGTTTCCCACAGCTCCATATATGTGATATGGGCAGACTATCTCTGGAAGGATAGAGAAGAAATGAGGAAATGCCTCTTGAAGAATGACTTGCAGACTGACCCCAGGCCAGGTATACTTCCTGCATATTTTTTGTGCTAGTTTTTGTTTGCTTGTTATCACATGCAAATATTACACAAAATAGGCAGAAGGCATGCCAAAGCAGTGAGAGGGAACAGGGAGGATGGAAGAATGGAGACAGGACCCTTATATCTCAGAAAAAATCAACCAAATTTATCTCTTTAAGGTAACAGGTTCACACTGAGGTGCAAAACTCATATCTATTATTTGCCCCAGAAGGAATGGGTGCCGGGGTGATGGACGCTACTTTGCACACAGTTTGGTCCTGAGGGGCAGAGGAAGTGAGGATAAATGAGGATACTCACAGACAAGTTGCATGCTAGAATTGGCCTATCCGGGTGGCAGGAGACAGAAGAGACACTGGGATGCACACAGCCCTCCACCTGCCTGTCCTCTGCCTAAAGGAGTCTCTTAACCACTTCCTGGGTCATGAGAACATTCCAGAAAGTGGAACCTGACCCTGGCCTTCCCCACCAGACTGCGTGCAAAGGAAAAATCACTTCATTCAAGGATGAGTAGTCGGAAAGCGCCATCACGAGATCTGTGTACAGATAATAACAGAGGAAAGGGGTGTGGGACAGGGAGAGAAGAAACATCACCACGGTATTACAGATATATGTACAGGATTCTCCCTGTGACACTGTTTGTAATAATGATAATAATAATAGTAACTTTAAAACTTGAGAATGGCCTAAATATCCATGAATAAGGAACTAATTCTACAAATCATGGTACATCTATATAACTAGTTCTTTTGAAGCCTATTTTGTGTAATATTTGTATGTGATAACAAGCAAACAAAAACCAGCACAAAAGGTATGCCGGAAGTATACCTGACCTGGGGTCAGTCTGCAAGTCATTCCTCAAGAGGCTTTTCCTCATTTCTTCTGTATCCTTCCAGAGATAGTCTGCCCGTATCCATAAAATCATGAGTTCTGTCTGTACATGCTAATATGGAAAGATATTCAAGATATATAACTTTAAGCGATTTATTAAATAGGCAACATATAAACATAGTATAAAATCCTAATAATACAAAAGGGTATACAGTGCAAAGGAAGTTGCTCTTTTTTTTAAAAACCACAAATATGTTTATTCCTCTAAAAACAGTATACCATCTTTCCAGTTTTCAAAATGTTATCATCAATTATCTGCAGATTACTCTCATTAATCTGATTTTTTAAAATCTCAGAGCAGAGCAATTCACCAGCACCATCATCAAGCGAGCTACAAATCTATCCTTTACCAAAGCAAGGAGACACTTAAGATCAAGTCAAGAGAAGAGCTTTCAGTGTTTGCATAAGGGGTACTCACATTCATTTGTCACACACTTCAGGGCCCCATATCCCCCTTTTAAACTGTCTAACTCCTAACCCGGTCTATTTTTATAGTCTGAAAACAAGGAGTCACCCAAGTGCGATATTCCTTCAGAGCACTGTTGAAAATGGATCAAACATGGAGATCCTCCAGATCCCTGTTCTCAAGTGTTAAAAAATATTTTATATTAGCACATAGAATATCCTTAGATATATTCTGTTATGTTCTAAAGAGTTTGTGTTTCTCCCTTTTTGATGATGTCTTCAATTTCTTCTGAGACCTTTCCTGTATAGTCATTTGGTTCTATTGCTTTTAACTTCTCTTGATACTCCAGCGGCAAACCATTTTTATTTTTGCACCCATGCAAATAATCTTTTTATACTGTGAAGACGGAGGAGCACTTTCGTAATTTGTCATCAGATATCTTTGACAGGTTATTTCTCTTCCTTCTTGAGTTGAAACTTTAACTTCTATTACAACATATGTTCCTTTTTTTTTTTTTTCTTTTTTGAGACGGAGTCTCGCTCTGTCGCCAGGCTGGAGTGCAGTGGCGCAATCTCGGCTCACTGCAAGCTCCGCCTTCCGGGTTCAAGCAATTCTCCTGCCTCAGCCTCCTGGGTGGCTGGGACTACAGGCGCCCGCCACGACGCCCAGCTGTTTTGTATTTTTAGTAGAGACGGGGTTTCACCATGTTGGCCAGGACGGTCTGGATCTGCATGCGGGCCACACAGAAGCCCGCCGCCGAGGGGTTTCGGAGGTGGATACTCTCGTCAGCCGGTTGCTACCGTAGGCGAAGTACAGAAAAATGTCCTCATCCGGGCCCGGGACGTCCCTGCAGCCCAAGTTCGCCATGTCCCACTGCTGCCTGCACGGGAGCCTGGAGCAGAGCTGTGAGGAGCCGCCAGAGAGCGCAGCGCGGCGGCCCAGGACCCCGGCCCAGTGACTGCCTCGCCGCCGCCTCCAGGAAGTTGCACTTTTACCTCATCCCTCAACAGTTCAGATCCTCTCACCAGGGGCAACCCCTATTTTTGGATTCTTGTGCTAGGATATGTTATCAAATTTTTTTAAAAAGGTCAGACCACCGTATGATTCCATATGTGTAAAATTTAGAAGATTACATATATATTTGCAGGTGTGGGTATGTGTACAATATATATATGTTATACATATACACAATACAATATATAAAATCAATATATATTATTTTTTCTAAAACGGGACTGATGACTCAATTAATTAATTAATAATTTCCCCATCAGTCAGATGGGGAAGGGGCTTTTTATTTTCCATCTTTCTTCATTGAATATTTACCATATGCACTTTCACTTGTATGTTTAATCTTTTTATTTATTTAAAGTAGGTACTGGGATGTAGGGAGTTGGAGAAACCCGTTTGGACTAGACTTTAAAGAACTGTGGCAGAAGGGTATGAGATACAATAACAGCTTGAGGGAATAGCAGGATTGAGAAAAAGCATCTTTCATTTAAGGGAAACTCGACTATGTTTGTTTTATTTTTTTCCTTTTGCAGAGAGGAAGCAACTAGTTGAGGGGGGAGAATATGAGAGAGAGAGACAGAGAGAGAGAAAGACGATGCTTGATGGAGCAAAGTCACCAACAGCACTGGAGGAGGGGACAGAGGGCCAGGCAGTGGGGCTGACCTCAGAGAAGAGGGGTGCACCTTTGGAGGGTGCACCGGGAAGGGAGGGGACAAACAAGGAGGGTGCCGAGGCTGAGGATGGGCAAGCTAACTGGCCACAGTGCAAGCCCAAGGGGACGAGGGATTCCAGACTCTGGACACACGGCCGAAATAGCCAACTGTGGGCTCCTGGCTACAGAGGAGGTGAGTGGAGCCAGGAGAAGAAGATGAGAGAAGAGAATGGAGAGGCATTAAGTCAAGATGAAGAATAAAAACTGGTTCAGTGCCAGGGTTTAAAAAAACAATAATATTTTTAAAACGTTATGCCCAGTGACAGGAAATTCAGGCTCTGGGTGACAGGAAATTCAGTAGGCACTCGGTGGCTGCTGGGCTGCATGACTCAATTTGTGTAGCAATGTCGAATGCTGAAACAAAAAATAAAAGTTTTTTAAAAAATACTTTCAAGGTTTTGGGAAATATAATTTTGGTTAACATGACCCCACAATTAAATGAGGTCTATTTAATTAGGGAGGCAGTACTTCTGGAGGAAAACAAATTGCCTAGGCTGTCAATTTAGCAATGCAACAAAACATGAAATCAATAGTTTATTAATATCAGGTGTATGGGTATACACCTGCCTTATACAGAAGTAAGAGCTGTATTCACACACCTAGTTGCAAAGAAATTAAACATGAGCTGAGATGCTCAAAGAAAATGAATCACTTAGGGATAGAGCATCTCTAATTCGAAAGGACAGTTTGTCCCACCCAGAAACAATCTCTGGGCTCATGTGTAGATGGAACTGTCACTTGGAATGACTTGTCAAAAGGGCTTCAGGTAAAACTAAAGCTGAAACTGAAAGGTAAAACTCTGAGCTAATAATAACTATTGACCCACATCACCAGAAAGTTTTGGAAATGAATCAAGAGGAAACAACAGCCACTTAGCCCTTCCTCACCCAAGAATCCTCTCTGCCATTCCTTTCCATCCAGCACTTTTTCCCTGTGTAATAACTTTTGGCTCTCATATTTCATTACTCCTCCACAGAATATGAGGTTCAATTACAGGACTCTCACACAGATAGATGACAAGTGTACTTGTGACAAAATGTTCTCTAGTGGGCTTCTGGCTAATATATTTTTGGCACATCCAAATTATGAAAGAGGACACAATTGTTGGTAAAACCAAGGAAGGCATGTATGTGCTGAGTATTCTGTGTCTAAAATCAAAGTAGGCTGGGCACAGTGGCTCACGCCTGTAATCCCAGCACTTTGGGGGACCGAGGTGGGTGGATCATTTGAGGTCATGAGTTCAAGATCAGCCTGGCCAACATGGTGAAACCCCATCTCTACTAAAAACACAAAACTTAGCTGGGTATGGTGGCATGTGCCTGTAATCCCAGCTACTTGGGAGGCTGAGGCAAGAGAATCGCTTGAATCCAGGAGGTGTAGGTTACAGTGAACTGAGATCACAGCACTGCACTCCAGCCTGGGCGATACAGTGAGACTCCATCTCAAAAAAAAACCCCAAAAAACAACAAAAAAAACAAAAAAACACAAAACCACTCACAAAAAAACAAAAAACAAAGTGCAGAACCATGTGTATAGGATAATCTCTTTTTTATGAATATAAAAATCTAGGGTATGAAAACATTATATAATGTGTGTGTATATGGTTATATATGAATGAGATAGAGCTGTATATCCTAACATGAAACATTTCCAAGTGAAAAACATACTAAATTTGTTACTTTGCAAAGTAATATCTACATCTAAAAAATGAAAAATAAAAAAATGACACATGCATAGACGCATGTGCTGTGCAGCGTGGGTGCCTAGACAGGGTAGTAGGAGGAGGCACAGCCAGCCGTGGGCAGTGCGACCTTGAGGAGGAGTGAACTGGAGCGGGATGGTGCAGGTTTTCAGCTTTGCTCTGTAAACTTCTATATTATTTGAAACTTATACAATCAGGATATATTCCTATATGACTTATGTAAGAAAATAAAGAGAAACAGTAAGCACCAAAAATGAAAAGTGTGTAATCAACTCTTTGAGGCCTTCATAGGAAACTGGAGAACCAGACAGGAGTTAACACAAACATGAAATGACACATCCAGGTCTACTAATCATGACTACACTGGGAAAGAGGGGACAGAGAATTTGGTAGTCATGGCAGACCCAAGTATCTTACTTCTGCAGATTTGAGGAATACCAGAGAACTGTGAAGAGACTGAGCTTGAAAGTCCATCTCAAAAGGTCTTTGCCCTTCAGCAGTGACATGGCAGTGGGGAGGAAGGAAGAAAACAGGCTGTCTTTGTGTGGCTGGTGATGCCTAAGTGCTGGAGCGTGAGACAGTCCCCAGGCCCTGTGCCATAGCTGACATGCAGGAATAGGCGTTGGCACTGGGGAGAGCCAGTCTGCTTGTGACAGAAGCAGCAGATGATCAGAAATGGAGGGCGCTTTCTGACAATGACACCATCATCCCACAGGGAAGGAACATCTGACTCTTGGCTCCCACTAAGATGCTGCCAGAGCGGCTGGTCTCAAAGGGCAAAACAACAGCCCCTGATGGAAAGTCTTCACGACGCAGCCTCCGAGGTCCTTCCGCTCAAGGTAAGAGCCCTGCTTGCCTGGCTCTAACTGGATTCCTGAAAACACTCAGGCACAGGGCAAGCTGAGGAAGGGGTGGTGTGGGGCGGGGCGGTGGCAACAAGTCAGTCTTCTGAATCCCCTATCAAAAATCTGGGAAAGGTAGCTTTTTACAATGAGGGTTGGAAACACTGACACAGAGGATGCTGACTGGGGAGGTTTGGAGCCAACCATGGGACCAGGCCTGTCCATTACAATAGAACCAACAGGGCAACCTGGAGTCACATAGGCTAATCTAAACCAGCCTGACTGATCCCCATGTCCTTCCCAGGACTTCACTGCTCCAAGAGTAATCAGTCACGTGTCTCAGTAGCAGGAATGAAATCTTTGACCTCACAGCAAGTGAAGCTGGTGAAGGAACAGAAGAGAAGTGAGAATAGGTCCATCTCCACAATGAGGGGAGGACAGCATGGAAGAGGGAGTCCAGGCCCTGCCAGCTGAGGAGATGGGGACATAAGGCACAGCTGTGGTAACCCTGGGCCACCACTCTCCAGCGTCCCCAAAGCCTGCTGTGGTACTCTGTGGCTGCCCTCTGCATCCTGTCTGGCTACCAAGGCGAAAGGGTCTCAGCTGTTTAGGCTAGTGCCAGCCATGCTCCCTCTAATGCCTAAGTGAGGGTTCCGAGGCCTCCACTTCAGCATCTGGGATACTACAAGGGGGACCCAGGAGGAGAAGGGGCCCTAAACATGATCAGGGGATTTTGGCATCCAAACGTGTTGGCCTGGAGACTGTGGGGAGCATAGAAGCTTGGAGAACACACAGCAGGTGTTGATGTGAGGCTGGGCGATGGGGAAATGGAGACTGGGGTTGGGAAACCAACCCCTGGAACAGAGGAAACACAACGCCTTAGGCCTTTACATAACCAGCTTTCAACCTGTCTGCACAGGAGAGTCTCCTGGGAAGCTTTAAAAATACCTGTCTGGGCCCCAACCCGGAACAACTAAATTGGAACCCCAGGGGTCCTCTTGGACTTATGCTCCTTCTAGAGACCTTTCTTCCTCAGTGGAAAACCCACTCAAAGGTGTCTTTTCCGTCTTTGCCGGAAGGCAGAAAATTCACTTGGCACACAGGCTTCTCTGCCAAGTCTTGGGAAGTTTACCTACTCTGTGAGGTGCTGTTTCACTATGAAATTTACTCCCCGTGACGTTCAATCCAGGAAACTGAGTCTCAAGGACCCTGGCTAACAACGGCCCTCACCTCCCTTTGGGTGTATCCCCATTTATTTATGGAAAGTATTTTCTGCCACGTGAAGCACAAAGATTTACTGAGAGGAGGGTGTAGCAGAGTGGTGGGTTAATCCTGAGTGGAGTTGCTTTGCTGTGCAGGTAACTTCCTCTTCCCCCTTACAGCATGAACAGACAGGCCTTTGTGTTCTGAGTTCTTGATTCCCTTGTCCTGGGTGTGGAATGGACAAACACTAAGCTCTTTTGCTTTTTAGAATGGAGATATTGTTTTGAAATGTAAGCTGGAGAAAGGTAGGAGACAGCAACTAGGCTTTGAGAAGAAGGGAGTGGCCTGGCTCTGATGGTAGAGAGAGAGTGGCCAGTCTTGAGTGGTGGGGACTTGCATGCCACTCACCATCCAGCACCCAAGTTGAGATGTACATCTCAGGTGAACTGAGTGAACTGAGGCCATGGACACCTAGGGATGAGACCCGGAGTCTCAGGAACTGGGAGCCAAGTGAAAGGGCCAAAGACCTCGTCTGACCTGGAGATGGTGGGGGCCACCAGAGGAGCCTGCAGATGGGGGCATCGTCCTGGGGACCTGGACAATAAGCAGCTCACTGGCTACCATGCTGCACTAAAGGCCCCTGCCCAATGTTCCTGAATGGTGGAAACTCTAGGACTCTAGACTTCTTTGATCTTCCCAAGGGAGGGATAAGCACAAGGTGATTGGGGTCTGGGCCAGATTTAATTTTCTTTAGAGAAATTAAGAAATGTGGCAATTGTGTTTTTTTTTTTTTTTTTTTTTTTTGAGACAGAGTCTCACTCTGTCGCCAGGCTGGTGTGATCTGGGCTCACTGCAATCTCCGCCTCCTGAGTTCAAGTGATTGTCTTGCCTCAGCCTCCTGAGTAGCTGGGACTACAGGCACCCGCCACCACGCCCAGCTAATTTTTGTATTTTGGGTAGAGACGGGGTTTCACCACGTTGCCCAGGGTGGTCTCCATCCCTTGACCTCATGATCCGCCCACCTCAGCCTCCCAAAGTGCTGGGATTACAGGCATGAGCTACCGCGCCCGGCCAAAATGTGGCAATTCTTATGCTCTAGGGTAGTGGAGTGATTCACACGACCTATATAGATTTGTTGGTTTAAGCAGATCATTGAGGGAGGGCGTTTCCATCCAGTGGCTTTGAAGAAGAGGGTAGAATTAAAGTCTGGTGTATGGCATGAAAAAACCCAACAGAGCCAAAGGGGTGATGCAGGAAAGCCAGGGGAGGAGATCCTGGTAGCAGGTGTTCTAAAAGGAACTTTGGAACCAGCAATAACTAGCATTTTCTGTGGGATATGGATCTAAAGCTCTTCTGTTCCTCCTCTAGGGCATCTTCAGTGAAGTTGAACCTGGTTCCCCAAAGTTTACATGTGATGGCTTCTCTTACCCCAATTCCTCCTTGGAAAATTTTTAAAGTAGCTGTGATTTATTGTTACAAAAACTCCTATAGAAATGTGTACTTCCTCTCATTCCTGACCCCTAGCTTCAGTTCCTCTCCCCAAAAGCAACCACTGTTACCAGTTTCTCGTTTCTCCTTCTGGGGATGCCCTTCATGTATTTTTTCTTAAACAGTATCATTTCTGCTGCTGTTCCACCCCAGCCCTGGTCACTTCACAATTGACCTTGAGCAGATGTACCCCTAACTCATTTTTAGAATGCTACTCACAATTCCATTTTGTGAATGTACCCTCATACATTCAACCAGTCTCCTGTTATTGGAGTTTCCAACATGACTTTCCTTTCTGTGTGAGTGTTTTCTTTTGGAGAGCTCAGAGGTACCTGGGGGGTACTCAGGAGCTTGAGGTCAGAGGACCCAGAGAGTTGAAATCCTGGGGAATTGCTAATATTGGGGAACTTTGGGGTTTCCCCAGCCAAGGCATTGGAGATTTGAGGTGATACTAAAAATATCTCAAGGGTTGATATTTCAGTTTTTTTCCCTCCTCTGAATCCCAGAAATTTCTGGACTAAGCTCCCCTTATGTGCATTAGTGGAGAGATGAAGAGAATGCACCTTTACATGCCCTGCAGTCTGACCCAGAGGCTCTCCATAAAATTGGATTGAATTGAATATACCTTATGTTTGTGAACAAAAATATAGCATTTGTTGCACAGTTTTTTTTTTCTCCTCTGAATCTTCCAGTAGAGAATGGCAATCCTTGCAAAGACCTTCCTATTAGTTTTGGGAATCAGCAGATGGTGTCCGACATGCACTTAATTTGTTTTTTCCTTCCCCCCAACTCTGGCCCCGTCTTTTTTAGGCCCTGCTATTTTGCTGGGCTGAGCAGTATTCCTGCCTTTCAACATCACCCTGAAGGCTCTGACCTGTGAGTACTGATTCACAGGCGGTGTTGGAGGCACTTTAAGATTCCTGCCATGTCATCCTGTTCCTCTTCTGACACAGGCAAGAGCAGTAATGTTCCAGTTGGGCGTTGACTTCTTCCAGGACTGGGTCAACATTCAGGAATTATGAAACTAGTTGCCTCATTTCCTCATGATCTGAAAACCCAAAGGCAATTCCCTCAGGAGGAACAAGTGGGTGGCTGCCATATAGACACCAGCTGGATATCCTCATAGTCGGAGTTTGAGATGAGGAAAGGGTGATGCCCCTTGATAGCAACTTAATGCACATGGGGCATTATTCTGACACACAGTGACACACCTGGCTGTTGTTACTCCTCTTGGATTATTCCATCCCTTGTACTGAGAGCAAGGCCAACCCCAACATGATGAAGCAATTGGTTGGGAGGAAGGTTTCCATAAAAGAAAGGAGAAAGAGAATGATGCAATCTCCATTTTTGTTTCTTCCTCACCTAGTTGAATTCTATAGCAACATTAGCAGAAACACTAGATCCAAGCTCAGGATTCCCAGTTGTGGTGGTGGGAGAGGTGCCCCCAGGAAGTATTGTAGGACTCCTGGAAGTATACACAGGGCTAATGCTAGGCTGCAGTTCAGCAGCATGCGGCAAGGACCAGCAGCAGTTCTGATTGGTTGGGGCCAACGCGATCTGGGGCGTTAATATTTTAAATATGTCTAGATGTATTCTGATATTTAATATTACATAAACATTTTATATGTGGAAAATAAAGGAGGGGAATTTTGTAATTCAAACTACAGGAACTGGTAGGTGAGATGGAGTAATGCAAAAATCACAGTGGGAGGAAAGAAATCCCTGGGGACCACCCCAGCATTTGGGATGGTGATAGTAAGAATTTTGCACATATCAGAAGGGCACATGAGTAAAATATGGTTGAGAAACACTACATAAAATAGAGGTGGTTCTGGTTTGATACCAGCAGGGGTGATACATGAAGAAAACCCATTATAAATCTTCCGTGCATGCCGTTGCGGGGTGGTGCGTTGTCAGACATAGAGATTGAAATCACTCAGCCTTGTGGTCATGAGGCGTGCCAATGGCTTTCCTGAGTCTTTGGGGGCTCCTGAGCAGTGTTCCAGGCACCCTCGTTTGTTCTCACCATTCTGTGATTTCAGGCTCACGTGTTGGAAAAGGGCTTCCTGAAGTAGAGGCCCACAGAAGGCACTACAGTGTGGTGGTGAAGAGCGTGGTTTCAGTCCCAGGCAGACCCAGTCCCAGTTCCTCGGCTGCCACTCACTGGCCACAGAATGCAAGCAAGTGACTTAATCTCTCCGGCCTCCAGTTTCCTCTTTGGTGAGGGTCACAGGACTCACCGCAGAGGAGAGGGGAGGAGCATTTGAGATGATATACTGATAATGTGTTTTCCACAGGGCCTGGCCTAGAGTAGGTGCTTAGTAAGTGGTAGCTGGCACTGCCAGTGCACAGGAGTGAGAGAGCTTGTGAGTCCCACTTCAGCCACAGAAGAGGAGGCAGAAATGCCATGAAGGTTGAGAACTGGAAAAGGGTGATGATCAGGAATAATGACCCTAAGGAAGCAGGAGGTCTTCTGAATCCTCGAAGATTTCCCTGTCCCCAGTAAATCTCCAGTCCTGATGAAGAAAAAAATCTTGTTTCTTGTTTTCGAGAGTGTCAGAAGTAGCTGGAAAGATGTGTCCTGTGCCTAGCCAAAGTTAGGAGAAGAGAAAACACCTAGGAACCAGAGGCAAAAAGAAAAAAAAAAAACCTGGAACCTGGGGCTTGCAGAAAGGCAAAAAAAAAAAAAAAAAAAAAAAAAAAAAATAGTAGCTGACAGTCAGCCAAGACTCGAAGTGTGGCCCCAGGGGCTTGGCCAACAAGAAGCCTGTGGCAATTCCTGACGCAGTAGTTCTGGGAAGTTGATTTACCCAATAAACCTCCCTGCATGGGCTCAGTTTAAGTTTGCAGCTTACTATAAATAAATGTTTGTTCAATGAACACAACTGAATGGGCAGGCTAGCTTGGCTAATAGTATCTATGATTTAGCTACTCTAGAGCCTTCCAAAGGTATCAGGTGTGCCTTATCCATTAGCACAGAGAGGCACAGGGCTGAGCAGGTGAAGGGAGTACACCGCTGTGGTTTGACCTGCTCAATATCCCTTCTTCCTGAAACAGAATCTATCTTTTCTTCTTGGGGAGCCACCCCTCCACTACTTTTAGCCCTTGGCTTAGGTTCTTCTTTTAAGACTCAGTTCTACCAGGAGGTAACCTCTGGTAAATTCTCAAATCCTAGTGCCAGGGTTAGGCATGCGATCAAGGCAATATATCCAAGAAGCGGTATGGGAGGCAATTTGAGCCAATGAGATGCAACTCAATACCTGGAGCCCCTGGGCCAGAGACTTGGAGTTTGTATATCTGCAATTGTTGGGGTTTTGCCTTCTCTCCAAGAAAGCCTGAGTGAGGATGAAGACAACAGGATAAAGCAGAAACGAGAGGGAGAGATGGATTCCTCCTGACACCATTTGAGCTCCTCCTTCTCCAGCTGAGCGTGAGCTAGCCCTGCATTTTCCCGTTGCGTGGGCTCGTAAATTCTCTTTGTGCTTGAGTGGGTTTGAGGTGGGCATCTTTCACCTAAATACAATGGCAAACTGAGAGGGTACCTTCTGTTATCTCTTCACCAGCAGAGTGGAAAAGCAACAGAGTCCTCCTTGTGACCTGAATTATAGATTTCACAGCTCTTTTCAAGGGTTAGCCTCTGTGTTGACTTTTGGTCTTCCCAACTCAGGTGCTTGATTTAAGCTCTAGTCTGAAATTAATTCCACATTTTGTAAAATAAGGAGGAAACAGGAGCTGGTGAGGAAGCATCAACATTTTACAATAAGATCGATTTATATAAAATTTGCTAAACATCTGCCAGTGTATCCACTGCCGAGCCTGGATTATCATCTCCAGCATGGAGTACTGTCTTTTTCTTAACTGCATGGGAGCCATTCTGAGAAACAGTAGGAAATAACTTTGTTAAAAGATGGAGAAGAGTCATCTGGACAATGGAAATTAGTATTCTATTACCTTTCAAGTTTGATGAGTATGGGTTTGGGGTTTAGTAAGTAGTAAATATGGTTTGCATGTCTGTGTCTCTGGCAAGAGGATATATATCTCTGAATAGAACTTGGTCAGCAAATATAAACTGCCTTTAGGTTCATATAGTTTGACAAACATGCTTTTCTAACCTGTGGGTCAGATGGAGATGTGGTTCTTTCTTGTTCCCTGCAGACACCCTGGTCTCCCTTTGTATTAGTCCATTTTCACACTGCTATAAAGAATACCTGAGACTGGGTAATTTATTAAAAAAAAAGAGGTTTAATTGATTCACAGTTGAGCATGGCTGGAGAGGCTGCAGGAAACTTACAATCATGGTGAAAGGCAAAGGGGGAAGCAAGGCGTGTCTTACATGGTGGGAGGAGAGAGAGAGACAGCAAGGGAAGGGGACGTGCTACATTTTTAAACCATCAGATCTCATAAGAACTCTCTCACTATCACAAGAACAGCATGGGGGAAACCACGCCCATGATCCAATCACCTCCCACTGGTTCCTCCCTCAACACTTAGGGATTATAATTCAAGATGAGATTTGGATGGGGACAGAAAGCCAAACCATATCACCCTTCTTCTACATATCCAAAATGTTCCCTACCTTTTCAATTCAAGCCATGTGTGAGATTGGGAAAGTTCTCAATGTGCTTCAGTGATCTTATCTGTAAAATGAGCAGCTTGGACTAGATCAATGGTTCCAACTTTAAAAAAAGGAGTAGAATTCTTTGTTCAAACAGAACTTACACTGAACCCCCATAAATAAACAGATAAAACTGTTGCTATTAAAATGTGGGTGGGACCTGGAAGCCTCCTTGGTTGGCCTCAAGGATGGCTCTTGAGGTACCTTCATGAGCCTTTAAGACTCAGATGAACAGCCAGGCCTGGTGGTTCATGCCTGTAATCCCGGCACTTTGGGAGGCCATGGAGGGCGGCTGACCTGAGGTCAGGAGTTCGAGACCAGCCTGGCCAACTTGGCAAAACCTAGTCTCTACTAAAAATACAAAAATTAGCCAGGTGTGGTGGCGGGCACCTGTAGTCCCAGCTACTCAGGAGGCTGAGGCAGGAGAATCTCTTGAACTCGGGAGGTAGAGGTTGCAGTGAGCCGAGATTGCACCACTTCACTCCAGCCTGGGCAACAGAGAGAGACTCCATCTCAAAAAAAAGACTCAGATGAACTATTTCAGAGCCTCAGACCAGATGTTCTCCAAGATCTTTTCCATCTCCCAACATTGCAGTCCTGTTTTTAAGTGCCACATCTTCTGTGAAGCCTTTTTAATACCCTGACTCATGCAGATTGCTTCTTTTTCTGTGCCACTTAGCGTTTGTGACTATGCACACACACTGCCCGTGTTTGTACACTGAACCACGTATGGAGATTGTCTTTCTTTGAAGCTTGTACCTCTATGCATTTCTTTTGGAAACTGACTCAAAACTGACTAGTAAGGTACAGAATGTAACTGAAAGAACTCAGGAAATGGGGAGATAAATTTTGTTCACAGTCCAGGGAAAGGTCTGCCCTCCTGGGGCAAGTCGCCTGTGCTGGCATATGGTGAGCTGCTAGCCCAAAGCAAATAAAATCTGGATAGATATGAAGCATGGGTACCAGGCACAGATGGGCGGCACAGACCTAAGGTCCCCATAATTGGTCCGTCTCCCAGATCTTTTTTTCCTGGTGCTCGTGTTGGCCAAGCTGTGGTAGTTGGAAGGCCATGGAAGATGTTTGCATAGCCTCACCTTTCAGCGTCACTGGGCCAGCCACTGCAGTAGATGGTTAGGTTACTACTAAAGACACCATCAGGGGGAAAAGCCTGGGCTTGTCTCTACTACCCCACCTGCCTTAGTTGTTTTCTTTCCACTGTGGGTCGAGTTCTGCTTTCCTGAATAGCGGGCTTTTTTACTGTCATCCTCAGTCTGGGGTTATGTGTAAACTTTAGGGAGCTTAGAAACATACCTCACACTGGATGTGATTTTTGCAAGACCAGCCATGTTCAGTGGGACCTACCCTAGGGCAGTATGTAGTGAACAGATTCTGGAGGCTCAGGAAGAGACATTATGGCTGGAGCACCACCTAGTGGCAGTGAAGAACAGTGCATGTGATGAACCAATGATCTTCCCAGTGAAGTGTAAATGGGTAAATATTAAGTTAAATCGCTTTCAGAGATTCCCTTTCTCCAAAAACAATCCCATTTAAAATATGCTTTAAAGCAAAAACTATACTGGACATAATTTTTAGTCTTTTACTAATTATTCCAAATATATCAGTGTCATCATAATGAAGACTTATTATAGAGTTCTCAGTGATAAGATGCTTAATATTAGCCTGTAAATGATTGCTATCATTTACAAGAGGAATTAGGAGAAAGAATGTGGCTAATTCAGTGGAAACTCACTTCTGAAAATTATTCAGTTTGCCACAGATCTTTTGGAATATTGAATCTTAGAATCTTTGTGTTGTGAAAAGTCTCAAGGATACACTAGCCCTGTGCTGAACATTTTCTTAGCCATGGAACTCTTTCTTCTAATAAAATCTTATTCTGCCACCTGTATTACCTTCAAACCCTTAGAATGGTCAACAAGGGAAGCCATGCAGTTGTCTATATGTTCGAATTTGAGGTACATATGAGGTATAGCTTATGCTGTGGTCATACTGAGCTTTTCCACAAACCTAATAAAACATATCCAAAAAATTATCACCACTAAAGGAGTCATCTTCAGAGGCAGTACTTTTATGCCAATATAACCACCACTGATCAAGACAATTTGGGGACTTCTCTTTTAAAATTGCCTTTGTATTAGTTTATACTGGTGACATGAAAATCATATTACATTACTTTGGGTCCTACTTGTTTGGAACAAAAAACTGCATTACACAGCTCAGTCGACTTTCTTAATTATCAAATTGATCCGATATCCTCTATTTCTCAAAACTAAATCTTTCCAAAAGGTAAGAAGATGATGGTCATGGATTTTGCAGTACATCTCTGTGCCTCTCAAACTCTGGGAGATGATTTACCCTTGAAAGAGCTCAAGGTGATGACCTTTAAATGGTTTGCAGATACAAGGAGAGAGACAGATGGGCAAAGAAGTGCAGTTCATTTTCGATTAGAAAATATTCCTCTAATTTCTAATTAGAAAAGTTTTAAAGTGATGTAGAAGGTAAGACTAGGGTGAGTGGGGGTAATGAGAATGAGAAAGTCTTTAACAGGGGGACTGTTAAAAGACTCACTCCTTCAGGATGGCTTTGGTATAATGTGTATGATTGTAGAGACAGACTTGGTTCCTACGACAACAGATGTAAAAAAAAAAGAGGCAAATATTCCTATTTTTTTCATAAAATATCCAACATTTCACAGCAGTTTGCAAAGGTTAAAGTCGGATCTCAAGTTAAAACTGGTGTGTAGCCATAATACTAATCATACACAGTACTCTTTGTTCATTTAATTTAGTTGAAATTAAAAACAACTTTATAAGTATAATTTTAATAATGAATTATTTTAAATAGGCAACATACATATCAACAATTGGTTTTGAATCTGTGCTTGCTGGCTGAGAAGAGGGGTTAAGAGTGTGAGCTCTGACTTCCCAGGATTGAATTCTAGCTTGACCTTGGGCAAATCACATAGTATTTCAGTGCCTTAGTCTCCAGCTCTGGAAAATGAGGATGATAATAATTGCACCCCCTTAAAAAGTTGTTGTGAGGAATGTAAAAGAACATTTTCTCCTTACAGGAGCATTTCTCAAGGATGGATCATAACTGACTATTGTGTGTCTCAAGGTTGGCTCCAAACCAGCAGAAGCTGAATAAAGAACTGTGAACTTGGAATGACTGTGGGACGCTAGGCTCTTACTGGTCCTAACTGAAGACTTTTTCCCAACAGCGAGCAATGGGGCTTCTTTTAACCAACTCTATTTACAACCTTAGATTCATTCCGTTCTTTGCAAAGTACTGGATTTCAACACTTAATTAGCAATAACCACATGAACCTACCCTGGCAAGCCCTTTAACAACTCTGAATTTTCCCTCTCAGTGAGCTACTACTTAATTCAGTAAATTTCTCCCTATCCTGTATTCCTGTGGCTAGCAAGTCAATAGACTCAGCTTTTATTTTATTTTGAGTTGGAGTCTCGCTCTGTCATTCAGGCTAGAGTGCAGTAGCTTCATTTTGGCTCACTGCAACCTCTGCCTCCCGGGTTCAAGCGATTCTCTTGCCTCAGCCTCCTGGGTAGCTGGGACTACAGGCATGTGCCACCATGCCCAGCTAATTTCTGCATTTCTAGTGGAGATGGGGTTTCACCATGTTGGCCAGGCTGGTCTTGAACTCCTCACCTCAAGTGATCCACCGGCCTCGGCCTCCCAAAGTGCTGGGATTACAGGCATGAGCCAGTGCTCCTGACCTCAACTTTTAATTTTTATCTATCGATCTAGTCTATTATTACCCGCTACTTACCTACCCATCCATCCATTCATCCATCCATCCATCTGCCCATCCTTTTTTTTGTTTATTAGCTCTGGTCTTTGTTATATTTGTTGATAGGCCCAAGTAAATTAGTATGTGTAAAACTCACTTAAAACAGTGCTTAGCACATGGTAAGCATAATATGTGATAGCCCTTATGATCTAGTAACTCACCAGTATCTTGTGTGTATTAGAACAATGTGTCTCTGTAATATTTTAATTATATCTCTATAAGAGCATACATAAATGACAATATATAAATCTCAATAACAGAATGTTTCTAACCCAAGTTTTAAGTAATGATATGTGTTCAGGAATACTTCATCTGGCATCTAGGGGAATGGTTGGGAAGATTTTGAGCTTCTCCAGTGGGAAAAAGGCTGGCATATTCAGGTCTAACTTCAGAGTCAAAGTCTTTGAAGTTAATAAATAGTTTTTAATTTTGAATAAAATAAAAACTATTTTTTTTAGTTTGAAGAAAGACTATTCATTCTCCAGCTTATGAACTTTTTTTTTTTTTTTTTGAGACAGAGTCTCGCTCTGTCGTCCAGACTGGAGAAATGGCGCAATCTTGGCTCACTATAACCTCCACCTCCCGGGTTCAAGCAATTCTCCTGCCTCCACCTTCTGAGTAGCTAGGATTACAGGCACCCGCCAGCACGTCCAGCTGATTTTTGTATTTTTGTATAAACGGGGTTTCACCATGTTGGCCAGACTGGTCCTGAACTCCTGACCTCAGGTGATCCACCCACCTTGGCCTCCCAAAATGCTGAGATTACAGGCGTGAGATACCATGCCCAGCCGAACTTAAGAACTTTTGAAAATTATAACTCTGAGCTTTTTAAGGACACAGGGTTAAAAGGTGGTTTGTTGGCAGATGGGCATCAGCAAAGCCTGTTTCGAAAGCTCAGCATGAGTGCACACATGCAATCAGCCTTGGCCTTGCACTGTAAATTTTTAGCAAAGTACACAAGTATGGGGTTTTGTTGCCAAGGAAATGGCTTTGTTTCTCTGAGGAAGGAGACATTGAGGACACTTCTCTGTAAGTGATCACCGAGCAAGGCCATATTGTTTCCCAGACCTGCTGTTCTGTACAACGTGAAGCTCTTCGGTCCTGTCTGTGCTTCTCTGGCCAGTCTTCATTACAGTGGCAGCAGGCAAGCCAGGCTTTTGCTGACATCTACCTTCCCTTTCTACTTGCCTAGGCAATTGTGGCTTGTGTTTGAACTGAACGATGAAGAAAGATCTCAGGCAGTTTTGAGTCAGCCTTCAGGTTCCTCAGAAACTTTAAACACAGGAATCAATGAGGTCACTGAGGTCAGGAACTCTAGGCGCCCCTGCCTCATGCTTGGAGCATCAACTTCTGGAGGTCAAGGGTAGGACTATCAGGGACTGCATGACGAAGATGATAGTGGTAAGAGGTGACAGCGTGCTGGCAGTCCTCACAGCCCTCGCTCGCTCTCAGCACCTCCTCTGCCTGGGCTCCCACTTTGGCGGCACTTGAGGAGCCCTTCAGCCCACCGCTGCACTGTGGGAGCCCCTTTCTGGGCTGGCCAAGGCCGAAGCCGGCTCCCTCAGCTTGCAGGGAGGTGTGGAGGGAGAGGCGCGAGCGGGAACCGGGGCTTTGCAGGCGGCGCTTGCGGGCCAGCTGGAGTTCCGGGTGGGCGTGGGCTTGGCGGGCCCTGCACTCCGAGCAGCCGAGTGGCCCTGCCGGCCCCGGGCAATGAGGGGCTTAGCACCCGGGCCAGCGGCTGCGGAGGGTGTACTGGGTCCCCTAGCAGTGCCGGCCCACCGGCGCTGCGCTCGATTTCTCGCCAGGCCTTAGCTGCCTTCCCGCCGGGAAGGGCTCGGGACCTGCAGCCCGCTATGCCTGAGACTCCCACCCACTCCATGGGCTCCTGTGCGGCTGAGCCTCCCCGACGAGCGCCGCCCCCTGCTCCAGGGCGCCCAGTCCCATCGACCACCCAAGGGCTGAGGAGTGCGGGTGCACGGTGTGGGACTGGCGGGCAGTTCCACCTGCAGCCCAGGTGCGGGATCCACTGGGTGAAGCCAGCTGGGCTCCTGAGTCTGGTGGGGACGTGGAGAACCTTTATGTCTAGCTCAGGGACTGTAAATACACCAATCTACACTCTGTATCTAGCTACTCTGGTGGGGCCTTGGAGAACCTTTATGTCTAGCTCAGGGATTGTAAATGCACGAATGTGCACTCTCTATCTAGCTCAAGGTTTGTAAACACACCAATCAGCACCCTGTGCCTAGCTCAGGGTTTGTGAATGCACCAATCAACAGTCTGTATCTAGCTACTCTAGTGGGGCCTTGGAGAACCTTTATGTCTAGTTCAGGGACATACACCAATCAGCACTCTGTATCTAGCTCAAGGTTTGTAAACACACCAATCAGCAACCTATGTCTAGCTGAGGGTTTGTGAATGCACCAATCCACACTCTGTATCTAGCTACTCTGGTGGGGACTTGGAGAACCTTTGTGTGGACACTCTGTATCTAGCTAATCTGGTGGGGACGTGGAGAACCTTTGTGTCTAGCTCAGGGATTGTAAATGCACCAATCAGCGCCCTGTCAAAACAGACCACTGGGCTCTACCAATCAGCAGGATGTGGGTGGGGCCAGATAAGAGAATAAAAGCGGGCTGCCCCAACCATCACTGGCAACCCACTCCAGTCCCCTTCTGCACTGTGGAAGCTTTGTTCTTTTGCTCTTTGCAATAAATCTTGCTACTGCTCACTCTTTGCGTCCACACTGCCTTTATGAGCTGTAACACTCACTGCGAAGGTCTGCAGCTTCACTCCTGAAGCCAGCCAGACTACGAACCCACCGGGAGGAACGAACAACTCCAGATGCGCCACCTTAAGAGCTGTAACACTCACCGCGAAGGTCCCGCAGCTTCACTCCTGAGCCAGCAAGACCACGAACCCACCAGAAGGAAGAAACTCCGAACACATCTGAACATCAGAAGGAACAAACTCTGGACACACTGCCTTTAAGAACTGTAATACTCACCGTGAGGGCCCGCGGCTTCATTCTTGAAGTCAGTGAGACCAAGAACCCACCAATTCCAGACACAGTGGGATCACAGAGAGAGCCAACAGTCCAGGCCATGACAAGCTGGCACCCAGCTCTGCTTCACATGTAAGTTATTCCTCTTCTAATTGTCCCGCTAGGTGAAATTGATTAATCATTTATTCAGAATCTCCACTTCCTGCTAGTTGTCCAACTGGCGTGGCTGTAGCTCCTTCCTGCAAGGCAATGCTGAAGAAGCTATGGAAGCAAGAAGGAAGCATGGATTCTAAAAACTGACAACAAACCACTTACCCCTATTGCTCTTCTTCCTAAAGCTAAAGGTAAATCTTGGCTGGAGTTGCAAATGGGAATGTTAGCAAATGGGAATAGGAATGGTGGTTCTAATGCTTGGGGCTCACCACCTTCCCTCCCTTATACTCCTTTCCTGATGCAGAGTGCCAGAGTAGCCAATACCCCCTTTCAACAGGAGCTCACAGGACAGAAGAAGGTCAAAACTTAAGGAGGAAAATTACATTAAAAGAAAGATCAAAACTGTACAAGACAACAATACATACCACCCAAAGCAAAAATATTAGAGCAAACAGACCAAGGAATTTTTTTTTTTTTTTTGAGACGGAATCTTGCTCTGTCATTTAGGCTGGAGTGCAGTGGTGTGATCTCGGCTCACTGCAACCCCTGCCTCCCAGGTTCAAGCGATTCTCACACCTCCCTAGTAGCTGGGACTACAGACTATGCCCAGGAGAACCCTAGGACCTTCAGGACACCATTTGAAAATTATTCATGGAGAACATGGCATCCTAGAATGAGAAATCCACATCTGGTACTGTCAGCCAGGGTTCCTAGCTTTCAGCAGAGAAAGAACTTATTAAAAATAGATAGGATAGCATAGCTCACCCCACCCCTAAGAGGGAGAGATGACAAGCTTGGAGATAGGAAGAACGGCCTGGATTCACAATGCAGTGAAGATCCTGCTGCTGCCAGGCACAGCAACTCTGGCTCATATCACTAGACATGGGACCTGGCTGGGGGGCTCGTACCAGGAAGCCTGGACACAGGACCCTGCTGCTGGGGCTGTGGCTGCAGGGCTTCTGGAGGGTCTGTGTTGCTGAGACTCCAACTGCTGCCCCCACCCACTGGAATGGAGCCTGCCCCAGTTTCTGATTCACAGTCTGAGGCAGGAGTGTCTCACTGGAAGATCTTGCACCACGGGCCTGTACCTTAGCTTTAAAGAAGGCTGTGGAAAGGCATATATGGCATTTTTGTTTCTGTAATTTGAAGTAGCTCTACCTAATAAGACAGAAAATTCTCCAAAAGGAGAAGGAGGTTCAGATGCTAAGGGAGGAGGAAATAATGACAAATGCTTACTACAGGAACTTTGGCAAGTTGCTTTATCTCTGAGCATTATTCCTCTAGGAAAAATAATGGCCCTTCTAAGTCATCCATCCATCCATCCACCCATCCATCTGTTTATCCATCCATAGCAAACATTTAGTAAGAGCTGTTCTAGCTATCTATTGTTTCATAATAAATGACCCCAGCTTCGTGGCTGAAACAATCATTTCAAGGTATCTCATGACTTTTGTTGGTAAGGAACTCACACAGGACTCAGCTGGGTGATTCTGCTCCCTGTAGAGTCAGCTGGAGTCCTTTGAGATATTCAAGTAGCAGCTGATCTGATCTGGACTTGTCAAAATGGCTTTGCCGACTTAGCTGATCCCTTGACCGGGATGGCTGGAAAGCTGGACTCCGCTGGGCTCCACTCCCTCTCCATGTGGTCTTAGGCCTTTCCACATGGACTCATCAGCAGGGTAGCTGGGCTTCTTACATGAAAGCTCAGGGCTCCAAGAGACAAGGTTTGCCTTAAGGCTAGGCTTAGAGGTGTCATAATGTCACTTCCACCATACTCAGTTGGTCAAAGCAGTCACAGGTTAGCCCAGATTCAAAAGGGGAAATAAAATACATAGACATCACCTCTGGATGGGAGGCATCAGTGAATTTGTGGTAAGAGCCTTTAATCCACTGTAAAAACCAACTATGTGCCAGACAGTGTTAAGAGGGGGAGATACGAAACCAAGACATGGCCCTGTCTTCAAGGAGCTTGCAGTCATACAAGGTTACAAATGAAGGCAGTTAATGAGATCAATGTCAAGAAGCACTGTAAATTGTAAAACAATTTTAATATGAAGGATTGCTTTGTCTCTGAGCTTTATTCCTAAATAATCCTAAAACTAGGATTTAACAAATCCCTATAATGCTCTGAAGTATCAGTTACTGTTTGTTGACTGTTCACCAAGTATCAGGCACTCGGCTAAGAATTGTTTTGGTATAATTCTTCCCAATTCTCAAACCAATCTCACTGCATTAATTTCTTTTTATTCTTTTTTTGAGACGGAGTCTTGCTCTGTCAGCCAGGCTGGAGTGCAGTGGCTTGATCTCGGCTCACTGCAAGCTCCACCTTCCGGGTTCACGCCATTCTCCTGCCTCAGCCTCCCGAGTAGCTGGGGACTACAGGCGCCCGCCACCATGCCTGGCTAATTTTTTGTATTTTTAGTAGAAACGGGGTTTCACCATGTTGGCCAGGATGGTCTTGATCTCCTGACCTCATGATCCGCCCGCCCCAGCCTCCCAAAGTGCTGGGATTACAGGCGTGAGCCACCGCACCCAGCCCATTGCAGCAATTTCTACATGCCAAAGCCTTGCCCATGCTTCTTGTTTGATGACATGATATCTTGGGTTTGGTCTTATATCAGCACCCACCACTCTACCCATTGATGCCACTTAATAGATGCTTCTCGACATGCCCACGCAGGCCTCTAGCCACTTAAGGAGAGATTTTCAATTTACAGTGACCCAACCAACCACTCGTTAGATGCTCTGATCTGTTCCTCTCACAATTATTACTTTAATTTGCTGTCCTCTCTCGGGCCGTGAGGCGACAAGCTTGTAGGCTGCAAGGCAGACAGAGTTGAAGATGTATTTAAAAGTGCTTATGCGCTATTAGCAAAACTTACTAAATTCCTGCTGTGTTTAGGGAACTAGACCACAGAGCACTGTGAGCCAACACAGTTCCTGCCTCAGAGAATAGTCACCCAGACAAGATTTTAAAACTTTTCATTAGTTTTACCTGATTGATAAAATTAGAATGGAGAAAATCAGAAAAGTAAAAAACGAAAAAGCAGCTAGTCATAGTCTCACTATCCAAAACCAGTGCTATTCATATTTTGATTTATTGCCTTCTGGTTATTTCTTTATTTATTTTTAGTTTTAAGAAAATTAATACACTTCATTTTTTAGAACAGTTTAAAGTTTATAGTAAAATTGAGCAGCTAGGACAGCTGTTTCCCTCTGCCCTCCTTCCCTGAACATATTCCCTTCCCTATTATTAACATCGTGTAACAAAGAACTTGTATTAGTGCCATATATTTGTTACAATTAGTGAACCAATATTCATACATTATTATTAAATAAAGTCTATCATTTACTTTAAGGTTTATTCTCTGTGTTGTACAGTTCTGTGGGTTTTGACGAATGCAGGTCAGTATCCATCATTTCAGTATCCTACAGAATAGTTTCAGCATTTATCTTTTGTACCGTCAGCTCCTACCATTGTACACTCCTGCCTGCAGCTTTTTTTCTTGTTTCTTTATTTTTCATATGTGAGCCTAACACAAGCCTTCCTTTATGCTATTGTACCCTTCCTCCACATGTTTATAAACTCTTATAAACATCATGGGATACAACATTCTATACTTAACCATGCCCCTAATGTTGGACATTCATGTTGATGACAAGCGTTCAATTATCATATAGGATATTTTAAAATCATTTCATGGAAATAGATTTCCAGGATCTAGATAGCATTCAGGGGAAAAAAATAATTTAGAAAGAAACAGCATTGTGTGGTGTCCCCCAGCACCTCCCAGACAAAAGGCTTTTGTCTGAAGGTTGGAGGCCTGTGCTGTCTTGGCCTAGTGAGTGCCAGTTTCCGCATGGCTGCCCCTCACCCTTGGGAAGGCTATTGGGGGGTGGGCAGTGCTGGCCTGGGTCTTGCTTCCCTGCTCCTGCAGGAAGGTCTGGGCTTCCTCATTCACTCCCTTCTACTCTCATCCATCAGCACCTTCAAACCGAAACCTGGAACTATGGTATTCTCTTTGGCTCTTAGGACGGGTTGGCTTAATGGGGGAAATATTAATAGCACTGGTGTCGGTGGAAGTGACCTTGAGCCATGTAAAAAGATTCTGATAAAACGTGTCACTCTTGTTACCTATCAGGATCAAACTGCATCACGGAAGCTGCACACGATGACACCCTGTCTGGAAAGTTTTTGCCAGAGGGCAAAAGACTGCAAGCAGAATATCCCTTTGCCATTTCTCATGTAAGTGCACACCAGAACTAATAAGAATAATTTGAGAATAAGAGTACTTTCTTTTTTTTTTTTTTTTTTTTTTGCTGTGAAACTGATAACCATAAAATTTGGTATCTAGAGTCCTGGAGTGTAACAGCTCCTTCTCATACATTAGCTTCCATTCATTACCCCACAACAGTTCTGCATGCTAGCTGGCGTTATTGCCACATTACAGTGAGGGGCCTTGGCGTCTTGGGTTCCTGAGAGATGACATTGCCATATGTGGCTCTTCACGACTGTCCCACAGGCCCTCAGCTGGAATGTGGCAGAACTGGGAGCTGAATCCAGGACAGTGGTTTCCTCATCTGCTCTAGCCAGGAGCAGGCCAGGCCACCCTTCTGGACACAGTCTATCCCACGTGGGGACAGACTGGCCAGCCCCAGCCCGTGGGTCTCAACGCGGCCAGAGCTGCTGTGAGAAATCTTGTTTGTTTTAGCCTTTGGAGTCCTGTCTGTTCTCTGACCTCTGACCCAGAACTGTGTGTTCCAACCACTTCCCAGTCTGTTGTCCTGGCTCAAAACAAAGTGAACGAAAGCTCTTTCCTCAAGCCCTGCTCTCATACTCCAGGGCTCTGTGAAAATGAGTGGTATGGGCACATGGCTGGTGAGTCACTGTGGCCCTAAAATGAGCGGGAAAATAGAGGGCAGGTCCGGGCCTCGCAGGGCACTAATGGCAGGGAAGCAGGAGGGTCAGCATCAGGAGCCTGGCCTTTGGCCCGCAGAGACCTGAGTCCTCCCCTTACTCCTGAGCTGTGTAACCTTAGGCAGGGAACTTACCCCTCTGGGCCTCAGTTTCCTCATCGGGAAAGCAGGGCTGATCATAGTGCATGGCTTATAGAGCAGTTTTGAGGATTTCATGAACAAAAAAACAAAGGTAAAGCACTTAGCCTTCTGCCTGGCATGAGTAAACCCTCAGGAAACTGTAGTTATTATTTAGTAGCCAGGAAAATACAGAACACTTAATCTGTTGGCTCCCTGGTGTTTCTCGAACTGTCAGCAAACACTTCCACATCACCAGCCAGCAGAGCCATTCATCAAACACCTTTGCCTTTGTCTGTCAGGCCTCCCACTTCAACAAGTGTCCCTGGGTTTAAGTCAGTAACCTCCTAGGCACGGAAAGTTGCCTCACGCATGTGACATGCGAGCACGTCTCTAAAGGGGCAGAGGATCTGGCAAAAACATAGACTCGCAACTTGTCTGTTTCCTGAGACACCCACAATTGGCCTCGTGGAAGTGGTTGACTTCTTCCCATAGCTGCCTGTGTCTTACTTCATCGCCTCCTCCAAGCCCAGGGCCAGCCCTGCCTGGCTGGGGGATCATGACAGTCTTTGTTCCCATATGGGCAAAGTCTTTTGAAAAGAGGGAAAGATCATTAGTTAGCTGTCAGCCTCCAGCGTGGTTAGGTCATGAGTAATTCTTCTAGAGAGCCAGAGCACTGGCAATTCATTTGGTCGAGAACGTTTTATCTACTTGAACGGCGTAGCGAGGAAATAAATGGAACAAGTTATATCAAAATCTCTGTCAACTGAACAATTCCTTACCAATCCAACAAGGAGTATGACGACGATGCCACTTTTCCTACCTTTGAGAGGTCATGCACAGACACCGCACATGAACACACCACATTATACCCCCCCCACCACAAATGGGTGTACCCCCTCTCCCCCCACATACTCACTGGTGCACATATACACGCCACACCACATTCTGTAGTGGGGAAAGGATCATGTGCAGCCTTAAGGGCTGGTTTGCGTAACGGGTGCATATTTCTGCTAGTGTTTTTGTTCTTGCAGTCAGGACTGGCCGTTGTCTGAAAGCAAACCTCAAGGACAGGACTTCTGGACTCCGCAGCCACTTCAGGCTGCTGCTCCATCGCATGAATTCCAGCAGGTGGCGCTGCACCCCGCGCGGACCCGGCTTGCCTCTCGGCCCCAGGGAGGTCGGTTGATGAGCAGTCGGGAAGTGGGTCTGCGCGCACCCCGCTGCAGCTGTGGCAAACGCAAACGATGACACACAGGCTTGACGAGGGCCTTTGTCAGAAGCAATGGGGATCTGGCGTCACCGCACAATGGAAAACAAAGTGCTTCTGCCTGGCTGGCCAGAATGCACGTTTGCTCACTATTGATGCTGGGGCATTTACAGGCAGAATGAGTTCATGTGAAATTTCAGGATCTGCCATGACTCAGATTCACTTTCTGTAAACCAGAGTCAACATTACATTTCCCTTTACTCTGGGCCATTCCTTGAATTTTTAGGTCACCAGTTGTTTTTGTACTAACTGAAGGGATTTGAGTATTTCACAAGCACCTTATTTTTATTAGCATTTTTAGGGCATTACCAATTTGGGACGGATCTGTAGTGTGAGAGATTGTTGTCACTCTTAGCTCCAAACATAGGTTGACTTTATATATTATTTACATGTTCAGAATTATACTGTGTAGAAATTCAAATGAAACTTGCAAAATACTTTTCTGGCAGGAAGCCCTGGAGAGGATCGTTCATGGAAACAAGGATGACGACTGGGGTAAGAAATGCAGGTGACTCGTGAGTGGTCAGGGAGTGGAAGAGAAGACGGCTGGAAGGTTTTAGCATTCAGAAAAAAAATGGAGACAACTAGAGTTGATCTGAAGATTATGGCAGAATTCAATATTGGGGGAAAGAAACAAGATGGGGGTTAGAAATTAGAAACAGCAGAGCTCCACAGGTTGGAAAGGTTGGAAAGGATTTGAGCAAGAGAACAAGGAGCCTGCTAATAGCACCCTGGGTTTACATCAAGAGAAGCACCTGGAGAGAATTAACTCGGGAGGAGGTGGGGGCATGGGAAACCTTTTCATCTCCAAGAGCGGGCAGGAACAGCAGCTGGCCTGAACTTGAAGGTACACCAGGTAGCTTGCGTGGGCCAGGAGAAGGTGATTCTCTTCTATGCCTCTCTCCAACGCCCTGCTTCTGATGCTGCTCCTCTACCTGTATTGAGGGGAAGATACATCCCTAAGAAGTTCCCTGAACCCCATTCTTTGTTGTGGCTAACTGGTCCCCTTGGAATTTTTCTACTAATTTTCAATTCCCCCTCTCACCTGGTGAAATCTTGAATCTTACTGTTCAATAAAAGTTCTTCTACCGAAATTTCTATACCACGTTGAATTTTTTGTGTTTCCTTTGTTTTTAGTTCTTTGGGAGTTTTACTTAGAAAAAAAAGCCTCTGGGGACTAGATAAGGAAGGAAACCTTCATGTGGACCCTCTTGAGCTCTGTTTTCTTTCCTGGCCTCACTGGTGTGGGCTCTCTGGCTGCCCTGCTGATCTCTTGCTTTACTGCATTTGGGTGAGGACTGAGGAGAGGGACAGGAGTGTATTCACTGGATACTATTCAGACTAAAGGATTAGATGTCGTAGGTGAATAAGCAAGAAAGCAAACACATAAACAAAACATCTGAACGTTTTCAATCCAAGTGGAGCAGAATTTAGCTTTTCCAGCTAAACTGCCCCACCCCTGGCACCCAGGGAAAATGGTGCTCGTATTGTAATATATTCTCCCATGGATGCATGCAATATTATGAGTATTTTTTGCCTTGTGATGTAAATTCTCTTTCTTCCTCACTCAGAAAAACATATTGTAGTTGAAAGGAAAAAAAAGAATTCTGGCCGGGCGCGGTGGCTCATGCCTGTAATCCCAGCCCTTTGGGAGGCCCAGGCGGGTGAATCATCTGAGGTCAGGAGTTTGAGACCAGCCTGGCCAACATGGCGAAACCCCATCTCTACTAAAAATACAAAAATTAGCCGGGCATGGTGGCAGGTGCTTGTAATCCCAGCTACTCAGGAGGCTGAAACAGGAGAATCGCTTGAACCTGGGAGGCAAAAATTGCAGTGAGCCGAGATTGTACCACTGCACTCCAGCCTGGGCGAGACTCAGTCTCAAAAAAAAAAAAAAGAAAAGAAAAAAGAATTCTGATCCTTTTTGAGTGTGTGTGTGTATGTGTTTTATGTGTGTGTGAGAGGACACAAATTCAAACTGAAACTTTGCTAAGTAATAGGTTTTAACTGATCTGGATACATCAGGGTAGTGAGAACAGTAAGTCTGGAAAAGAAAACAATAGTTATCAATACACATACACTCTCCCATACATAGAACAATGCCTAGGTCTATTGCATTTTAATATCCGCCGAATAGGTAGCATGAATTCACATCATTTCAGCGATGGGGAAATGGAAACTCGCAGAGAGCTTAACTGAATTTCCTGAGACCATGGGATGTCAGAAGGGCCACTAAATCTTTCAACTTCCAACTCATACTTTAAACTCCTGCCTCTTATCCTTTTTGAAGTGACTGGGGAAGACCAGGTACAGATCTGTAAAATGCTTCATTCCATTTTCAGAGGAGCTGAGGTCAGGTGCTTCCTACAGTCGAGGTCTCGCCAAGAAGACGGTGGCCACGTTCCTCAATTCTCAGGCGAGTGTTTTGATGCCTGGGTGCTTCTGCCTGATGAGCCCAGCATTCATGAAGTACATGTGACAAGAGGACGGCTGGAATATTGCTCAATATTTTCAGGCCGACGGCACTGGCTGCATGTAATTTGAGAGGAGTGTAGAATGTCAGCCGGACTTTTATGACGCACCCCTCTCCTCTTCCTGAGAATTGTTTGCATGTGGAGATTTCCTGCCTATATTTTTAGCGTCAAATTTTTTTGTGGTTGCTCAAGTACCTTCGGCCATGTTTTAGTGACTTACACAGAAGCCCTGATGCCCCTGATAAAACTGATGACCATCGAATGGAAAGAAGTCAGTGTAGAAAGCCCAGGCATTGTCCCATAGCTGGCCCTGTGTGTTTGCACTGATTCCTCAGAATAAGTTTGCAGATAGCTTAACTTCCAGAATTCCTGAGTTTCACTAGTCCCCCTTCTTTATGATGAATTGGAAAAAGGGTATATTCTGGGATAAAGCAAGAGGAAACTGGGTGCAGCAAAGATCCCTAGACCATTTTTCCCAGTGGCCCATTGCTCCTGCTGCTTTTTTCATACCAGCTGAATCTCCCTAAACCCCACGTCTGCGGCAAAGTCTTCGTGGTGAAACAGGTGAGTCACACTTTTCTGCTTCTCTGCAATTACAAATGTTATCACCTCATCTGACACAGAGAGGGTGTTGGTTGGAAATACGCATTAGGAATAAGCTCTTTGGAAACAGCAAAACTGCCTTCATGAAATGAAGACTTTTTTTTAGAAAGTCTGGAGCTAAAGTTATAAAAATAAAGAGGCGTCATCTCCCTTTCCTTCTCCTACAATAATGGAAATGAAATATCAAAGTAAACAGCACCACATCCATGTCCTCAGCACATGTGACTCGCTAACAGAACCATGCCAGCCACCCCATCCCTTCTCTCCCATATTCTCTGCTGTTCTCACTGTCTCTCAAGACCTGATTTAAAACCACCTTCACTAAGAAGTCTTCCTGTCCCCCTTCTGGTCCTTCACGGAATATTATTTTGCTTCTGAAACTTAAAAAAACAATTTTGTTCTCAGGTCATTCTCTGTGTACATCCCATCTCGTCCATCCTACAGATTAGATGTTCTTCCAGGGTAGAGGCGACCCCATCTCATGTCTTTTTATTCTCCCTCTGCTTTTTATTCCCACAGGCAGTCTTCAGTACAAGAAGCGTCAATCTCAGATCTTACTCATTTCCAACCTGTACCAATCAAAGGCCCTCCCAGCCAAGATAAAAGCAAAGTCTCCCTCCTCCAGAGCACATGGGAATGGCCCCCCAGTAGCTGGGGCATGCAAGCTAATGAAGTTTCATCTTCCACCTCTATCCAAATATGACCTTGCTGATACCATCTCCTATTAGATGACAAATCCGGATGTTTCTATTGCATGGTTGTTATTTGCCACATGCTTCCTGGACAAGTTTCTAGGTAACCTTAATGTCTGTGCTTCTGGGGAAGGAGGAGTAGAAAATAACTCACCTCTTCAGTAAGTGGTTTTAAAAATATAACAGTGTTTAAAAGCTTTTAGAGAGCAGCTCTCCTTCCGGCTGCTCCAGCTCTGTTTGCTTTGTGATAGGAGCCCCCGTAACACTTCGTGCTTGGCAACATCTGACGAGGACAGAAGGCAGGTTTAAAGCTGAGAAGATTGATTTTTCCTTTGTAGGGCTTTCCATGAGGGGCGTGGGAGAGAAGTCACTTGGGGAAGCAGTGGTCAGTGAGGTTTACTTCTCCATATGCTCTGCATTCATGTGTAAGGCTAAACAAACGTGTTGTCTCCGCAAGCAAATCCCACACCACAGAGAGGAGCAGTTTGTCCTGGAGGTCCTAAGGAGGTGACCAGTGACCTGGAGGGTAAAAGGTTGGGGCTCCTGAGACCTTTCTTCCAACTCTCATTTCCATCCTAAACTGGCAGGGGAAATGTACCCAAATTGCCTGTGTGTTTCGATTTGATGTGGACACACTGTGACCACTCAGGATCGCTCTGGTGCTGCTGAACTCCATGGTTCATATTAGGCCCGACTGTCTAGTTTTAGAAAGTGGGAGGAGATTTCCCCTCTGCCAGGGCTTGGGGTTTATGTTCCCCAGAGCATTGAGCAAGAGCCTCATGTTTACAGAAATCTCAGGCCCCATGATTTCTTCCTGTCAGGGTAGAAGGAGAAGGAGTAGGCACAGACTGTGGAGTAGATCTTGCCACTTCAGTCCCTTTGTTCTTGCCCAGCATGAGGTTACCAAGGAAAGGATACCTGGGGCGCTGGGGGTGAGGGTATGTATTGGTTGTTTGAACTCTGAAAATATAATTTTAAAATTGGCATTGTAAATCAAATCATTAGGTCTTCTGCATATAGTTTTATTTTTTCTAAAACTTCATAAAGCTGTCAAAAATACCTACACTATATTTTAAATGCTGTGGGCAATATAGTTTTTAAAATTTTATTGTGAAGTGCTGTTGTAATTCCTTTAAGAGATGTACACTGTCTACCTGGTTTATTTTGTGTGCAAATATGTATATATACACTGTATATATACATATACATATACACACAACTATATACATACATGTATATATACACACATATATATTTCAAAGTTTTTTGAGATCTAGTGCTCACACAGCATTTGGTAGTAACTAACAGCTGCTAAGTCAACTCCTAACCTTCTCAACCTCATCTGGTGTGACTTAGAGCAGAAATGGTCCAACCAGCGCAGCAACCATGTACCCACCCAAGTTGACTCCTATGGGCGTAATGTCCACAGGTGCTTCTGCCTTGGTGTGTCAACTCCATCTTACAATTTAGGAGAATTTGGTTACATAGCACCTACTAGGTCTTAAAAATAAAAATATCAATGCCCATTTTATATAGTGGGTCTATGTAGGATCTAGTGAAAATACGCACTTAAGTCTTTTAGAAGACAGGAGAGATTGGGGTCATACAATTTTTTTTTGCATATGTGAAGAGAGTAAATACTTAGTGTTCATCAACTCCATGAAAATGAAGATTCCAAACTACCACAAAACTAAGGAATAAAGCTTTATCATTTGGCTTTAAAGACTCTGAAAGTACTGGGTTCTATTATTGCCTTAATTGGGGTCATGCAAGGGTGGAACAATAGGAGCTAAATAGTTCATGTTAAGGCAGATCAAGGCTTGACAAGTTCCAGATTTCCAGCAGGATTTAACTCCTGAGTCACATCAACTTGGGGTACAAGATTCACTGGGAAGCAGGGAGGAGCAAAAATCAGTCTGTAGAACTCTAGAAAGCAGTACCTGATAAAGACCTTTAAAGTCTCCATGAATCAAAGATATTAAGATTCGTTTTCTGCTACCCCATCTTCAAAATGAAAGCTATTCAAAGCCACAACATAAATATAAAAATTTCTCCCATGGTAACCACCTGGTTGATTAAAATATGTTTAATTTTTCCTTTTCTTCTGTGAATTGCTGCTGCCCTAAGTATGTACGTGGTCTGCCTGTTAGCTTCCTAAGCACATCTGGCAAGGTGGGGTAGATGAAGAAGGGCAGCTATGGAGGTGGGCATTTGGGAGAATGTAAATGCAAGGCTGGGGACAGCTCTCACTGGAGGGTAGCATGACTGCCCAGCCAAGGGCCAAACTATAAAGGGACAGCCCCGGCAAGTGCTCCAGAGTAGGTGGATTTCACAACGTATGGAACCACTCCTTTTAGGTCCGAAGTGCTACATACTTAGTTTATGATTTGCAAACATTCATCTTCTGGCTGGAAGGCTGGAGACAAACAGACAGCTCATTAGGAAAATAACCAAAGAGCTAAATAAAATGGAGGAAGTAGGCAGCAGATCCCAGGCAGACAAGTGTGGCTCACAGTCCTTCATGAGAGATCAGAGGCCAAGCCAAACCAATGCGTCCGTCCCTCAAAGGTCATTCGTCTAGGGCTTTGTCAAACCAGGAAGGGAAGGGAGTTTCAAAGGGCCTTTTGTGGAACACACACAGCTCTGGCCCCTGAGATTCAAATCAGGATCAGGAAACCTGTGTAGCAACTGGCTGCATGTACAATGCTTAGCGACCAGCCAGGGCCCTCCAGCCTCCTTTTCTTTTTATGAGCACGAAGTTTTCCCTGTAGATGGGAAAGAGATAATTAAAAAACAAAACAAAAATCTGTCCCAATTGCAATAAAAAACAACCAAGACCTGGAGTTATTTACTTATTTGTGAATAGAACCAAACATGTTAGATATTTTTTGTTGTATGTGATTCAACAAACTATATAGAAATTATATTTAAAAACCCAAGCCATTATTATTTGCATCATAGATCATACTATGTAGTGGCAGCATGAAAAATGCATCAAATATACATGCAGATATTATTTATATATTTATGTGTGTGTATATATATCAAAACAAAGCAAACGTATGAGTAGATCAGCAGTAAACTTGTTAAAAATTGAGATAGAACTTAAGGTAGATTCTCTGTTGTTTCTGATCTCCAGGTTCTTTTGCTGGATCCTACCTTTCATGTACATGATCATCTCTTTCTTTTCCTTAGAATGGCCAATGATCCTTCTCTGTCCTCTTCTCTCTTCTGTGAGTGTTATGAACATTAAGAGCTTTCCCAGAAAACTTGGGCATTGTGCCTATATTTAGTTTTTGTTGTTGTTGTTTTGAGACGGAGTTTCACTCTTGTTGCCCAGGCTGGAGTGCAATGGTGCTATCTCGGCTCACTGCAACCTCTGCCTCCCGGGTTCAAGCGATTCTCCTGCCTCACCCTCCCACGTACCCGGGATTACAGGTGTGCACCACCATGTCTGGCTAATTTTTTGTATTTTTAGTAGAGATGGGATTTCACTATGTTGGCCAGGCTGGTCTTGAACTCCTGACTTCAGGTGATCCACCCGCGTCAGGCTCCCGAAGTGCTGGGATTACAGGTGTGAGCCACCATGCCCAGCCTATATTTAGTATTTTGCTACTCAATCTCATTCACTTTTCAGTCAGCACACAGTTCTTTGTTTTTGTTTATGTCATTTTATTTAGTTTCACCAAAGGGCTCTGGGTTCCTCAGATGTTGTGTTGTGAGAAGAAGACCAGGCCCAGAGAGCAGAAGAATCCCTGGCCTGGGTCAGGACTTGCTTTCTCGTCTGAGGCCTCCAGCTGGTCCTTTAGGTTCTCTGAGATTCAGCTTCTGCAACTGCTTACCTCACAGAGTTGCTATGGACATCAAACCAAATAATGACTATAAAAGCACTCATGTAAATTATGTGTTATTATTAGAAAAGTTTCCATTTTATACCAAGACAAAGGAACACTGTTATTCATTTGACATGTTTTCTTTTTATTCTTATTCATTTTACATGTTTTCCCCTTCTATTTCTGTCCATGGTTCTCTTCAAATTTTATAATTTAAAATGATATCATCATTATTGAGTCATAACTGAGTGAGCCATTGAGAATATGAATCAGCTGAAACTGAGGGAAAAATAATCTCAAGTCCAGTAGGACCTGACATTACAGAGTCAATTTCTGTTGGTGACAACCTTATTTCTTGTAAAGTTCTAAATGAAACCCTAAGTCAAAGTTATGTTAGAACTTCTAGGACAAGGAATCAGGGAACTCAATGGGCAATACATAGGGAGTCAGGGGAGTTCACAAAAGCTGCAGAGGGCAATTTTGAACCTGAAGGCCTAGTAACCTGTAATCATCCTTGAAGTCAAGAATATTGTAATCTCAACAAGCTGAATAAAGGTGGCCAACTAGTGAATCAAGCCTGTGGTTATGCAATGGTTTGCCTTGCAGTTCTGAAAGCTTGCTGACAGTAGGTTCTCTTTATCTCCACCCTTTCACTGAAGCGTCTTAGCCCAGGAGGGTTGAACCCGTATTAGAAGCCCATGCCTAAATTAAATTTCTTAAGCATTGGCCATTATCATCCAC